>NC_000016.10:22122849-22425879 GCF_000001405.40 Homo sapiens | reverse complement strand
TTTGGTTTACCTGGCAGAACCCCACCTCAAACTGGCTTAAGCAAAGAAGAGGGAGATTTGCCAGCTCCGATCCTAAAGAGTCAGGGCTGCAACCGGGTGCAGGGGTTGTCGACTGCCAGGGCTCTGAGTGCTCCCCCAGGCTCTGCTTTCCCCAGGGGACACTCATGGGGGTTCCCTGATGGGGCAATGGTGGCCACCCGAGGCTGTGGCTTGGCCTCCAGTGGAGCGACGTCACCTCTTTCCCGGCAGTTCCAGCCACCATCCCAGGGCTGATTCTCAGGGGCCCGGCTTTGGCTGCTCATCTGGCCAGCCCGAGGGTGACCCCGCCTGGAGCAAGGTGTGCTTGGAGAGTGGGAGGCAGCACTCCCGCAGGACAGCCGAGGACGCTGTTCCCAGAGTGAGGATGGGGCGCCCTCCTCACTGGACGTGCGTCCTGGCCATGGACCCCGAGCTGACCTCGGCCCCTCCCTGACTCGGTTGCTCTCAGGTCCAAGGCCACTGCTGCTGTCTCTGTCTCCCAGTGTCAGCCTCTGACCTTGTCCCAACCCCACTTTTGGCTTCCCCACCGGCTTCACATCTGCTCAAAGGATCTAGGCCCTCCCTGCCACAGACCGAAAGAAGGATCCGGTGTCTCTCCCGGGCCATGGAAATGAGCTGGGTCATCCCTCCCTTGGCTCCCATCCACGTGGGCCAATCTGGTTTCACTTTATTTGTCATTTTCTCCAAAACCCAGTTTCCTTTTTATTTCTCTCCTACTCAGCTTCACTTGCTCCCGGTCCCCTCCCCGTCTCTGCAGCTGATTTTTCCAGGTTCTCGGTCCTCTCCTTCACAGATTTTCTGTCCTCTTTGTTCACCCAGATTGGGAATCTGGAGCTGCTGGGGATGGAGGGAATGAGAACCTCAGATGAAGGACAGGTAGGGCTAGAGAAAGGTTTTCAGAGAGAAACAGAGAATGAGATGAAAACACAGCAAACCCTGGATGGAAGGAGGGGCAGTGCCCATAAGACGAAGGGAAGGGAGCGGACAAGGTGCAGAGAACTGCACACAGACAGGCTCCCGAGGCCTGGGCCACACCGTGGCAGGGCCAGAAACAAAGCGAAACAAACAGAGAGGCCAAGGAAATTTCCGTTGGTGGGGACACTGCCAGCAGTTTTCCTAGGAGCTGGGGGTGCCAGCACTTGGAGCAAGCACGGGCCAAGGACGATGAGTAACAGAGGTGGCAGCAAGGGCTCTTTCCAGGGAGTGTGTATGGCCTTGAAGGCCAAGGAAGAAAGGCTGGGGGAGCAAAGCGGTGGGGAGGAGGGAAGGGGGAGAGGAGAGGTGCCAGTCACAAAGGAAAACAGCAGCCAGATCCACGCGCTGCCACACTGTGCCTGTCCCACCTCGAGTACCCCCGCAGATAGCTCAGCTCATTCCCTAAAGGTGCGGGAGGGCCCAGCTCATTGGGCAGGGCTGTATGAAGCGCTTGGCACCATTCCGGGAGAATTAAGCATTTAGTAAACAATAGCTTCCTTCAAAATAAATCCAAACGAGGCCTGAGAGCCCGGAGTTGGGGGGTGCCTGCCAGGCTGTCCGCATGAGAGGAGGAGGTTCTAGGGACGTCTTGGCTCCTCTAGTGGGGCACAAATCGGCAGCTTCAAGATGAGAGACGGGAAGAGTGAATTCCTTGGAGGGGAATCTTGGCACTGTTGGGACTGGCACTGTGGCTGTGCAGTTCAAGGACGACCCCTGGACTGAGAGGAAAGGATGTGACCATCACGCTTATATCCCGGGAAAGTGATTTATCATTGCAAATTCATAAACTGGCAGTCTAGTTCCTAAAACGACTACATGTGTGTGCACGTGTGTGTGCATGTGTGTGTGTTCATGTGCGTGTGTGTGCATGTGTGTGTTCATGTGCATGTGTGCACATATGCACTGTGTATACATTGTGCATGTGTGTTCATGTGTGTGTGCCCGTGTGTGCATGTGTTCGTGTGTGTTCGTGTGCGGGTATGCGTGTGTGCACTGCATGAGCATGTGTGTATACGTATGTGCATGTGTGCTCATGTGCATTGTGCACATGTGTGTGCACGTGTGTTGTGTGTGCGTGTGTGAACACATGTGTGTTTCCATCTCCATTCTGTATGTAGCTCCTGTTTCTTCCCTCAGGCCTGGGTGTGAATATTTTTGGGGAAGTTAGGTAGAAGTCAGTGTCGCCTCGCTCTCTACAGATGTTTTCTCTGCTTTCTGGTCCTCAAGACTGAAAAATGAAAATGTACCAAACAGCTTTCAAAGTTTACCTGTTAGAGATTCAGCCACTGGGGAGCCACTGTTCCTGTTCTTGCTCACTTCAGATTCTAAATTCCCAGAGCAGTGACTCTGATTGGCCCAGCCCTGCACTAATTAGGAGCGGGACTGAGGAAGGGGCTCTGATTGGTCCAGCATGGTTTGAGTGCCCATCCCTGTCCAATCAATTGTGACCAGGGGTGGGATCATGTTAGACAAAATGTCAGGCGGTGGAGTCACTGTTGTTATCATTTGGATCCAAAAGCCCATTTCTTTTTTCTTTTCTTTTCTTTTCTTTTTTTTTTGAAACAGAGTCTTGCTCTGTCGCCCAGGCTGGAGTGCAGTGGCGCGATCTTGGCTCATTGCAAGCTCCGCCTTCCGGGTTCACACCATTCTCCTGCCTCAGCCTCCGGAGTAGCTGGGACTACAGGCGCCTGCCACCATGCACGGCTAATTTTTTTTTTGTATTTTTAGTAAAGACAGGGTTTCACCATGTTAGCCAGGATGGTCTCAATCTCCTGACCTTGTGATCCTCCCACCTTGGCCTCCCAAAGTGCTGGGATTACAGGCGTGAGCCACCGTGCCCAGCCCAAAAGCCCATTTCTAATCGTCCACCTTCCCAGATGCTTCCCAGGTGCACCGTGACCCCTGTGTGCTGTGTGGTCTTTTGTAGGGAGAAAGGATCAATCAAGAAAGGGAAACCCCTGCTCCCATGGAGCTTGCCTTCTGGTGGAATAAGAAAATTAGTAAACATTAATTAATAAATAGGTACTTCTCTATGCAAGTTTACAGAAAAATAAACAAATATGTACATAAGAAAGAAGATGGTTTTGGATAGCGATAAGTGCTGGATGAAAATGAAACCAGGTGATAAGCCAGCGATGACTCCACTGAGGGAGGTTGTGAGCGTTACACAACATGGTCAGAAAAGACCCCGTTGGACCCAAGTCCCAGCTGGTAAGAAAGTGCCAGCTTCATGACGGTGGGGAGAAGCATTCCAGTATCACCGTTTTAAAATATGAGCATCCTAAATATTACACAAACCATACTTACGCTAAATATTTGGGATCTACACTAAAAATGTAGTGTAGTGTAAAAATGGGGTTTCACCATGTGGGCCAGGCTGGTCTCGAGCTCCCAACCTCAAGCTATCCACCCACCTCAGCCTCCCAAAGTGCTGGGATTATAGGCGTGAGCCACTGCACCCAGCCAATCTGATGGGTTTTTTTTTTTTTTGAGACGGAGTCTTGCTCTGTCACCCAGGCTGGAGTGCAGTGGCGCGATCTCCGCTCACTGCAAGCTCCACCTCCCGGGTTCACGCCATTCTCCTGCCACAGGCTCCTGAGTAACCCCTTTTGCTTGGTTCTCATTCTCTCTCTTGGCTGCCACCATGCAAGACCTGCCTTTCGCCTTCTGCCATGATTGGGAGGCCTCCCCAGCCACATGGAACTGTGAGTCCATTCAACTTCTTTTTCTTTGTAAATTACCCAGTCTCGGGTATGGCTTTATCAGCAGCATGAAAACAGACAAATATACTGTTGTTTCTTATTAAATGTTATTGGCTTATTTTGAAAACAAAAGCTTACCAAATACATGTGATTATGGGAAGGGGCCAGAAAGTTACACTGCAAGTAAAAATATCAGTAACTATGTTTACTGGGTGGCGATGGCAAAAACAATAGTTTTTCCTTTTTTTTTTTTTGGAGACAGGATCTTGCTCTGTCGCCCAGGCTACAGTGCAGTGGTGCAATCACAGCCCACTGCAGCCTCGACCTCCGGAGCTCAATTGATCCTCCCACCTCAGCCTCCTGAGTAGCTGCATCTACAGATGTGAGCCACCAAAAAAAAAAAAAAAATTATTTTTGACACAGGATCTAGCACTGTTGCCCAGGCTGAAGTGCATCTGGGCTCACTGCAAGCTTCTCCTGAGCTCAAACCACCCTCTCACCTTAGCCTCCCAAGTAGCTGGGACTAGAGCCTCACTCCACCACGCCCGGCCTTGTTTTTCCTTTGTGAACATCGTTCTACAATGCTGTGGGTACATCGCTTTTTCAATATGAAGTTTTCTTTGGAAGTTTATAAATCCAGTTTGGGCCTTGGAGGAAAGCAGTCAGTGATAGAAATTTTGTGACTCTGAGTGAGTTTGGTGGAGCTTCGAGTTGTAGATTGTTTCCCAGGGACCGCTGCAGACACAAAGCCCTGACTGCAGGATCCCCAGTGATAAAAGTGATCAAAGGCGAGTGTGATCAGACGTGCGCTGCAACGCGAGTTGAGGTTTCATCGAGCCTCATTCAGTGGCTCCTGGGGCAGTTGTGTGGATGAAGAGGGCCATGTCTGTGAAGTGCTCAGGATGGAGCTGGTGGTGGGGCGGCCATGCCGGCCACATGGCTCACACCCCTCACCCGTCAACTCGGTGCCCGGCATTTTCCTTAGCTCCTCTGTGGATTAATTCTCATTCTGAAGACGGGAGGCTGAGGTTTCATCTCAGCTCTGTTCCTGGCTCATTGCTGCGCTTCTCTGTACCCGTCCCCTCCCCTGACTAGGGGAATGAGAACCTTGCCTATGGAAACACTTAGGGGATGGTGGCCCGTGACTCCATGCCAGCCCCTCCCAAGCCCAGCCACCAGCTGAGGTCCTGACCACCTTGTGGACCACCCGGTCCTCCAGCCCTGCGCCCACCCCCGCGTCCTCCCTCCTGCTCTTTCGTAGTTCCCTTGTGTTTCTCTGTGCCAGTAGCTGAGCCCCCGTGCCCACCCACTGCAACTGCACCTTCCCTCCCTCCAGGCTTCCCCACTGCGTTGCTCCCCTGCAGGGGCCAGTGAGTGGCTCTAGCTGTGTTCAGACAGCTCTGTGCCTCCTCCTCCCACCCCAGTTCCTCCGCCTTGGAGACAGACGGGGGTGCAGCGGGGCTGAATGGCACTCCAAGCTCGTGGGGCTGGGGAGTCCACATCTGCACCCGCCGCGTGGCTAGCACCCCCTGAGCGTTTTGGTCAATTTGCCATCATCCCACCCCTCAGTGCCGTTGGTGGTTGCCTGACGAAAAGCTGCACTTAATAGAAATCACTGTGGATGCAGGAGATGGACGGTGATGAGCTCAGGACCAGCCAGCAACCCCATCAGGCGGTAATGCCTACCATGGTCACCCATGACTTCCTCTCGCCACTGCTCGGAGCTCCTGCAAAGCCACAGGCAACAACACATTTCTGCTCCGTACGAGAAGCTCCTATTGTAAGTCGGTGACATGGCTGGGGTTTTCTCTCAGCAAATATTGAGCAAACACTGACTGTGCCAGGTGATGTGCTGGGTCCCAAACCCTTCCCAGACCCAGCCCTGGCACTCACGGAGATCCAGCTAGGAAGTCCGGGAAAAGGTCATCGGGGAAATAAACAAAGTCAAGCACAGTGGATGAACGCGCTGCTGCCGCTCCCCACACCTCTTGTGGTGGACATCACTTACGCTTCCTCATGGTGCATGTCACTTATGCTTCCTGGTGCCCTCCCAGATGACCCCCCCTTGGGCCACTACACACAGCTGCACCCGGCAAGAGCAGACAAGGATGGTCTACTCACTGAGCCTGCAAGGCTGGTGTGCAGGACAGGCCAGCTACACTCCCCAGGTGTGTGCAAGACCGGGGACGAGTCAGTCATTGGGAGGTGAGGTGCTCGGGCAGTGTGGGATGGAGGAGGAGGGAGGGAAACTGAGTGTGGGCTCTTCGTATTGGAGAGGAGGGGACGGCCATGGCACAAAGACTCAGATGGGAAAGTGTGAGAAAGCAGAGATTTCAAAGGAGCTACGGTGGAGACCCACAGAAGAGGAATGCTGAGGCTTTTCTGTCTGAAATGCTGAATAGACTCTAGCACACGCAAAACAGCCCACCACAGCGAGCTGCAGGATTCTTCCGGGCTTTTAACAGTGGTCTTGTAAAAAAAATTAGCCGGGCATGGTTGTCCCAGCTACTCAGGAGGCAGAGAGGGGAGGATGGCTTGCGCCCAGGAGGTTGAGGCTGCAGTGAGCCATGATCGCACCACTGCACTCCAGCCTGGGTGACAGAATGAGACCCCTGACTCAAAAAAAAAAAAAAAAAAAAAAAAAAAAAAGACTGGAACATTCAAAACCTGTTGATGGGCTCAAGAAATTCTCAAGAAATTCTCTTGCCTCAGCCTCCTGAGTAGCTGGAACTACAGGTGTGCACCACCACATGTGGCTAATTTGTGTATTTTTTGTAGAGACAGGGTCTTACCATGTTGCCCAGTCTGGCCTTGAACTCCTGGACTCAAGGGATCCAATGACAGGCGAGAGCCACCATGCCCAGCCACATTTTTGCTAAATTCTTTACACTGGTGAATCTCAAAGAATTCTCTGATCATCACACCATATCCTGCTAAGTGTGCAATTAACCTGTGGACTTCAGTTGGACACTTTCAGATTAGCATTAGCTATGTGGGGCCACCAAATGCCAACTGTTAAATTATCACTCAAAGATAAATGACACTTGAGTGTGCTGTTTGAGTTTATACCTCTAAAAAATGCTTATAGTACCATGAGACTAGTGTGCCAACGTGTCTGGCTGCCAACGTGTCTATAGCTGAGCCAATAAGAATTAGTCTCTAGAGCCTCTGTTTCCAAGGAAGTCAATCTCTAGATTCCCACATTGGCTGCATGATGGAATAAGCCAGGGGCTACGAAAAATACTGATGCCTGTTGAAGCTTGGAGGAGCTGGGGTTGGGGTGTAGGGCAGTGATGATCACATATGAATAGAACTGGGAGTCTTTAGTGTTACTGGTGGCAATGTTGAAATGCATGAGGGTTGTTTATTGTATAATGAAGTATTTTTCACATGAAGTCATATGAAGTATTCCATTCCACTGTATTTGTTCTTATTTTAACGATACAACTAGGTAATAAAGGAAATGAAGTATTGTTTTATATTTTAAAAAAACACATATGCCTGGATCTCACGCCCCAGACATTCTGATTTAACTGGTCTAGGGTATGGTCTGGGCATCAGGACTTTTTCAGGCTCCAAGTGATTCTAATGTGCAACAAGGTTGAGAACTATTGCTTTAGGGCCTTCGTGTTCTTTGAGAATACAAAGAAAATTCAGAGAGATAGGTTAAAAACACACTTGCCATTCCTCCATTGCTCTGACATCTATCAGCAAATAAGCTATAACAGGAAATACAGGGCTTTGGGTCTTTTCTATTCCAGATTCTGTTCCTGTCCTCTTTTAGCCACCAGGGTTTTAATTTTATTTATTTATTTATTTATTTATTTATTTATTTATTTGAGACAGAGTCTCGCTCTATTGCCCAGGCTGGAGTGCAGTGGCGTGATCTTGGCTCACTGTGACTTCTGCCTCCCGGGTTCCAATGATTCTCTTGCCTCAGCCTGCTGAGTAGCTGGGATTATAGGCACGCACCACCTCGCCCGGCTAATTTTTGTATTTTTAGTAGAGACAGGGTTCCACCATGTTGGCCAGGGTGGTCTCAAACTCCTGACCTCAGGTGATCTGCCTGCCTCAGCCTCCCAAAGTTCTGGGATTACAGACATGAGTCACAGAGCCCAGCCTAATGACTGATTGATTGATTGTGACACAGGCTCTCACTCTGTTGCCCAGGCTGGAGTACAGTAGTGAGATCATAGCTCACAACAGCCTCGAATTCCTGGGCTCAAGTGATACTCCTACCTCAGCCTCCCAAGTAGCTGGGACTATGGGCATGTGCCACCACTCCCGGCTAATTTTTTTTTTTTTTTTTGAGACAGAGTCTGGCTCTGTCACCCAGGCTGGAGTGCAGTGGCGCAATCTTGGCTCACTGCAAGCTCTGCCTCCCGGGTTCACGCCATTCTCCTGACTCAGCCTCCCGAGTAGCTGGGACTACAGGCACCTGCCGCCATGCCTGGCTAATTTTTTTTGTATTTTTAGTAGAGATGGGGTTTCACTGTGTTAACCAGGATGGTCTCGATCTCCTGACCTTGTGATCTGCCTGCCTCGGCCTCCCAAAGTGCTGGGATTGCAGGCATGAGCCACTGCACCCGGCCAGTCCCAGGTAATTAAAAAAAATTTTTTTTGTAGGAATGGGGTCTTGCTATGTTACCCAGACTGGTCTCAAACTCCTGGCCTCAAGTGATCCTCCTGCTCTGGCCTTCCAAAGTGCTGGAAGATGAGAGCTACAGATGAGAGCCACCACACTTGACCATCACCAGGGTTTTCTACTACAATATTGCTTGAGGCTTTTACTGCTACTTGGATTTCAAGCAATGTCCCCAGTTCAGGTGGAAAACAGTCACCTCGAAAATGGAGAAGATGAGTCTGAGGAAGAATTACATTCTACAGAAGAAATGCGGTCCAGGACAGTCCACATTCACTTCCTTCATTCAGATACTCATTTCTTAGCCACAATTACCCAATTTTGAGCCATGCTTCTATAATGAGATACCACTGAGTTCTGCGGTTCTAACTCCTTAATCTCTCATGTCAGTCTCCTCTTGCCTTCTGTCTTCCACTGCTTTAGGGCTTGGATTACATGCGTGAGCCACCACACTGGCCCCATGCACAATATTAACCAGTGGAACCAGCATTCCTCATATAAAATCACTTTGTTAGCCTTCTAACTGTTCTTTGCAATCCAGCTAACATCCCTTCAAAACACACTTCAGGGTAATCTTTTATTTTATTTATTTATTTTATTTATTTATTTATTTTTTTTTTTTGAGACGGAGTCTTGCTCTGTCACCCAGGCTGGAGTGCAGTGGCACAATCTCAGCTCACTGCAAGCTCTGCCTCCCGGGTTCACGCCATTCTCCTGCCTCAGCCTCCCGAGCTGCTGGGACTACAGGCGCCCACCACCATGCCCGGCTAACTTTTTGTATTTTTAGTAGAAGCGGGGTTTCACCATGTTAGCCAGGATGGTCTCGATCTCCTGACCTCGTGATCCGCCCACCTCAGCCTCCCAGAGTGCTGGGATTACAGGCGTGAGCCACCGCGCCCGGCCTAATGTTTTATTTTTACTTATTTATTTTTTGAGACAGGGTCTGGCTCTGTCGTCCAGGCTGGAGTGCAGTGGCGCAATCTTGGCTCACTACAACCTCCACCTCCCGAGTTCAAGCAATTATTCTGCCTCAGCCTCCCAAGTGGCTGGGACTTCAGGTGCATGCCACCATGCCCGGCTAGTGTTTGCATTTTTTGTGGAGATGGGTTTTTACCATGTTGCCCAGGCTAGTCTCGAACTCCTGAGATCAAGAGATCTACCCACCTCGGCCTCCCAACGTGCTGAGATTACAGGCGTGAGCCATCACGCCCAGCCCAGGGTTATCTTTTAAAAGGCAAATCTGATATTATTACTTCTTGGTTTAATAATTATAATGCTCCTTTCCTTTTAGGATCAGGTCTACACTTCTCAAGCTCTACTACTAAACCATCAGCCATTCCTCCAATCATGTCCTACAACCTCATGCCTCTCTGTGCTTGCACAGACTCCCTGCTACTATGAATTTTCAAAATTCATTAGAGAGATCATTTATTTTCTCCTCAGTCTGAATTGTATGCTAAGCCAGTGGGCACTCCCTCAACAGCCCACACTTACATCTGTAATAGCACCTAGCATCCAACATTAAGATTCTCACTATAATTGACTGTGAGCTTATTCAGAGTGGGGGCTGCATCTTTTCCTCTTTTTCCTTTGGGTTTAGCACAGGACCTGGTACGTAGTAGGTGTTAATATTTGTTGAATGAATGCTGTATCATTTTACACATCTATGCGTTGCACATATGTCTATACTGTTTCTCTTCACTGGATACATCCAATCTCCATGCACAGTATTATTATTATAATTATTATTGAGACAGGATCCTGCTCTGTCACACAGGCTGGAGTGCAGTGGCACAATCATAGCTCACTACAGCCTCCAACTCCCAGGCCCAAACAATCCTCCCACCTCAGCCTAGCAAGTAGCTAGGATTACAGCTGTGCACCACCATACTCGGCAAATTTTTCAATTTTTTGTAGAGAGGGGATCTTGCTATGTTCCCCAGGCTGGTCTCAAACTCCTGGCCTCAAGGGATCCTCCTGCCTCAGCTTCCCAAAGCACTGGGATTACAGGCATCAGCAATGGCACCTGGCCCCATGCACAGTATTTATGCCTCCACTGAAACCTGGCTGAAGCATTTTTTTTTCTGTGAAGCCTTCCTGGACTTGGTTCCCAAGACAGTGATGATCATGCCCACCTTTTAGCCACCATTATATCTTATATATACTTCTAATCATAGTATCTACTATTTCGTGCTGCAAAAATCTCTCCTCATGTCTGTCTCCTTTACTAGATTGTAAACAGCTAGTTGCAGCAACCTATTTTATTTATCTTCATATTCTGAGCACTTATGATATAGTAGGCAACTAGTAGTTAAGCCTTCATTTTTCCATTTAGTAATTAAGCCTTCAGTGCTTCTTTTACACTATAAACAGATTGTTCTAAAACAAAATTCAGATCATGTTTTTCTTTCTTTCTTTTTTTTTTTTTTTTTTTTGAGACAGAGTCTTGCTTTGTTGCCCAGGCTGGAGTACAGTGGCACCATCTCAGCTCACTGCAACCTCTGCCTCTCTGGTTCAATCGATTCTTGTGCCTCAGCCTCCCGAGTACCTGGGACTACAGGCGCATGCCACCACGCCCAGCTAATTTTTGTATTTTTAGTAGAGATGGAGTTTTGCCATGTTGGCTAGGCTGGTCTTGAACTCCTGGCCTCAAGCAATCCACCTGCCTCGGCCTCTCAAAGTGCTGGGTTACAGGTGTGAGCCACTATGCCTGGCTCAGATGATGTTTGTCTCATGCATTCAAATCTTCAGTGATTTCCCTTTACCTAGAGTGGTCTTTCCCAAAGTACAGCATCTGGACCCCTGCTGGCACACATGATAATTTTTACATGATACATAATAGTTCTTTTTATTTTTATTTTTTATTTTTTGAGATGGAATTTCACTCTTGTAGCCCAGGCTGGAGTGCAGTGGCACAATCTTGGCTCACTGCAACCTCCACCTCCTGGGTTCAAGCGATTCTCATACCTAAGCCTCCCGAGTAGCTGGGACTACAGGCGCCCACCACCACACCTGGCTAACTTTTGTATTTTTAGTAGAGATGGGGGTTCACCATGTTGGTTAGGCTGGTCTCGAACTCCTGACCTCAGGTGATCATGCCTTGGCCTCCCAAAGTGCTAGAATTGCAGGAGTGAGCCACCAGCCATTTCTTTTTATTTTACTGGCGTTAGAAAAATTGAAACCTACCAAATGAATGATTTTATGGTTGCTTTTTCTTATGGCAGTTAAGATTTGTTTTAAGTTAGTGATTTAAAATAAATTTAAAGAAAAATACTGAGTAAATATTAGTACATAGAGTACTCATATAACAAATGTCAAAAATTCATCATATTTGTGAAACCCTAATGTATAGGATTAAAAGCACATACATCTTCTAAATCCAGTGTACAGATCCTTCACATCATCAGCCCTGATTGACTTTTCGACTTCACCCCCTCTAGCTGCCATCAATTGTGCTGTAACTCATGTCACTAATCAACAGGTTCTTCCATGTGACTTCTCCTAACTCCTTTCAGTCTATTCGTTACACAGCACCCCAAGGGAGGCTGGCACCCCAAGGGAGGCTGTTAAAAAGTAAGTCAAGGCTGGGCGTGGTGGCTCACACCTTAATCTCAGCATTTTGGGAGGCCAAGGCAGGCGGATCACCTGAGGTCAGGAGTTCGAGACCATCCTCGCCAACATGGTGAAACCTCGTCTCTACTAAAATACAAAAATTAGCTGGATGTGGTGGCACACACCTGTAATCCTAGCTACTCAGGAAGCTGAAGCAGGAGAATCACTTGAACCCAGGAGGCAGAGGTTGCAGTGAGCCGAGACTGCACCACTGTACTCCAGCCTGGGTGAACAGAATGAGACTCTGTCTCAAAAAAAAAAAAAAAAAAAAAAAAAAGGTAAGTCAAATCAGGTAATTACCCCCGCTCAAAACTAAAAACTGTCCAGTCGCCATTTTTTCTGTTTTTTTGTTTTTTTTTTTAATTTCTAGGAGATGCATGGTTAACTATCAGGGGTGACATGCCACTAGATCTGCAATTTAACTTAAAATGGTTCAGAGAAGGCTGGATGCGGTGGTTCACGCCTGTAATCCCAGCACTTTGGGAGGCTAAGGAGGAAGGATCACTTGCGCCCAGGAGTTTCAAACTAGCCTGGGCAATCTAGTGAGACCCTGTCTCTACAAAAATTTTTAAAAATTAGCCAGGCACAGTGTCGTGCACCTGCAGTCCCAGCTACTAGGGAGGCTGAGTCAGAAGGATCCCTTGAGCACAAGAGTTCAAAGCTGCAATGAGCTGTTATTGAGCCACCGTACTCAGCCTGGGAGACAGAGCAAGACCCTGTCTCCAAAAAAAAAAAAAAAAAAGATATATAGGCTAGGTGTGATGGCTCACACCTGTAATCCCAGCACTTTGGGAGGCCAAGGCAAGTGGATCATTTGAGGTCAGGAGTTTGAGACCAGCCTGGCCAATGTGGTGAAACCCTGTCTTTACTAAAAATATAAAAATTAGCTACTCAGGAGGCTGAGACATGAGAATCGCTTGAACCCAGGAGGTGGAGTTTGCAGTGTGATGAGATCATGCCACTGCACTCCAGCCTGGGCGACAGAGCAAGACTCTGTCTCAAAAAAAAGGAAGAATGAGAAAGCACCTTATGTCATGACATGACACAAACTTCAACATATAAAGTGGCCGGGCACAGTGGCTCACACCTGTAATCCCAGCAACTAGGGAGACTGAGGTGGGAGGATCACTTGAGGCCAGAAGTTGGAGATCAGCCTGAACAACACAGCAAGACCCCATCTCTAAAAAAGTAAATAAATAAGTTTGAGGCTGCAATGAGCTATGATTGTACCACTTCACTCTCAGCCTGGGTGACAAAGCAGAATCCCATCTCTAAAAATAAAAATAGAAAATAAAAATAAATAGTCCAGAGAACAGAATATGCATACACACAGAGATACAGATAAACCAAATATGGTAAAATGTCAGCAATTGATGAATCTAAGAAGTGGGTATATGCATGTATTTTCTCTGTAATTTTCTTTAAACTTTTTTTATATTTGGAAAATTTTATAATAAAAAGTTGTGAGGAAAATAAGATGGTTTAATTGACAGAAGGATGGATACATTAATTAATACATGATAAAATTAATACAGTAGGTTATAAATAGTTGAATGTAGATTACTGTGTAACTTTTAAAACTTTTTTGTATATTTGAAAATGTTTGGCCCAGCATGGTGGCTCACGCCTGTAGTCCCAGCACTTTGGGAGGCCAAGGTGGGTGGATCACCTGAGGTCATGAGTTCGAGACCAGCCGGACCAACATGGAGAAACCCCGTCTCTATTAAAAATACAAAATTAGCCAGATGTGGTGGCGCATGCCTGTAATCCCACCTACTCAGGAGGCTGAGGCAGGAGAATTGCTTGAACCTGGGAGGCAGAGGTTGCGGTGAGCCGAGATCGCGCCATTGCACTCCAGCCTGGGCAACAAAAGCGAAACTCGGTCTCAAAAAAAAAAAAAGAAAAGAAAAGAAAAGAAAAGAAAATGTTCATAAATAAAAGAATGGAGGAAAAGTTGTAAGAAAAACTTAAAAAAAAAATCTGGCTTGGTGCAGTGGCTCACACCTGTAATCCCAGCACTTTGGGAGGCTGAGGTGGGCAGATTACCTCATCTGAGGTCACGAGTTTGAGATCAGCCTGGCCAACATGGTGAAACCCCATCTCTACTAAAAATACAAAAATTAGCTGGGTGTGGTGGCAGGCACCTGTAATTCCAGCTATTTGGGAGGCTGAGGCAAGAGAATCTCTTGAACCCGGGAGGCAGAGGTTGTACAGAGCTGAGATCACACCACTGCACTCCAACCTGGGTGACAGTGCAAGACTCTGTCTCAAAAACAAACAATATCCTTTTCTATGTAGAAAACCCAAAATAATAAACAAAAAAAAACTTTCTCCTGGAACTAATAAGCAATTATAACAAGGTTGCAAAATACAAGATTAACATACAAAGGTCAATCTATTTCTTATATGCAAGCCATAAACAAGTAGATTTTAAAGTAAAAACACAATACCATTTACATTAGCACCCTCCAATGAAATAGTTCAGTATAAGTCTAACAAAATAAGTACAAGATCCATATAAGGAAAGCTACAAATTCTAATTAAAGAAATCAGCCTGGGCATGGCTCAAGCTTGTAATCCCAGTGCTTTGGGAGGCTCAGGTGGGAGGAACACTTGAGGCCAGGAGTCTGAGACCAGCCTCGGCAACATAGCAAGACCCCATCTCTAAAAAAAGTTTAGCTGGGCATGGTGGTGCACACCTGTGGTCCCAGCTACTTGGGAGGCTGAGATGGGAGGATCACTTGAGCCCAGGAGCTTGAGGTTGCAGTAAGCTATGATCATACCAGTGCACTCCAGTGTGGGCAATAGAATGAGGCCCTATCTCTAAAAATCAATCAATCAATCAAAGAAATCAGGCCAGGCGCAATGGCTCACGCCTGTAATCCCAGCACTTTGGGAGGCCAAGGCGGGTGGATCATGAGGTCAGGAGTTCGAAACCAGCCTGGCCAAGATGGTGAAACCCCATCTCTACTAAAAATACAAAAATTAGCCAGGTGTGGTGGCGCATGCCTGTAGTCCCAGCTACTTGGGAGGCTGAGGCAGGAGAATTGCTTGAACCCGGGAGGCAGAGGTTGCGGTGAGCTGAGATCATGCCATTGCACTCCGGCCTGGGTGACAAGAGCGAAACTCCGTCTAAAAAAAAAAAAAAAAAAAAAAAATCAAAGAAATAAAAGAAGATCAAAATAAATGGAAAGATAGTCCATGTTCGTAGATAAGAAGACTCAATATTCTAATGTATCAGCTCTTCTTTGATCTATATATTCAATGCAATCCCTGTCAAAATCCCCATAAGTTATTTTTTGGATACTGACAAATTTGTTCTACAGTTTATATGGAGAGGCAAAAGACCCAGAATAGCCAAGACAATATGGAAAGAAAAGAACAAAGTCAGAAGACTGACACACCCAACTTCAACACTTACTATAAAGCTACAGTAATCAAGAAGTGTGGTGTTGATGAAAGAATAGAACAATAGGACTATTTAGTTCTATTGTTCAAAATAGACCCATAAAAATATAGTCAACTGATCTTCGACAAAGGAGCAGAGGCAATACAATTAGGAAAGATAGTCTCCAACAAAGAGTGCAGGAATAATGAATATCCACATGCCAAAAAAATGAATCTAGACCCAAACCATATACCCTTCACAAAAATTAAGTCAAAATGGATTACAGACCTAAACATAAAATGCAAAACTAGAAAACTCCTAGAAAATAACACAGGAGAAAATCTAGGTGACCTTGGGGATGTTGATGGCTTTTTAGATACAGCAGCACAAAAGGCATGGTCAATGAAAGAAAGAACTGATAAGCGAAACTTAAAAAAACTGCTGCTCTGTGAAAGATACTGTCAAGAGAACGAGAAGACAAGCCACAGATGGGAAAAACTATTAGCAAAAGCAGGATCTGAAAAAGGACTATTATCCAAAATATACTAAAAATTCTTAAAGTTCAACAATAAGAAAACAAACAACTTGGTTTAAAAAAGGGCAAAAGACCTGAATAGACACCTTACCAAAGAAGATATACAGATAGCAAATAAGTATATGAAAAGATGCTCATATGTCATCAGGGAATTACAAATTTAAAACAATGACATACCACTACACACCTATTAGATGGGCCCAAACCCAAAAGATTGACAACATTAAATACTGGCATAAATATGGAGCAACAGGAACTCTCATTCATTGATGGTGGGAATGCAAAATAGTATAGCCACTTTGGAAGACAGTTTGGCAGTTTCCTACCAAAGCAAACATACTTTTACCATGTGATCCAGCCATCATGCTCCTTGGCATTTACGTAAATGAAATGAAATCTTATGTCTACACAAAAACCTGTACATAGATATTTACAGCAGATTTATTCATAACTGCCAAAATTTGGAAGCAACCAAGATGCTCTTCAGTAGGTGAATGGATAAACTGTGGGTCATCCAGACAATGGATATTATTCATCACTAAAAAGAAATGAGCTATCAAGGCATAAAAAGACCTACCAGAAACTTAAATTGCATATTATTAAGTGCAAGAAGCCTATATGAAAAGATAACATACTATATGATTTCAACTAGATAACATTTTAGAAAAGGCAAAACTATGGAGACAGTAAAAAGATCACTGGTTGCCAGGGGTCAGTGTGGAGGGAAGGATGAATAGGTAGAGCACAGGGGATATTTTGGGCAGTGAAACTATTCCTTATGATACTACAATCATAGATGCATGTCATTATACATTTGCCCAAACCCACAGAATGCACAACACAAAGAATGAACCATAATGTGAACTATGGAATTTGGGTTCTAATAATGTGTCAGTGTAGGTTCTTCGATTGTAACAAAGGTAACACTCTGGTGGGGGATGTTGACAATGGGGGAGGCTGTGCATGTGCGGGGACAGGGGTATATGGAAACTGTATACTTTCTGCTCAATTTCATTGTGAATCTAAAACTGCTTTGAAAAACAAAGTCTATTAAGTCAGTCAGTTAATCCTTCACTATTTCACCATCTCCTTCACCTTACGGTGAAATCAAAGTAACAAACAGGGCTGCAAGGCCCTATGCAATCTGGCCTCCTTCCCCATTCCTGCCTCCCTCCCTCCTGCTTACTTTGCTCCAGCCATGCTGGCCTCCTTGCCAGCCAGAATGCCAGGCACACTGCACCTCTGGGCCTTTGCACTTGCTGTGCTCTCTCCCAGGAACATTCTTCCCTGAGAGAGCCTCCCTGGTTCCCTGCCATCTTCCTTCAGGTCTTTATTCAAATGTCACCTTCTTCGTGAGGTCTTCCCCATCACTCTAATTAAAAATGCAGCTTTAGCTGTGCACAGTGGCTCACACCTGTAATCCTAGTGCTTTGGGAGGCCAAGGCAGGAGGATCGCTTGAGTCCAGGAGTTCAAGACAAGCCTGGGCAACACAGCGAGACCACGCCTCTCCTAAAAACTTTTAAAAATTAGCAGGGCATGGAGGCACGTGCCTGTAGTCCCAGCTGCTTAGGAGGCTGAGGCAGGAGATCACTTCAGCCTGGAAGTTCAAGGCTGCAGTGAGCTATGATCACACTACTACACACCAGCCTGGGCGACAGAGTGAGACCCTGTCTCTAAATTAAAAAAAAAAAAAAAAAATGCAGCTTCCCCCAACCCTTCCTATTTTCTTTCTTGCTTTGTTTCTTACCAGAGAGTTCATAACCATCTAACATACTATATATTTTACTTATTTCATTTCTTGGTCTGCCTCCCTCCCATTAGAATGTAAGCTCTGTGAGGGCAGAGATTTTTGCTGTTTTGTTTACTGCTACGCCTCACTGCCATATCACAGAGCTCAGCACTTGGTAGGATCTCAATATTTATTGGATGAATAAATGAATAGCTTATGGCAAGTTCACACATGCTTCCAGATATTTGCTGTGCTGTTTTCTTTACTTGGAATGACATTCCTCCATGTTCAGGAGAAAAATCCCACTCAGCCTCCAAAACTCAGCTGAAGAAACCCTCTTCTGTGAAGTACACTCTGACCGTAGGCAGACCAGGTAGGAATCTCTTCTCTGAATTACTGCAGTCCAATTATACTTCTGGTGGTCCCTTATCACAGTTTTGTGTAATCTGTATGGCCCCTTAGAAGGTTTGTATTCATCCTGTATTCAAAGGACTTTTGTACCTGGACTATAATCGCAGGTACTCAAAAGCATTTGTGAAATGAAATAGTAAATGAATGAATAACTCAGATAAAGTAATTAATATGTAGCTTAGTGTGAAGACATTTAGTATGTACATAATTTAAAGAAGATACTTAAAGATACTCCTATGAAAGTCCATTTGATACTAATACTTTTTATTATACCTTACTCAAGATACAAGTTAGTGACTAATAATATACAAAGGTCAAGATAATTGCTTAGTAATTAACGTAAAAGGCTGTGTTTGCTTTCATGTTTCTTTTACATTATTTCAAGAGCTTTTTTTTTTTTTTTTTTTTTTTACTTTACCTGCTATTTGTGTTTCCATATTCATACTGGTTTAGCCTAGAGAGTATCACCATGGGCGCTAAAGACTGGGCAGATTTGGTAAACAAAGCATTAATGCCAAAAACCACTGAAGGAAGGGGTGACCTGGAACAGACAAAAATAGCATGGGTCTATATCACATACGAACTACGTGTGTGTGTGTATATATATATATATATCCATATATACAATTTGAATCAGGAATCTCTTTGTGTATGAAGTCTTCCTTAATCCTAAGTAGACAACAATAAAAATAGTATAGTATTATAAAATATTAACCTTTTAGTTATAAAGGATTATAAAACTAGAAAAACCTAACTGTTTTTAAATTTTTTTTTATTTTACTTTAAGTTCTGGGATACATGTGCTGAACATGCAGGTTTGTTACGCAGGTATACATGTGCCATGGTGGGAAAAACTTAACTCTTTTTTTTTTTTTTTTTTTTTAGAGACAGGGTCTTGCCATGTTGCCCAGGTTGGTCTTGAACTCTTGGCCTCAAGCCATCCTCCCAACTTGGCCTCCCAAAAGTACTGGGATTATTATAGTCATGAGCCATGGCGCCCAGCCAGAACCTAACTTTTTTTTTTTTTTTTAAGACAGGGTCTCACTCTGTCTCCCAGGCTGGAGTGCAGTAGCACAATCTCAGCTTGCTGCAGCCTTGAACTTCCAGGCCCAAGCGATCCTCCCACCTCAGCCTCAGCTGGGACTGCTGGCATGCACCACCATGCCTGGCTAATTTTTGTATTTTTGGGCGGGATGGGGTCTCTCTACGTTTCCCAGGCTGGTCTCGATCTCCTGGACTCAAACGATCCTCCCACCCTGGCCTCCCAAAGTGTTGGGATTATAGGTGTGAGACACCATACCTAGCAGAACCTAACTCTTAGATGAAGAAACTAAGATCCAAAGGGAAGACACAGCTCACCTCTTACAGGCCTATGCAGTGAACGCTATTTGTGCCCTGTACTCTGTTATGGGCTCTTATTACTTCATCTAAATCCCATGACAATCCCATGAGTGAGATATTACCAGCTCTGTTTTAGAGATGGGAAAGCAGATTAACTCATCCACAGTCACACAGCTAGTAAATGGTAAAACTGGGATTCATGCCTAAGTTTTTTTGACCAAGTTTTATTAAGGACTACTTTAATGTATTCCTGATAAGAATCCTCCATATAACTTTTTTAAATAATCAGGTCACATAAAATAAATCAAGTGCATTGACTGAATAAACTGAAATCTTGTCACATATCAACTAATGATGGAAACCTTGCAACTCAGGAAGAGAAAAAAGAAAACAGGAAGGAGAAAAAAGAAGAAAGGGAGGGAAAAAAATAAAAGAGAGGCAAGGTCTGAGAATTAGAGGAAATTTAATTTGATGGTAAGAGCTTGGGTTTGATTGTCTGTTCTTCAGTCTGCTGGTTACATTAACCAGAACATTGGGAACATTAATTTCTGCAAGGTCTTAGTTTCTTGAAAATGGGGATAACTTTGATTGTCTGACAATACAATTGCTGTCTATCTCCCCAACTAGACTATAAGTACCACAAGGACAGAGGCTATGTCCGGTTTTGCTCACTGGTTTTTGTCTTCTCTGACATGATTAGTGAGACAGTTGGCTCAAGCAAAAAAATCATTTTTAAAAGAAGAGACAGTAACCATTCCATTTTAACTTAACTATACTCATTCATAAATCTTTTCTTTGGGTTTTTCGCTGAGTATATGTCCACTGATGAAAGTGCTGGGCCGGCTGGGCGCGGTGGCTCACGCCTGTAATCCCAGCACTTTGGGAGGCTGAGGCGGGTGGATCACGAGGTCAGGAGATCGAGAACATCCTGGCTAACATGGTGAAACCCCGTCTCTACTAAAAATACAAAAAATTAGCCGGGCATGGTGGCGGGCACCTGTAGTCCCAGCTACTTGGGAGGCTGAGGCAGGAGAATGGTGTGAACCCAGGAGGCGGAGCTTGCGGTGAGCAGAGATCGTGCCACTGCACTCCAGCCTGGGCCACAGAGCAAGACTCCATCTCAAAAAAAAAAAAAAAAAAGAAAAAAAAAAGAAAGTGCTGTGCCATCTTTCTTGTATAAACAGGATCCATATTACATGATAGACAGTTTCTACTGTCAATTATAAAGAGAACCTCAAGTCACTTATGAAGCAAACTCAGTACAAAATATCTTTAGACTTCTTTGACTTTCCCCTCAAAACATTTAGTTTCCACTGTATCAAACGTGATAGTAATTGTTTACAACTCAATTTTTTTCTCTTCTCCTTCTCCTTCTTCTTTTGTATGTTGCCTAGGCTGGTCTCAAACTTCTGGCCTTGAGCAATCCTCCTGTCTCAGCCTCTCAAAGTGCTGGGATTACAGGCGTGAGCCACAATGCTTGACCCTACAACTCAATATCGAGTCTTCCTAAAGCATTCAACTTAATTTTCATAAAAGTAACTTTCATTTCACGTATATATTTCCTGTTTATAAAATATAAGTACAATTAAATTTTGCAATTGCAGTAACAAGTACGTCTGACATTAAGAGATTTGAATTAAAAAACACTGACCCTTGGTAATGATACACTGAATCATGGGAGTAGAAAAGTACAGGTGTCCTCAAGAGTAGCCATTTGGTCACAAACCTACTGCGCACATGTGAATAAGTACATTTTAGAGCCATGGTCTCCAACCATTTTGGCACCAGGGACCAGTTTCATGGAAGACAATTTTTCCACGGACCAGGGGGGTTGGTTTTGAGATGATTCAAGTGCATTACATTTATTATGCACTTTATTTCTAATATTATTACAGACCGGTACTGGCCTGTAGCCTAGGGGTTGGAGACCCCTGTTTTAGAGAGAAGGAAGAGCATCAGATAACTTGGAGAGTTCATTACAAGACCCACTGTATTGAATCCTCAGCATTTACCACATTGCCTGACACAAAAGAATAAATCGATAAATATTTGTCAAGTCCATAATGTCTACCACTCAAGGCTGCTGCAAGACCTGAATGAGCAAACAGTCATACAAGCTCATTTGGACATTGGCATTTGGTAAATGTTAATGCCTTTCCCTTTCTCACTGTTCAAGACATTTTATTTATTTGTAACCTATCTAATTCAAAAGGAATTTGAAAGGTGAAAAATGTTTACTGAAGTTGTTGCTTGTTTATGTATTCATTCAACAGAAGGAGTTTTGAGCCAGTCAGTTTTCCAGGTACAAAGGAGACAAAAGTGAAGATAGCGCCCTGGACTGTAAGGAGCTCACCACCTTGCCTATCACCCCAAATATGAACTTAGCAACAAAACTCTGCAACAGGAAAGGAATTAGAGAAATCCAGGTAGCTGGCAAATCTTTCCTCAATTTAATTTGCATTAAAAATAAAAGAGGGGGCTGGGCGCCCTATTTTATTATTTGCATTAAAAATAAAAGTGGTTCACATCCATAATCCCAGCACTTTTGGGAGGCCAAGCAGAAGGATCGATTGAGACCAGGAGTTCAGGACTAGCTTTGGCAACATAGCGAGATCCTCATCTCTACAACATATATATATTTAAAAATTAGCTGGGCCTGGTAGTGTGCACCTATATAGTCCTAGCTACTCAGGAGACTGAGGCAGCAGGATCTCCTGAGCCCAGGAGTTTGAGGCTGAAATGAGCTATGATCACACCACCACACTTCAGCCTGAGCAACAGAGCAAGACCCTGTCTTGAAAACAAACAAACAAACAAAAGAGGTTTTGCAGCATAAATGTTTTGACAGAACTAATAAAGAATGTGCCTCTGTCTGGCCGGGCGCAGTAGCTCATGCCTGTAATCCCAGCACTTTGGGAGGCCAAGGTGGGTGGATCATCAGGTCAGGAGTTTGAGACCAGCCTGACCAACATGATGAAACCCCGTCTCTACTAAAAATACAAAAAAATTAGCCAGGCGTGGTAGCACGTGCCTGTAATCCCAGCTACTCAATCGCTTGAACCTGGGAGGCAGAGGTGGCAGTGAGCCAAGATTGCACCACTGTACTCCAGCCTGGGCGACAGAGCAAGACTCCATCTAAAAAAAAAAAAAAAAACAATGTGCCTCTGTCTTAAAATAATACATTTCTCTCTAATCTGCAAAATAGGACACGTATGAGAAAATATTTGCCAATCAAATACACTTTATAGCTGATCTAAAGTGCTTACAATCATACCAAAGAACAGAACCTCTCATCATCAGCTTAGGCTTTTTCAGCTAAGAAAGGATAAGATGGACCTTGATTTTTAATTTTAATTCTTGCAATGTCACAGAGTAAAGGTCATTTTACCTAATCGTCCCATGTAATAAAGCATATTGCCATATGTAGAACATACAGCTAACTGAGATTTCACTTTGCTTTCTGATATTTAACCCTGTTGTAATATTGGCTGTGTGAACCTGAGAAATGAAAAACTGTGATGTCGTTTTAGAAATGGGGAAAAGTTGCCCAGGGCAAACAAGCATGAATATATCTGATTATATTCTGTCCCCTGGTTCCTAGCAATGCCTCTTATGATTGTCTTTCAGATATGTGATTTGTAGTGGCAATATAACTGAGATATGGAGACTCTGATAGGTCCTGCCTACATGTGATATTTTTGTAGCTAACATTTGAAAAAGTATACTTACTGCTGATTAAACTTTAGTAAATCTGCATCAACCATGTCAGCTAGTGGCAGGGTAAACAAGGAAACCGAAGCTCACACGATAACCCTAGAAAAAATGTTAAAACACATATGAAAATTTTACAACTAGGAGGCACAGCTTTTGTTAAAAAAGAATAAAATGAAAGTTGACATTTGATTTGCAAGAAGATAAAAGGAAATGATATACTATAAAAGTAAAGCTATATTAGGCATACCCTTCTATCCTCCCAAATATTATATATCTATGAATATATAATTCTCTTTTAAAAGTGAAATAACTACTTTCACTTGGGAATTTTAAAAATGATTTTTATGCTTCTTCCTCATTCCAAATGACTAAACTCATTTAATCTGCTTAAATTATTAATAGATTCTAAAGGACAGGAAGTGCCAGGGAAATTAATCACACAGACATCTTTCTCTTGATATCAGAAATAGGATACATTAAGAACTGAGAAAGGGCATATAGCATTTTAATTATGATAGAAGAATAAAAATGAGGGGGATGGTTTAAGTGAAGAAAAAGCAAAAATATTCATTCTAAAAATTACTATAAACTATCATTTTACATATTATACAGCCAGGGCCACCCTTACAGACTTATAGAATAGTTATCTGCATGGGGTTCTAATGTCTTGAAGTTTCATAGGGATTCAATCATTTGAGTCAATTATTACAGTCTCCACTACCAGTTTGTTCAAAATGCAAATATGTCTTCATGAAAATTTTCTCAAGTTGTTCCAGCAGGGACCTGGAATAGAATGTATTAATTCATTCACTCAAAATGAGTGACTCATGCCTGTAATCCTACACTTTGGGAGGACGAGGTGGGTGGATCACTTGAAGTCAGGAGTTTAAGACCAGCCTGGCCAACATGGTGAAACCCCGTCTCTACTAAAAATACAAAAATTAGCCAGGCATGGTGGCTGGTGCCTGTAGTCCCAGCTACTCGGGAGGCTGAGGCAGGAGAATTGCTTGAACCTGGGAGGTGGAGGTTGCAGTGAGCCGAGATCACGCCACTGCACTCCTGGACAACAGAGTGAGACTCCATCTCAAATAAAACAAAAAACAAAAACAAAAACATTATCTTTTCTTTTCTTTTCTTTTTTGAGACAGGGACTCACTCTGTTGTCCAGGCTGGAGTGCAGTAGCATGATTTCAGCTCACTGCAGCCTCCACCTCTTGGGCTCAGGTGATCCTCCCACTTCAGCCTCCTGAATATCTGAGACTACAGGAGTGCACCACCACACCTGGCTAAATTTTTATTTTGTGTAGAGACAGGGTTTTGCCATGTTTCCCAGGCTGGTCTTGAACTCCTGGGCTCAAGTGATCCTCCCACCTCAGCCTCCCAAAGTGCTGGAAGTATAGGCATGAGCCACTGTGCCTGGCCCAAAACACATTTTCTAAGGACCAACTATTTGCAGGAACTGCAGTAGGTAATGGGCCGCAGTGGTAAGAGACTAGACCCTATTCACAATAAACTCAATCCAGTGGGGACTACAGATAGTCGCAGGTAGAGGAAAAGCACCACAGCAGAAGTAAGCATAGGGCACTGGAGTCATATAGGAGGGCCACCTAATCCAGATGAGGAAATCAGGGAAGGCTTCCCAGAGAAGCACATGCCCGAACTGTGGCCTAAGACACGTGAGGACAGGGCCAAGCAAGAAATGGGGAAGAGCTTTCCAGGCACAGGAAACTGCATCTTCTAGACACAGAGGTGTCTGAACCAGGAACTGCAAAGTATTTCTGTATGGCAGAGAGTACAGTGTAAGTTGAGGAGTAACAAGAAATGAAGATGAAGGCTGGGCACAGTGGCTCACACCTGTAATCCCAGCACTTTGGGATGCCAAGGTGAGCAGATCGCTTGAGCCCAGGAGTTCAACACCAGCCTGGGCAACATGGCAAAAACCCATCTCTACAAAAAATAAAAATTAAGCTGGGCATGGTAGTACACATCTGTAGTCCCAGCTATTTAGGAGGATGAGGTGGGAGGATCACCTGAGCCTGGGAGGTGGAGGTTAGAGTGGGCCATATTTGTGCCACTGTACTCTAGCCTGGGCAACAGAGCAAGACCCTGTCTCAGAAAAAAAAAAAAAAAGAAATGAAGACGAAAAGATAAAGAGGGACTATATAACAAGACATCATAATGTCATCATTTCGAAATACCCTGAAAGCAATAAGAAGCCACTTAAGATTATTAAAGGTACTTGGGAGGCTGAGGTAGGAGAATCGTGTGAACCCGGGAGGCGGAGCTTGCAGTGAGCCAAGATCGTGCCACTGCACTCCAGCCTGGGCGACACAGTGAGATTCCATCTCAAAAAAAAAAAAAAGATTATTAAGCAAAGGAAGAGCATGTTATTCTAGAAGCAATATGAGAGAGGGAGTTGGAGAGACTGGAGACTATAAACTAGGGGATCATATGGGAAGACTGTATCCTATTCCATGTAAGAAATGAGCTATAGGAATGTCAGTGGAACTGAGAAGAGATGGATTCAGGGCACATTAGGGAGATAAAACTGCTAACAATTAACAGTGTGTTGGACCTAGGTGTCAAAGAAGAGAGAAAAGGCAAAGACAACTTCTCGGTCTCTGACTTGGGCAACCAGATAGATGGCAAAGCCATTTCCCGAGATGGCAAATAATGGCAAAAGAGCAGATTTGGCAGCAAGATCTTTGATTTGGACCTGCAGAATTTGACATGCCTGTGATGGAGGCAAAGTGGGTGCTTGGGGGAGGAGGAGAGGTTGCAGAAATAGGAGGAAGAGTTGAAGGAGAAATAGAAGCTCAGTGTCTTTTATACGTGGCAGCAGTATTTACTAAATATATTTTTGAGACAGGGTCTCACTCTTGTCACCTAGGCTGGATGGAGTGCAGTGGTGCAGTCGTAGCTCACTATGACTTGAATTCGTGGGCTCAAGTATGATCCTCCTGCCTCAGCCACTAGAGTAGCTGGGACTACAGGCATGTGCCACCAAAAAATTTTTTAATTTTTTATAGAGATGCGGTCTTACTCTGTTGCCCAGGCTAGTCTCAAACTCTTGGCCTTAAGCAATCCTCCAACCTTAGCCTTCCAAGTAAATTTTTTAATAGGTTAAAAAAAAGTAAGTTTACTACAAAATTTAATGTATGAAATTCCTTCATAAAACAAGCCATTAACATTCAGACAATTTGTCAAAAAGGTACAATGACCTTGCCTAGAAATGAATATTAAACTCAGTCCGGATCAAAAATGTGTCACTGCTTGAAAGGGCAAATAGTAAAATTTAGTGTAATTTTGAGACTGGAACCAGCATTTACTTACATGATAATAGTGAGATAAAGAGCCAAACAGTAATAGTATTGCTTTCCCAGGAGTAACATTACAATGGAGGCTGTTCCTTCTACATAGAAAGAAATTAAGATGATCTTATGGTAATCAAACTTTTTCAGCCAGGACTGACTGATAAGTACAAGGCACTGAAATGGAAACAGAATGGCATTGTGTTAAGATGGAACTCCACGCATTATTAAGCTTACTTACTCTTGCTGATGACAAAATAAACATTCTTATTGCAAAATAAATTGCTGGCCAGGTGTGGTGGCTGATGCCTATAATCCCAACACTTTGGAAGGCCAAGGTAGAAGGATCACTTGAGCCCAGGAGTTCATGACCATCCTGGGCAACATGGTGAAATTCTATCTCTACAAATAATACAAAAATTAGCTAGGTGTGGTGATGTACAGCTGTAGTCCCAGCTACTAGGGAGGCTCAGGTTGGAGTACTGCTTCAGCCCAGGAGGTTGAGGCTATAATGATCTATGATCACACCCACTGCACCCCAACCTGAGTGACAGAGCAAGACCCTGTCTCAAAAAATATGTAATAAATAAATAAATTTGCTTCTGAATTATAGTGTCAATTGAAACACACAATTAAAACTATCTTGCTTAGATATGCCATTATTATCCATATATACCAAAAATTGATTATGAATGGTAACTTTTTTTTTTTTTTGAGACAGAGTCTCAAATCTGTCATCCAGGTTGAAGTGCAGTGGCATGATCTTAGCTTACTGCAAACTTTGCCTCCCAGGTTCAAGCAATTCTCATGCCTCAGCATCCTGAATAGCTGGGATGACAGGCAAGCACCACTGTGCCTGGCTAACTTTTGTATTTTTAGTAGAGACAGTGTTTCACCATGTTGGCCAGGCTGGTCTCAAACTCGGGCTCAAGTGATCTGTCTGCCTCGGCCTCCCAAAATGTTAGGATTACAGGCGTGAGCCACCACATCTTGCCTGAAATGTACTTTTTACCCTAAAATCAAGCATCAGGGTAAACAAGAGTTAGCATTCCTTGCTAACTGTGCCCTGCCTAACTTTATATGTTTTTATCATTATAACAGATTCATTTTAAGAGCTCAGACTTAGGTTTTTTGCATTTCTTGCTATCAGTGAAAAAGTTCATTGTTCTAGACTGAAAAGTTTATGCTAAATATACATATGTACATTAACAAAGATCAGAAGATACTCTTTGTTTTCAATAAAAAAGCACACATTGTTTATCCCTGATAAGTTTTCACTAACCAAAAGTATGTGCATTATAGTTAGAAGAGAATTTTGAATGATGTAAGTAGAATACAGATGTTCTTTAATAAACATAAGGGTTTTTTTTACCCTGACTGATTTTTTGACTGACTTTTCTACTTTCAAGGAACAAGAGTTCATTTTCTGGATACTAAAAAACAATGGATCAGTGATTGATGTGGTCCAAGGCATTTCTTAGAGTTCTGTAAGAGGAAGTATATAAAATACCCCAACAAGTCCAATTATATTCTTAAATATTATTATAATATTATAAAGGAACACATTTCCACATATTGAAATGCAGCTGCTGTTTCTCCATCTCTAGTACATAAACATACAAAATACAAGAAGTTAATAATGTAAGAAATATGTGGTAGAGTGGAATGTGCAAGATTTTTTTTACAGACAAGGTCTTACTATGCTGCCCAGCCTGGTCTCAAATTTCTGGGCTCAAGCAATCATCCCAAGTAGCTGACCACAGGCATGCACCACCACGTCTGGCTAAAAAGTGAAAGATTTTGAAATCAGATGTCCCTAGGTTTAAATTCCAGCTTTGCCACTTTTACCAGCTATTTCTTCACAGACAAGTTACTTTACCTAAGAGGCATTTCCCCCACCAAGACAAACTTTCTCTCTCTCTCTCTCTCTCTCTCTCTCACTCTTGCTCTCTTCCATTTCTCTTCTCTTACCTAGCACCATACTCAACATATAAGGCACTTAATAATTGGTAGCTATTTTTCTTGTGTCCAATATATAAAAAGATATAAGCCAATGATGAGTAGTATCACAAAAATCATGAAAGAAAAGAGAAAGACCGCCTTTTTTTTTTTTTTTAACTAAAATAAAGCCTTCTACAGATGAAAGATTTTGGCTCCCCATTCAACAGTGTGTTCCAACATAAGTGTTGGCAAACCTGTGGCAAAGGAGCCTACATCAAGACAGAGGGATAAAGGCAGTGCTGTGCTCACAGTGAAAGTCTAATAGATACCTGCTGCACTGAGTTGGCTGTACATAATAAGAGCTAACATTTCTAGAGGGTTTATTTTGTGCCAGGAACCGTTTTAAGTACTTTGGATGTTTTAATTCATTTAACCCTCATAATAATTTCCTTAGGTAGGCACTATTTTTTTGTTGTTTTTTAAGACAGGGTCTTGCTCTGTCACCCAGGCTGGAGTGCAGTGGCACAATCACGGCTCCCTGCAGCTTTGACCTCCTGGGCTCAAGCGATTTTCCCACCTCAGCCTCCCAAGTAGCTGGGACTCCAGGTGTGTGCCACTATGTCTGGCTATTTTTTTAAATTTTTTATAGAGACAGGGTCTCGCTATGTTGCCCAGGGTGGTCTTAAACTCCTGGGCTCAAGTGACCCTCCCACCTTAGCCTCCCAAAGTACTGGGAGCCATTGTGCCCAGACCAGTAGGTACTATTTTGATCCTCATTTTACAGATGAGGAAACTAAGGCACAGAGAGGTTGAGTAACTTACCTAGGATTGCACAGCTAGTAAGTGGAGAGCCAGGCTCCTCCTGGGCAGACTGCAGATCCATGCTCTTAACCCAGTTACTCCTCTGCCTCTCTGGGGAGTGTAATATGGAAGAGTGACAGACCTATACCAACAGTTATTAGGGAGACAGAGTATTTATTCATCCTTTTCTCCTTTATTTATTCAACTCCTCAAAAAGAAAACCAGCCTGAGGGCTGGGTGCGGTGGCTCACGCCTGTAATCCCAGCACTTTGGAAGGCCGAGGCAGGTGGATCACTTGAGGTCAGTAGTTGGGAGACGAGCCTGGCCAACATGGTGAAACCCCATTTCTACTAAAAATACAAAAATTAGCCAGGCATGGTGGCACATGCCCGTAATCCCAGCTACTTGGGAGGTTGAGGCAGGAGAATTGCTTGAATCTGGGAGGCGGAGATTGCAGTGAGCTGAGACCATGCCATCACACTCCAGCCTGGGTGGCAGAGCGAGACTGTCTCAAGAAAAAGAGAGAGAGAGAGAGAGAGAGAGACTGTCTCAAGAAAAAGAGAGAGAGAGAAAGAAAAGAAAGAAAGAAAAGGAAAGAAAAGGTAAGAAAGAAAGAAAAGGAAAGAAAGAAAGAAGAAAGAAAGAAAGAAAGAAGAAAGAAAGAAAGAAAGAGGAAGGGAGAAAGGGAGGGAGGGAGGACGGAGAGAGAAAGAGAAAATGAAAACATAGTGCTCACCCTTCATTATTTTATCCAATAAAGTGTTAAAGAGACTTAGCCAAATGAATAACAAGAACAACAGATTCCAATGAGCTGTCATTATTTTTTTTTTTTGTCTGAGGCAGAGTCTGTCACCCAGGCTGGAGTGCAGTGGCACCGTCTCGGCTAACTGCAACCTCCACCTCCCAGGTTCAAGTAATTCTCTGCCTCAGCCTCCCAACTAGCTGGGATTACTGACACCCACCACCACGCCCGGCTAATTTTTTGTATTTTTAGTAGAGACAGTGTTTCACCATCTTGGCAGGCTGGTCTTGAACTCCTGACCTCATGATCCACCCACCTCAGCCTCCCAAAGTGCTGGGATTACAGGCGTGAGCCACCACGCCTGGCCAAGCTGTCATTTTTTACCACAATAATTTACACGTGTTAATTCTCTAGAAATTAAGAATAAATTTCAAGCAACTTTGGATTTTCTTTTATTTTTTGTAGAGACAGGGTTTCGCTGTGTTGCCCAGGCTGGTCCCAAACTCCTGGCTTCAAGCAATCCTCCTGCCTCAGCCTCCCAAAGTGCTGGAATTACAGGTGTTAGCCATTGGGCCAGACCTGGATTTCCATTTTATAATAATTTTTTATTGAGATCAATAGAAAGTCCTATGTTTTTGTGAGGGCTTAAGAAAAATGACTGTTAAAATCTTTTGGCTATACTTCTCTTAACAACTAGTAACCAAGAGAGACTAAGAGAAAGTATTTACTGATCATATATCTGACAAAAGACATGTGCCTAGAATATACAAATAACTCCTACAACTCAATAATATGAAGACTAATTACTCAATTTAAAAAGACACAAATTATTTTAATAAATAACCAAAAAGATACATGGATGGCAAGTAAGCATATGAAAAGATGCTCAACATCATTAGTAGTCATTAGGAAAATGTAAATCAAAAACACAGTAAGATACTACATACCGGCCAGGCGTGGTGGCTCACGCCTGTAATCCCAGCACTTTGGGAGGCCGAGGCAGGCGGATCACGAGGTCAGGAGATCGAGACCATCCTGGCTAACATGGTGAAACCCCATCTCTAATAAAAATACAAAAAATTAGCCAGGCGTGGTGGCGGGAGCCTGTAGTCTCAGCTACTCGAGAGGCTGAGGCAGGAGAATGGCATGAACCCAGGAGGCGGAGCTTGCAGTGAGCCGAGATTGCGCCATTGCACTCCAGCCTGGGCGACAGAATGAGACTCTGTCTCAAACAAAAAAAGGAAAAAAAAAGTAAAGAGAAAGGTAAACATCTACCTTCCATACAACCCAGCCATTCTACTCCTAGGTATTTACTCAAGAGCAAGGAAAGCATATATCCATACAAAGACACAAAATGCTCATAGCTTTATTTGTAACAGCCAAAAACCAGATCCAACCCAAATGTCCATCAAGAGATGAAAGAAGGAAGTCCTGGCCAGAGCAATCAAGCAAAAGAAAGAAAGAAATTACATCCAAATAGGAAGAGAAGAAGTCAAACTATCTGTCTTTGGTGACAATATGATTCTATACATAGAAAACCCTAAAGACTCCACCAAAGGACTCCTGGAACTGATAAATGACTTCAGTAAAGTTTCAGGATACAAAATCAATGTACAAAAATCTGTGGCATTTCTTTACATGAATAATGTTCAAGCTGAGAACCAAATCAAGAATGCGATCCTATTTACAGTAGCCACAGAAAAAATTAACATACCTAGGAATTCATCTCACCAAGGAGGTGAAAGATCTCTACAAGGAGAACTATAAAACACTGCTGAAAAAAATCATATATGACACAAATGGAAAAACATTCCATGCTCATGGATTGGAAGAATCAATATTGTTACAATGTCCATACTGCCCACAGCAATCTACAGATTCAATGCTATTCCTATCAAACTACCAACATCATTTTTCACAGAGTTAGAATAAACTATTTGCAATTTCATATGGAACCAAAAAGAGCCCAAATAGCAAAGCAAGCCTAAGCAAAGAGAACAAAGCCAGTGACATTACCTGACTTCAAATCGTACTATAAGGCTACAGTAACCAAAACAGCATGGTACTGGTACAAAAACAGCCACATAGACCAATGGAACAGAACAGAGAACTGAGAAATAAAGCTGTACTCTTGCAGCCATCTGATCTTCAATAAAATCAACAAAAATAAGCAATGGGGAAAGGATTCCTTATTCAATAAATGGTGCTGGGATAGCTGGCTAGCCATATGCAGAAGACTGAAACTGCACCTTTCACCACATATAAAAATTAACTCAAGATGGATTAAAGATTTGAATGTAAGACTTCAAACTATAAGAATCCTAAAAGAAAACCTAGGAAACACCATTCTGGACATCAACCTTGGGAAATAATTTATTGCTAAATCCTTAGAAGCAATTGCAACAAAAACAAAAATTGACAAGTGGGACCTAATTAAACCAAAGAGCTTATGCACAGCAAAAGAAATTATCAACAGAGTAGGCAGACAACCTATAGAATGGGAGAAAATACTTGCAAACTATGCACCTGACAAAGGTCTAATATCCAGAATCTATAAGGAACCTAAGCAATTGACCAAGCAATAAACAAACAACTGCATTAAAAAGTGGGCAAAAGACATGAACAGATACATCTCAAAAAAAGACATAAGCAGCCAATCATGAAAAAATGCTCAACATCACTAATCATCAGAGAACTGCAAATCAAAACCACAATGAGATACCATCTCACACTAATCAGAATGGCTATTGCTAAAAGTAAAAAAAAAAAAACCAACAGACAGATAGACTGCAGAGAAAAGGGAACACTTATACGCTGTTGATGGCAATGTAAATTAGTTCAACCACTGTGGAAAGCAGTTTGGAGATTTCTCAAACTACCTAACACAGAACTACCACTTGACCCAGCAATCCCATTACTGGGTTTATATCCAAAAGGAAATAAATTGCTCTACCAAAAAGACACATACACTCTCCTGTTCATTGTAGCACTATTTACAATAGTGAAGACATGGAATCAGCCTAGGTGCCCACCAACGGTGGACTGGGTAAACAAAATGTGGCACATATACACCATGGACTATCACATAGCCATAAAAAGAATGAAATCATGTCCTTTGCAGCAACATGGATGCAGCTGGAGGCCATTATCCAAAGCAAATTAACACAGGAACAGACAAGCTAATACCACATGTTCTCTCTTATAAGTGGGAGATAAGCATTGGGTACTCATGGCAAAAAGATGGCAACAATAGACACTGGGGAATACTAGAAAGGCAGGGGGCAAGGGTTAAAAAACTAACTATTGGGTGCTATGTTCACTACCTGAGTGACAGGATCAATCATACCCCAAACCTCAACATCACACAATGCGCCCACATAACAAACCTGCACATATATTCCCTGAATCTAAAATAAAAGTTGAAATGATAAAAAACGTGGGCGGAGGGGGAGGAATTATTTAAAAAAAAAAAAAAAAGCAAATTGTGGTATACCCACATAATAGAATACTACTTGGCAATAAAAAGGAATTAAATATGGATACTCACAACATGACCAAAAGAATCCAGACCAAAAAATAGTACATTACTGTATGATTCCACTTATATAAAAACCTATAAAATGTAAACAAATCTATACTGATAGAAAGTAGCTCGACAGTTGCCTGAGAATTAGGGAGGTTAGGGAAGGGTGGAAGGAAGGGATTAACAAAGAAGCAGAAAGGCACTTTGGGGAATAATAGATACGTTAACCATCTTAATTGTGGTGATGGTTTCATGGTGTGTACATATGCTGGAATGTATCAAACTATACAGTTTAAATACATGCAGTTTTTTTTGTAGGTCAATCATACTGCAATAAAGCTACAAGAAAAATCCTGCCTTTCTTTCAACTCTTAAATTTTTCCAAATATTAAATAAAGCATGAAAAACAAAAACAGAAGCTTATATTAAAACCTGTTAATGACCAGGCACAGTGGCTCATACCTGTAATCCCAGCACTTTGGGAGGCTGAGGCAGGAAGATTGCTTGAGACCAGGAGTTCAAAACCAGCCTGAGCAATATAGCGAGACTCCATCTTTACCAAGAAATTAAGTCAGCCAGGCATGGTGGTGTATGCCTGTAATCCTAGCTACTCAGTAACCTGAGGTGGGAGGATTCCTTGAGCCCAGGAGTTTGAGGCTGCAGTGAGCTATGATCATGCCACTACACTCTAGCCTGGGGGACAGAGTGAGACCTTGTCTCTAAAAGATTAAAAAAAAAAAAAAAAGGCCAGGCATGGTGGCTCACACCTGTAATCTCAGCACTTAGGGAGGCCGAGGCGGGTGGATCACTTGAGGTCAAGAGTTCAAGACCAGCCTGGCCAACATGGTGAAACCCCATATCTACTAAAAATACAAAAATTAGCTGGGCTTGGTGGTGCATGCCTGTAGTCCCAGCTACTCGGGAGGCTGAGGTAGGAGAATCGCTTGAACCTGGGAGGCGGAGGTTGCTGTGAGCCGAGATCACGCCACTGCACTCCAGCCTGGGAGACAGAGTGAGACTCCATCTCAATAAATCAATAATAAATAAACAAATAAATACTTGTGAATAAATTTAACAAAAGAAGGGGAAAATTATAAAATATTGAAAGAAATTTCTAAACATCTAAATAGATGGAAAAACATCCCATGTTCATGGATCAGAAGATTTAACATCATTAATATGGCAATACTACTCAAGCTGATCTACAAATTCAGTGCAATCCCTATCAGTATTCCAGCTGACTTATTTGTAGAAATTGACAAACTGATTCTAAAATGTATATAGATTTGCAAGAGACTCAGAATAGCCAAGTCAATCTTGAAAAAGAAGAACGAGGCTGGGTGCAGTGGTTCACGACTATAATCCTACCACTTTGGGAGGCCAAGACAGGAGGATCACTTGAGACCAGGAGTTTGAGGTCAACCTGGGCAACATAGTGATGCCCCATCTCTACAAAAAATAATTTTTAAAAATTAGCTGGGAGTGGTGGCGCATGCCTGTAGTCCCAGCTACTCAGGAGGCTGAGGTGGGAGGATTGGTTCAGCTGAGGATGTCGAGGCTACAGTGAGCAGTGTAGGTCAAGGCGACACTGAACTCCATCCTGGGCAACAGACTGAAACTCTTGTTTCAAAAAAAATTAAATTAAATAAAAAAGAAAAAGAAGAATAAAGTAGGAAGACTCATACTTCTCAATCTCATCAAGAAAGAAAGTGAAAAGACAACCCACAGGAGAAAAATTTTGCAAACAATATCTGATAACAGATTGCATCAAACATATATTAATATGAAGAACTATTACAACTCGAGTATTAGTAAACTAAATAAAAAGACAACCTAATTATTAAAAACTGGGCAAATGGGCTGAATAGACATTTCTCTCTTTTACTTTATTTCTTTCTTTCTTTTGAGACAGTCTTACTCTGTCACCCAGGCTGGAGTGCAGTGGCATGATCTCGGCTCACTGCAACTTCCACCTCCAGGGTTCAAGGAATTCTCCCTGCCTCAGCCACCCGAGTAGCTGGGATTACAGGAGCCCACCACCACGCCCAGCTAATTTTTGTATTTTTTAGTAGAGATGGGGTTTCGCCATGTTGGCCAGGCTGGTCTTGAACTCCTGACCTCCAGTGATCCACCCGCCTCAGTCTCCTAAAGTGCTGGGATTACAGGCTTGAGCCACCGCGCCTGGCCTGAATAGACATTTCTCTAAAGAACATATACAAATGACCAACAGCATATAAAAAGATGCACAACATCATTAACTATCAGGCAAATGCAAATCAAAACTACAATGAGATGTCATTCACACACACTAGGATGGCTATAATCAAAAACACAGATAATAACAAGTATTGGTGAGGATTTGGAAAAACTGGACCCGTTGTACATTATTGGTAGGAATGTAAAATAGTGCACCAATTGTGGAAAATGGTCTGTCAGTATCGCAAAATGTGAAACATAGAGTTACTATGTGAGACACAACTATTCCGCTCCTGGATATATGCCCAAAAGAAATGAAAATATATATCTGTGCAAAAATCCTGTACATTAATGTTCATGGCAGCATTACTTGTTAATAGTCAAAAAGCAGAAACAACCCAAATGCTCATCAACTGAGGAGTGGATAAACAAAATGTGTTATAGCCATATGATGACTTATTAAGTTATTAAAAGGAATGAAGTACTCATACTACAATCTTAAAAACATGCTAAGTGTACATCAAATTACATCTAGTGTAAAAAAAATGCTAAGTGAAGGAAGCTGGTCACAAAAGACCACATATTATATGATTCAATTTATATGAAAGTCTAGAACAAGCAAATCCATAGAGACAAAATGTAGACTGATGGTAACCAAGGGATGAGGGGAAAGTGCAATGAGATTGTACTTTCAAGAATTTCAACTCCTCAAAAATTGACTAGTTCTTTTCAAAATGATAAAAATGTTCTAAAAATGATTGTAGTGCTGGTTGCTCAACTCCATGAATATATTAAAATTTGTTGAATTGTATGTTTTAAATGAGGTATGGTATGTGAATCATTTCAACAAAACTGTTTTTAAAAAATCTACCTTTGCTGGTTGTTCTTGAGCTGAGTTAAGAGAAAAAAAATCTACTTTTTTTTTTTTTTTTTTTTGAGACAGAGATCTCACTCTGCCACCCAGGCTGGTCTGCCGCCCAGGCTGGAGTGCAGTGGTACGATCTCGGCTCACTGCAAGCTCCGCCTCCCAGGTTCATGCCATTCTCCTGCCTCAGCCTCCAGAGTAGCTGGGACTACAGGCGCCCGCCACCATGCTCGGCTAATTTTTTGTATTTTTAGTAGAGACGGGGTTTCACCGTGTTAGCCAGGATGGTCTCAATCTCCTGACCTCGTGATCCGCCCGCCTCGGCCTCCCAAAGTGCTGGGATTAAAGGCGTGAGCCACTGCGCCCAGCCTACTCTTTGTCTTTACACGAGAGTTTTTGTTTGTTGGTTTTGAGACAAACAGGGTCTCACTCTGTTGCCCGTGCTGGAGTGTATAAGTGTGATTTCGGCTCACTGCAGCCTTGTCCTCCCCAGGCTCAGGTGATCCTCCTACCTCAGCCTCCTGAATAGCTGGGACTACAGGAGCACACCAGTATGTCTGGCTAATTTTTGTATATTTTGTAGAGACAGGGTTTCGCCATGTTGCCCAGACCAGTCTTGAACTCCTGGGCTTAAGCAATCTGCCTGCCTCGTCCTCCCAAAAAGCCAGGATTACAGGCATGAGCCACCACACCCAGGCTTACATAAGAGTTTAACAATTTTTTTTTTAACCTGGTGAAGAGGATAAACTATAGGCAAGTATTATACATGATTTAAAGTAAGAAAGCATATATAGCCTAGAATATGATAGCAAATAATAAGCAGAGACAGGAACTCAAACAGCTTCCCATTCTGGGTGGTTAAACAGAGGAGCAAACAAACTTCAAATTGCTTTGAAAGGAGAGCATCATTTTATCATGCATACACAGTACATGGACTATACTGATAAGCCAGACATGAAATTCCATTTGATATACTCTGCTAAATAAATGATGCAAGCACAGTACATTTTAGAGACAGAATCTTAAAGTACACAGCTCTAAAGGTACCATCTCCCTTTTCTCGTCTGTAAGAATAAGAATCTCTTCCTCCAAGATTGTTATGAGGATCACGTCAGGTAATGTACACAATGCACTTGGCAATGGTCCATGGCACAGGGTAAACACTCAAAACTGTGGATTACCATTATTATGGCACATACAGTAATTATAAAGACATTGGGATAATAGCAGACAGGCAAATTCTATTCTATATACTTTGCTTAAGAAATTGTGGTGGGCCGGACACTGTGGCTCATGCCTGCAATCCCAACACTTTGGGAAGCCAAGGTGGGAGGACTGCTTGACACCAGGAGTTCAAGACCAACCTGGGCAACATGGCTGGTCTTGAAAAACACTGTCTCTACAAAAAATAAAAAACTTAGCTGGGCATGGTGGTGCACGCCTGTGATCCCAGCTACTCAGGAGGCAGAGGTAGGAGGAAAGCTTGAGCCCAGGAGATCAAGGCTGCAGTGAGCCATGATTGTGCCACTGCACGCCAGCCTGGGTGACAGGGCATGACACTGTCTCTAAAAAAATAAAGAGATAGGCCGGGCGTGGTGGCTCACACCTGTAATCGTAGCACTTTGGGAGGCCAAGCTGGGCAGATCACGAGGTCAGGAGGTTGAGACCATCCTGGCAAACACAGTGAAACCCCATCTCTACTAAAAATACAAAGAAATTAGCTGGGCGTGGTGGCGGGCGCCTGTAGTCCCAGCTACTCGGGAGGCTGAGGCAGGAGAATGGCATGAACCCGGGGGGCGGAACTTGCAGTGAGCCGAGATTGCGCCACTGCACTCCAGCCTGGGCGACAGAGCGAGACTTCATCTCTAAATAAATAAATAAATAAATAAATAGAAATAAAGAAATTGTGGCAACACTTAAAACATTTTAGAACTATTTCTATCCCAAATGGCTTAACGATTTTTGAAAGCTGGTAAACAGTAAAAACTAGTCTATCTAGAATAACCTCTTCCCTGAAGAGTATTGCTAAGATGTTTTGCTTATCATTTGTGAAAACAGGAAAAACCTTTATCATAGGCAAGATAAAGTCATATTTTTAGAGGACATATTTAGGTTAAGGGGAACAACATATCAGCTCTCCAAATGGTATAAGCAGCAGACCAGTATATTTTTTTAAGAGGACATGACCTCTACAATAATGATCATGACCATGGAATTTTAATAGTGCTCTGAAATTCCAGGACTCAGGCTTTTAGCCAAGTGTTTTGAAACTTGATCAACTAACTGTTCTTCCATGTGATGGTCACAGAAGTCTTAAACACCCAAATAAAGCAAAACGACACGCTCACAGGAAGCTGTTTTCTTCCATAGTTCTGCTGAGGCTTAAAGGAGAAAGCTGAGAGGAACAAAATTCCACAGCAAAAATGTTTAAAATATCACATTATTCGGTTCTCATTGGGGACTCTTTCCTTTTTTCCTTTTGTCTCTTTTTTTTTTTTTTTTTTTTGAGATGGAGTCTTACTCTGTCACCCAGGCTGGAGTACGGTGGTGCGATCTCAGCTCACTGCAACCTCCGCCTCCTGGGTTCAAGCGATTATCCTGCCTCAGCCTCCTGAGTAGCTGGGATTACAGGTGCCCGCAACCAAGCCCGGCTAATTTTTGTATTTTTAGTAGAGACAAGGTTTCACCATGTTGGCCAGGCTGGTCTCGAACTCCTGACCTCTAGTGATCCACCCGCCTCGGCCTCCCAAAGTGCTGGGATTATAGGCATGGGCCAGTGGGCTTGACCTTGTCTCTTTTTTCCATTATGTTTCTACTGAATCTTGTATGATATGTGGAGCTCTGAATCTATGGGTCTTTTAATAACTGTGTGTCGGCCAGGTGCGGTGGCTCATGCCTGAAATCCCAGCACTCTGGGAGGCCGAGGCAGGCTGATCACGAGGTCAGGAGTTTGAGACCAGCCTGAACAACATGGTGAAACCCCGTCTCTACCAAAAATACAAAAGTTAGCCAGGTGTGGTGTCGTGCACCTATAATCCCAGCTACTCAGGAGGCTGAGGCAGGAGAATTGCTTGAACCTGGGAGGGCGAGGGTTGCAGTGAGCCGAGATCACACCACTGCACTCCATCTTGGGTGACAGAGCAAGACTGTCTCAAACAAACAAACAAAAAAAAACTGTGTGTCACTTTTTCAAACTACTGATGAAATCAGGTTTCTAATATCATCATCCAGCTAAGAGTTAAATCTCTAATCCCTGCAGGAAAAATTATCACAAATTATAAATCATAGAGAACATAAGTATAATAATTATAATAATAGTAAATAACATAAAGAACTATTACATACCTGTGGGCAAATAAAGCCTGCCCCGTACATAATGCTCCTTATAGAAGAAGATAGTACATCTCTGGGAATGAGAATATCTGCAAAGATCATCATGAAGTTGCTGAAAAAGGTTAAATTAAAGACTTGAAAGAAATTCATGATCAGAAAAAGGTAAAAGTATTTCTGGGGCAAGATCTATCTCACGGATAAAATGACAGGAGTCCAGGCGAGATTCTGTTTAGATTCCAAGAGGAGGTTCTCTTTGGGGCTTCTTTTAGGTTTGAAACGCCTCACGTGATACATCCCAGCGTAAAGGCTGGCAGCAGCAAGGAAAGCAATGACGATGGCAACAGCCTGGAAATGGGGCAAAATTTCCATGTTATTAGAGATCAGGCCATAGAAAAGGATACTGGTAGAGCCCACAAGTGATGCCACTTGGTTAATTTTAATAAGCTGAAGCCGACTTTCATGTCTAGTGAAAATCTCTGCAAACAGTTTACATTGGGCTTGTTGGACACAGGTGGGCATGCTATCAAATGCACATAATGATACCACCAGGTGAAGTCCACTAAGCCAGTCACCTTCTTGATAGTATTTCCAAGGGAACCACGGGAGCAGGAAGGCTGCTGCATAGAAAGGGACACAGTACAAGACAGAAATATGATGACTTGAACAGCATTTGGCTTTAGAGTTGTTGGGAAAATATCCAGTCAGGTCATTAAGAACATTCCATATCATTAAAATTATTTAGGAAGAAAAAAACACACAGGATGTTTCAGTGTAGTAGAACAAATTACTGCCCTCAGTACAAGACAAAAATGACCCCTGATTTTTTTTTTTTTACTTACGTGAAGTAACCGAAGGTGATCAGTAGAAAAGCTCATTGTTTTCAGAACTACTTAAAAATTTAATAACAGCAAATACTACTCAAAAGCCAATGTGCATTCACTTTGTTTTTTTTTTTTTTTTTTTTTTAGACGGAGTCTTGCTCTGTCGCCAGCCCAGAGTGCAGCGGCACGATCTCGGCTCACTGCAACCTCCACCTCCCGGGTTCAAGTGATTCTCCTGCCTCAGCCTCCCAAGTAGCTGGGACTACAGGCACGCACCACCACGCCCAAATAATTTTTGTATTTTTAGTAGAGACGGGGTTTCACCATGTTGGCCAGGATGATCTTGATCTCTTGACCTCGTGATCTGCCGGCTTCGGCCTCCCAAAGTGCTGGGATTACAGGCATAAGCCACTGCGCCCGGCTTGCATTCACTTTGTATTCAGGCATTGTATAAGTGTTTATGTGCATTATTTTATCAAATCCTTAAAAACCCTAGCCGAGCACAGTGGCTCATGTCTGTAATCCCAGCACTTTGGGAGGCCAAGGCAGGAGAATTGCTTGAGCCCAGGAGTTCAAGACCAGGCTGGGCAACATAGCGAGACCCTATCTCTAAAATTAAAAAAAAAAAATTCTCTTTTTTTGAGACAGAGTCTTGCTCTGTTGCCCAGGCTGGAGTGCAGTGGAGCAATCTTGGCTCACTGCGGCCTCTGCCTCCAGAGTTCCAGTGATTCTCCTGCCTCAGCCTCCTGGGTAGCTGGGATTACAAGCGCATGCCACCACGCCTGGCTAATTTTTGTATTAGAGTAGAGACGGGGTTTCACCATGTTGGCCAGGCTGGTCTCCAAATCCTGACCTCAGGTGATCCACCCACCTCAGCCTCCCAAAGTTCTGGGATTACAGGCGTGAGGCACCACGCCCGGCCAAAAAATTTTTTTTATTTAATTAGCTGGGCATGGTGGTGTGCACCTGTAGTCCCAGCTACTTGGAGACTGAGGTAAGAGGACTGCTTGAGCCTAGGAGGTCGAGGTGCAGTGAACCGTGATCATACCGCTGCACTGCAGTCTGGGTGACAGAGCAAGACTCCCATCACAAACAAACACACAAACAAAAAACAATCCTTTGAGGCAAGTATTACTCTGACTTTACAAATGAGAAAACTGAGAGCCAGAGAAGTTAAGCAACTTGCCTAGCTAATAAACAACAGAGCCAGGGTCTAACCCAAGGTAGACGACCCCATAGCATGTGCTTTCAATCTTGTGCTAGACTGCCTTCCAACAACAGCACACAGGGCCATGCCTCTGCAAAGGTTGATGGCCTGTTTACACCAAGGCATAGTTTTACATAATTTCATTAGGAAAGGTTAAAATATCAATGTTTGGCATTTCAAATTAAATCTAATTAGTATGTTATTACTGGTAATAAATGAGTAACATTATAAAATATAAGGGTTTTAAAACCATGAACTCTTCCAGCCTGCCACCTAATTGGTAATGAGTTACAACACAATTTGTGAATACTGTGGGCCTTTTCAAAACAGAATATTTTAGGACTGGGCACAGTGGCTCATGCCTGTAATCCCAACAGTTTGGGAGGCTGAGGCAGGAGGATTGCTTGAGCCCAGGAGTTCGAGACCAGCCTGGACAACATAGTGAGACCCCTATTTCTAAAAAAAAAAAAAAAAAAAAATAGCCAGGTGTGGTGGCTCACACCTGTCATCCTACTCAGGAAGCTGAGCCAGGAGGATTGCTTGATCCTAGGGAGGTCAAGCCTGCAGTGAGCTATGATTGCACCACTGCATACCAGCCTGGGCAACAGAGCAGTCTCAGAAAAAAAAAAAAAAAAAAGAGAGGGACAGAGACTGGATATCTTAGTAATAATACTGATTTTTCCATATAAATTAATTTTCCAGACAACCTAAGCTTATTCTTTAAATTCTAATGCCTTTACATTTTAACTAGCAATCTTTTAAAAATCTCTCTTTCCGGCTGGGCGCGATGGCTCACACCTGTAATCCCAGCACTTTGGGAGGCCAAAGTGGGTAGATCACCTGAAGTCATGGGTTTGAGACCAGCCTGGCCAACATGGCAAAACCCTGTCTCTATTAAAAATACAACAATTCGCCGGGCGTAGTGGCATGGGCCTGTAATCGCAGCTATTGGGGAGGCCGAGGCAGGCGAATCACTTGAATTGGGGAGGTGGAGGTTGCAGTGAACCGAGATTGTGCACTGCACTCCAGCCTGGGTGACAGAGCAAAACTCTGTCTCAAAAAATAAAATAAAAGGCCAGGCGCGGTGGCTCACGCCTGTAATCCCAGCACTTTGGGAGGCCGAGGCGGGTGGATCACGAGGTCAGGAGATTGAGACTATCCTGGCTAACACAGTGAAACCCTGTCTGTACTAAAAAATACAAAAAATTAGCCGGGTGTGGTGGCGGGTGCCTGTAGTCCCAGCTACTCGAGAGGCTGAGGCAGAAGGATGGCGTGAACCCAGGAGGCGGAGCTTGCAGTGAGCCGAGATCGTGCCACTGCACTCCAGCCTGGGCAACAGAGTGAGACTCCGTCTCAAAAAAAATAAATAAAAGAAAATAAAGTAAAATAAAAAATAAAAATCTCTCTTTCCCTCAAAGGAAGGAGATCTGTCCTATGTGAAAGGACAGTAAAGATTCCATCTCACCTGGGCTTGATAAAAGGCCACTTCTGAAATCTTGTACAGATGTAGAAAAAGTTTCACATAGTAGAAACCAAAGACAGAATTCAGCATTTCAGTCCCTAATGTCATCATAGAGTATGCCCAAGCAATGGGTTTGATATTTAAAAGTGTCATTTTCCATGCAGAGGAACTCTTCTTCCCTTTGTTTAAAAAAAAAAAAAAAGGTTAAAATTCACTGCACACAGTAGTGGATGGGGGGGCAAAACATGGCTGGCCAGTACTTATTTTAGCCAAATAAGAGTTCAAACCTACGAGCTGTGAGTATGTCACCAGATTTAACACCTTACTTCCTTATCTATTCACTCAATATTTTTTGAGATGCTCGCCAGGAAACCTAGTTTGCATAGAGTATGACTCCACTTATATTTTTGTCTATCTCTTCGAACTTATAAAGTGGGATTTCAGCCTGGCCAACAGGGCAAAACCTCATCTCCACAAAAATACAAAAATTACCTGGGTGTGGTGGCATGCACCTGTAGTCCCAGCTACTTGGGAGGCTGAGGCAGGAGAATTGCTTGAACGCCAGAAGCAGAGGTTGCAGTGAACTGAGATGGCACTACTACAGTCCAGCCTGGGCGACAGAGCAAGACTCCACCTCAAAAAAATATATAAAATAAAGTGGGATTCATCCAAGAGCTTGGACATGATTAACTAGTGTCAAGGAGATATGTTTATGCCATTATTATCCTCCTTACTTGGTAGGGTACAACAGAAACAGAACAACAAGGTGACAGCCTTTTGCTCAAGTCAAAAAGAAAATAAGTCCCTCATCTTAGTTTAAAGTTGTTCATTCAGTAGTACAGACTTGCATTTGAAGACTTATTCTTGATCTTCTGTAGCTTTGACAGCAAGGACATCACTACAATGGGTACAGAAATAACACATTCTGATCCTTGCTGAGATCCTTGTATGGGCCTATCTTAAATCTAGCCTATTGTCTGTCTTACCCTTTGATTTTTATAAGTAGAAAACAGGAAAAGGCTAACCAAGCAAGAGGAAGGCATAGATTCATCTTCCTTTCAATCTTGACTATAGTTTAAAGAGAATACCATGATCTTTCTGTTCTATTCTTGGCTTACTTGAATATTTAGCCAGGTCTCTGCATCTTATTCAGTCAGAAAACAGACACAGATTCAGATAACTCAAAGGATGTTACTTGCTTGAGTAATCCTTGGGCCTCGCTTTAACTTTGTAGATCCAGGAACAGAATTAAGCAGACAGTTCGGTCTACACTGCCAAATTTCTTAGGGAAAAAGAGGGCAAGTCAGAAGGAGGAAGTTGGCATTTGGCTCAAATGACCAAATTATTTAAGGTCTCTACACTTCACTTTGCACCAAGTAGACCCAAGAATGATTATAATTCAGCTACGTGTGGTGGTGCAGATCAGTAGTCCTAGCTATTCAGGAGGCTGAGGCGGGTGGATTGGTTGAGCCCAGGAGTTTGAGGCTGCAATGAGCTATGATCTCGCCACTGCGCTTTAGCCTGGGCAACAGAACAAGACCCTGTCTCAAATTAAAAAAAAAAAAAAAAGAAGACTCTAATTCTATGAGTGGCAGGGTCCTAGAATTATCAAAAATGGGTTATCAAACCCATATGCATACCAAGCATTGTCTATAGAATAAAGAATGTTTTGTCCACATGTGTACTTGTATTCTTAAAATGTTTGTAGCTTCTGCTATAATGATTAAAAATACAAATCTGATTGTTTTCATCATGATGCAGTTCCCAAACACTTCAAAACTACTATTGTGTGGAGGCCAGCCAACATTTTTTACTTTAAAAGCAATTCTCAGATTTCAAAATGCTGGGAACTACCAGTGAAGACTTCACTCTAAGGAGTTCATCCCTGAGAATGAAGACTGAGGCTAGAGGTTGCTTGGTTACTAAAAGAGTCAAAAACAAGGGAGACAGTAGAATCAAAAGCCAAGACACAAATTTAGCCTACCAAAACCTAGGGACTCTTGTTTCTTTTAGTTTTATTTCAGGCGTGCTAAAACAAGAAGCATGCTGCACCTTTCTAATCTGATCTATCACTAAGTTGCATGGCAGGTATTTGTAAACTTATAATTCTGCAAAAGGCCATAAGCTTTCTGAGAGTTGAATTCAATTTTTTTTTCAAAGATTTAAGTTAAGTACCCAGCCTGTCCGAAACATAAGAATATAAGGTTTCAATTGCATTATGAAAAACTCTACGGTCTGAACTTCGTGGCCAGGCACAGTGGCTCACGCCTGTAATCCCAGCACTTTGGGAGGCCGAGGTGGGCAGATCACTTGAGGTCAAGAGTTTGAGACCAGCCTGGCCAACATGGTGGAACCCCATCTCTACTAAAAATACAAAAATTAGCCGGGTGTGGTGGCAGGTGCCGGTAATCCCAGCTACTCAGGAGGCTGAGGCAGGAGAATGCTTGAAACTGAGAGGTGGAGGTTGCAATGAGCCAAGATCATGCCACTGCGCTCTAGCCTGGGCAACAGAGACACTGTTTCAAAAAAAAAAAAAAAAATTTAAAACATTAAAAATTTAAAAAAGTCTACATTCTGAACTTCTCTTTGTTTTTACATATTGCGTGAAGTAGAAATCTTTATTTCCTTCTGCAAAAGGAGCCATTAATATTTTCCTTTAGATTACTGTCATCCCAATTACAATGGCAGATACTATGAGATCCACCGTCACTGGGGCGGCAACGTCCTGGGTCCTAAGTCTGTGGCTCGTATCGCCAAGCTCGAAAGGGCAAAGGCTAAAGAACTTGCCACTAAACTGGGTTAAATGTACACTGTTAAGTTTTCTGTACATAAAAATAATTAAAATAATACAAATTTTCCTTAAAAATAGATTACTGTTATCATAGTAAATACTTATTTCTGTAAGTATCAAACTGAAAATCACCACTTACAATTTTTTTAAAGCCCCCATTGCTACCTAAAAACTCTCCTTACATGACTTTACTATAGCAATAAAACAAAAGAGAACAAGAGCATTTTATCTTTACAACCGAAGACAAAGGATTTCTGAATCTGATCTTATTTATCACAACATATTTTATAAAGAAAACTTATAAAGTTGGCCAGGCATGGTGACTCAGGCCTGCAATCCCAGCATTTTGGGAGGCCAAGACAGGCAGATTGTTTGAGCCCAGGAGTTCAAGACCAACCTGGGCAACATGGTGAAAACCTGTCTCAACAGAGAATACAAAAATTAGCCAGATGTGGTCGCACATGCCTGTAGTCCCAGCTACTAGGGAGGCTGAGGTAGGAGGATCACCTGAGCCCTGGGAGGTTGAAGCTTCAGTGAGCTGTGATAGCGCCACTGTACTCCAGCCTGGGTGACAGAGTGACATCTTGTCTCAAAAATAAACGAAGAAACAAACAAACAAAAAGAATTAAATAGTAGCAAAATGGTGCCATGGTTAGTTAGGCTGGGCAAGTTCATTAAATAATGGTGAATTATTATGAACACCATAAATTCTCCTTTTGGAATCAACTTGGGTGGTTATTTACTAACCTACTAAACCAAATAATATTAACGTCACTGAAGAGGTTACTTATGATTGCTTCTAAACCATGACTGAGTAGACTCTAAAAGAACAATGGAAACTTCACCAAATTTAGCACAGAAAACTGACACCAGTTTTTCAATGCAATTTTTGTTCAAGATTTTCCAGGGGAAAAGAAGTTTCCTTAAATAGTGTCCTTAAAAACAACCCAATAACACACCAAAAGACATAAAGTTTGTGGGTTTTTTTGCTTTTTTAAACTATCAATAACTTTATTTATTCACTTATTTATTTTTTTTGAGAGGAAGTCTCACTCTGTTGCCCAGGCTGGAGTGCGGTGGCATGATCTCGGCTCACTGCAACCTCTGCCTCCCGGGTTCAAGTGATTCTCCTGCCTTGGCCTCCCAAGTAGCTGGGATTCCAGGCATGCGCCACCATGCCCAGCTAATTTTTGTATTTTTAGTAGAGACGTGGTTTCACCATGTTGGCCAGGCTGGTCTCAAACTCCTGACCTCGTGATCTGCCCACCTAGGCCTCCCAAAGTGCTGAGATTACAGGCGTGAGCCACCACGCCTGACCCTCAAAAACTTTAATTCTCCATATCTTTCTTTTCTTTTCTTTTCTTTTTTAAAGGAGAATTGTTGACTGGGCGCGGTGGCTCACACCTGTAATCCTAGCACTTTGGGAGGCTGAGGCAGGCGGATCACTTGAGGCCAGGAGTTTGAGATCAGCCTGGCCAACATGGCTAAACCCTGACTCTACTTGAAACACAAAAACTAGCCGAATATGGTGGCACATGCCTGTAATTCCAGCTACTCAGGAGGCTGAGGCACGAGAATCACTTGAACCAGGGAGGTGGAGGTGACAGTGAGCAGAGATGGTGTCACTGCACTCCAGCCTGGGCCACATGGTGAGACTCTGAAAAAGAAAAAAAAAATGGAGAATTGTTAAAGAACATTTCAATATGCATTTGAAGTCAAAATGAGCTTCTGTTTTCGATGGAGCAAACAGCGGGCACTTTGAACCTTGCGAATCAGTGATAAGAATCGTGAAGGGGGCCGTGCACGGTGGCTCACACCTGTAATCCTAGCACTTTGGGAGGCTGAGGCTGGTGGATTGCCTGAGGTCAGGAGTTCAAGTCCAGCCTGGCCAACATGCTGAAACCCCATCTCTATTAAAAATTCAAAAATTAGCCAGGCGTGGTGGTGGGCGCCTTTAATCCCAGCTACTTGGGAGGCTGAGGCAGGAGAATCACTTGAACCCAGGAGGCGGAGGTTGCAGTGAGCCAAGATCACGCCATCGCACTCCAGCCTGGGTGACAAGCGTGAGACTCTCTCAAAAAAAAAAAAAAAAAAAATGCCCCTGCATGATTCTAGCCCTTTAGCTTCCACAAATCACCATTGCCAATTATTCCTAAATCCAACTTGCTATCTTTCCAAAGGGTTCTATCTTTAGTGATTAAGATAGTTTGTTTGAAGTGATCTTATTTCAACTCTGAATATCTCGATGGACAACTAGGGCAGTAGAAGAGGCTTTACAGGACCTCACTTTCTTTTCTTTCTTTCTTTTTTTTTTTTTTTTTTTGAGACAGAGTCTCACTCTATTGCCCAGGCTGGAGTACAGTGTCACGGTCTCGGATCACTGCAACCTCTGCCTCCAAGGTTCAAAGGATTCTTGTGTCTTGGCCTCCCATGTAGCTGGGATTACAGGCTTGCACCACCACTCCCGGCTAATTTTTGTATTTTTAGTAGAGATGGGCCACCTTATTGGCCAGGCTGGTCTTGAACTCCCAACCTCAGGTGATCTGCCTGCCTCAGCCTCCCAAAGAGCTGGGATTACGGCATGAGCCACTGTACACAGCCTTTTTTTTTTTTTTTTTTTTTTTTTTTTTTGAGACAGGGTCTTGCTCTGCTGTCACCTATCATAGCTCATCGTAACCTCAAACTCCTGGACTCAAGCAATTCTCTCACCTCAGCCCCCCAAGTAGCTGGGACTACAGGTGTGCCAGTAACATTTTGCCTTTTTGAAGAAAGGGATTTGTGAGTTTACCATTCCTCTTTTATTATTATTATTACTTTCTAACAGTGTTATTCCTTCTACATTTTTTGCTTGGCATCCTACTGTAAGAAAGTTTTCTTTTCTCTCCCATTTATTTATGTCAGTATGGACTCATGGATTCTTTCCTTTTTATTCAATGGGTTATAATCCATTACTATGATTATTTATTGTGATGCTCATAATTGGTCCTCAAGGGTACCTGCACTTCTACAGTATAGGTCACAAGAACACAGCCTTACATTTAAAATGAGCACAAAATACTTGCTTTCAGGGTCTCTCTGATTCAGATAGCTCTGTGAGCAAGGCAAACAATCATCTTTCCTGTAAACTGTTTGCTAAAAGGCTTCTCTGCTGGTACTGAGTATGGCGAGAACTCTAGGTTTTCTCACTCTAGGTCCCTTGTGCTTTCCACTCTATTCAGCAGTCTCCTTTAAGGACTGAAGGGTAAAACTTCAGGTAACAACTCCACAGTGGGAGGTCTTGTCCTTGGCAAGACTTCTCCAGAGTAGCCTACAGCCTATGTGTAAGGTAACCCTGGAGTCAAGTGCTGTTTGATACAGCATCAGCGTGAGGTTAGGTTATGCTGGTTTGAGCAAAGATGGGAGGCAGAGAGACACCCTGAATTTTATTACCCACAAGAATTATTCAGGATGAGTTTTTCCCCCCTTCCAAATTACCCAAGTCTTTTTTTATACAGAAAGACAAAAAAAGTAGCTTGAGTCTATAATTCCTTCCCTACAATTTCCCTTATTTTTAATGTGCAAGTAACTAAAAAAGCAAGATCACAGAAGGGTTTATAACAAAAAGCCAAAGTCCCCAGCCTCAAATCACTCCTCCTCTTAGGAAAACTTTTTTTTTTTGTTTGGTTTTTGAGACGCAGTTTTTGCCCAGGCTGGAGTGCAATGGCGCAATCTCGGCTCACTGCAACTTCCACCTCCCGGGTTTCAAGCAATTCTCCTGCCTCAGCCTTCCAAGTAGTTGGGATTACAGGCATGCGCCACCACGCCCAGCTAATTTTGTATTTTTAGTAGAGATGGGGTTTCTCCATGTTGGTCAGGCTGGCCTCGAACTCTCGACCTCAGGTGATCCGCCCGCCTCGGCCTCCCAAAATGCTGGGATTACAGGCGTGAGCCACCGTGTCCAGCCTCGGAAAACTCTTAATTGCTTCCCATTTTTAGTTCTGGCAGCTCTCTCCATATTTGTGGAAACTATTCATTGGATTATCAATGTAAGGTATTATCTGTCGACTCACTTCTAAAATAGATCAGGATTTAACACTCCTCTCCACCTCTTCCCTCTCTCTGAATTTCTAACAGTTTATTACCTCATGTTCTAGAGATAATCTTTCAATTGTATACTTAAACCTCGATTTTTTTTTGTTTCGTTGCTCAAAGTTAGTTAGATATTGGCCCTGTTGTCTTCCATCAGCTGCACCTTTACCTTTACGTCAAGGTTGAGAACATTGACCTTCAGGTCTGTCATCCTGCTTAAGAGTTTCCGTGCTTTGTCTGCAAGATGGTGCTTAAAGCTTTACCTAGGAGCAGTATTTGCTGGGTTATGTCGGTGGAGGACAGCGTGCTCTGCCTCGCTGGCTACTAAGTGCTGGAGCTGCAGCCTGTCCCCTCCAGGTGCAATGTCACGTCCCCAGATGCTTAACTTGTGGTCTAGGGGTACCTTTTAAAAATCGTTGCAACACTGCTTACAATTTTCGCCCTCCAAGTGGACAGCTTCGGGCATCCCTCACCGCCCCAGATTCTCAAGGGGGTCTGGTGCCCACCGTTTTATGTAGCGTGAGTTTAATTCCCAGGGCTCAGATGTCAAGGAGACAAGAGCTACCGCTCAGTGGGCGTTTTCTCAACCCAAACTCCCGATCGACCTCGAGTCTCCCCGCCGGACCCGGAGCAAATCTCAGAGTCAAGATGCGAGAAGGGGTGGCCGGGCGGCGGACCTCAGGCTTCCGGCACCCTTGCGCTTCCCGCCGGCACGAAGGACTCCCCTGGACAACCGCCCGCCTCTCAGAGGCCGGAGTCCTAGGCCCTCCGGCCTGCGTTGCCTGTCCACAGACGCGCCGGCCTCGGGACACCCACCACAGGGGTAAGACGCGCCTCTGCCAGCTCCCCAGCCCGAAACCCAGAACGCCCTCCTAGGAGCCTCACAGCGCAGATCAGGGGACGGGCTTTCGGCCGCACCCCTTCACTCTTTCCCCGCCTTCTTTGTTTATTCCGGACCCACCATTGGCTGCTTGCCCTCGATACCGGGCGAGCCGCCGGTCTTTGGAGAGAGGCGATTGGACGAAGTCCCTGCCGCTCGGCCAGCAGCCCGCTCGCGATTGGTTGAGGCGCCGCCGGGGGTTTGAATCGCATCCCCGGCCGGGGAGGGTTCTGCCAAAGTGCCACGTTGGGCCCGGCGGCGGCGTGAAGACTGGCGGCTGCGTGAGACTCCGGCTCCAGGCGTTCGCACCGTAATGCCCGGCCGTTGGGGCCGTCGGTAGGCGCGAGGCGAGTCGAGGCAGCCGGCCGGTCGGCGGCCGCCGGCGGGAACGGGGCTGAGGCGGCGCAGCGGAGTCTGGGCGGCGGCGCGTCCCGCCCGAGGGCGGCTCTGGCTGAGGGCGGAGGGGCCGGGGAAGAGCCCGGGGCAGCGGCTGAGGCGGGACGGCGGCGGGGGCCGCTGCCCCTAGAAGACCCAGCCGAGATGCTGGCGGAAAACCTGGTAGAGGAGTTTGAGATGAAGGAGGACGAGCCGTGGTACGACCACCAGGACCTCCAGCAAGGTGAGGGCGGGGGCGCCCCGCGGGCGGGCGGCGGCCTGGCCCGGGAGGCCCCCGCTGCGAAACTGTTAAAAAGTTGCTTTTTGTGGCGGCGGAGGATGCAGGTGCCGGGAAGGGCTCAGGCTCACCTGGCGGCTGGGCCGGCCGTGCCCGCGGATCCCGCCCGCAGGAAGCCTCGGCACGGGGCCCACGGCCTTGCTAATGCGCAGTTGAATATCAGCCCCGAGGCGCGTGGGGGCCAGGGACGAGCCAGGCACCGTTTTAAGCGCTTTCCGTGGATTAGCTAGTTTAATCCTCACTGCATTCCTCCGAGGCAGACCCGGGTGAGCCAGTGTGTCCCGCAGTAAGTGGCATAGCCCGAGAAGCCGCCCCGTCGCAGGCTGTCTAGCCCAGCGCCTTTCATGGCCAGCGTGGAGGGCCGGCTGCTGCAGGTGGTAGTTGTTTTGCGGCGTAGCGGGAGCTGTGCGCTCCGCACCGTAACTCCAGGAGACAGTAACTTTTTAAAAATTAATGTTTGAGGGTACATGGTAGGTGTATATATTTGTGGGGTACATGAGATGTTTGGATACAGGCACGCAGTGTGAAATAAGCACGTGATGGAGAACGGGGCGTCCATCCCAGCATTTATCCATTGAGGTACAAACAATCCAATTACACACTTTTGTTATCCCATTTTCCATATGAGGAAAGCGGAGATTAAAACGGTAAAGTGGCTTGCCTAAAGCTAAGTGTGGGAGGGAGTGTTTTTTGAACCCACACACTCAGAAGAAGAGTTGTAGTCACTGCTCAAACCCCATCTCTTCCTTACCATCCTAGTTTACAGTTTTTTTCAGTTGGGCGTTAAGCTGTTAGGCATAGTTCACCAGATGCCAATTGAAACGACAGAAGAAAGAGCGCATCTATCTCTGCCACTTTTCTTCAGTTTGCACGCCAGCTTTCACTTAGAAACAGGCCTGCCGATGGTGTCTCCAGAGAACAATCGTAGAGTAGCCCACTCTTTGGGGCCAGTGGGGCCCCTGTTTTTCTTATACTAATAGCAGGAGCTAGCAGTTGGGGAACACTTTTTATGTGCCTAACACTGATAGGCCCATAACACAGTTGCTCATTTAATTCTCCCAGTAACACAATAGAGGTAGTAATGTTGGGGAGTGCTAGGGTTCTCCTTAAGACTCCAGAGCAAACGTTCTTAACCGCTATACTGAGTACTGAACAATCCTCAGGAATTTTTCCAGGCATCTTCAGTTTCTGCAATTCTGTGTAAATGCTCTCAGCTCTAATCTTGCAATGAAAATTAACATCTCATTTAGTTGAATATTAAATGATCATGTTGCTTGTTCATGCTAACCACTGAACATGGCAGAAGAAAAGAATGTAGACCTGAATAACTCAGAAAAGGAAAATAAAATGAGCACCTCTTTTGGAGGAAGATAATTTCTTAAATTAACATGCAATCACTTTAACCAAAGTAATTCACCTTTATTACACTTACAGAGTCCAAGCTACTTAGTGGTTGCAGTGCAGTGTTTGGCACCATCTTCTTTATGTCCAAGAGACAAATTTATTATACATATTAACAAACCTGTTTTCAGATTTCCCCGTAAGGATTGATGGCCTAGTTTGATAGTTTCTCCAGGATTTGTGAGGCAACCACTGTACCACTGCAGTACTTCCCTATAATTTAATTTGTATCATCACAACTAAATATTTCTCTTTCCTGTATTTAAGAAGCATTAATCTTTAAGGGCATAGAGGGGGCAGGTTCTTTTTTCTTGTGTTTCCAGCATCTAGCATAATACTTGGCACATACTGGAAGCTCGATTTTAATATTTGTTGAACTGCACTGAAGCACTCGCACAGAATTGTTTTCATGGCTCTCTTCCATCAGGTGCCTTAGTCCACGCTGCATTCTCCCGCTGTGGGAGGTTGTTAGGAACAACAGCTGTAACACTTCAATCTACCGAGCAGCAAGTGCAACGTGTCAGGGTTACACGAGGAATTCTCTTTAACCTCTGATCAAAATAAAGTCATCAGCTCTTCAAGTTTAACCTTAAAAACACAGGTCTGGGCTGGGCGCAGTGACTCATGCCTGTAATCCTAGCACTTTGGGAGGCCGAGGCGGGCATATAACCTGAGGCCAGGAATTCGAGACCAGCCTGGCCAACATGGTGAAACTCCATCTCCACTAAAAATACAAAATTAGGTGGGTGTGGTGGCAGGCCCCTGTAATCCCAGCTACTCGGGAGGCTGAGGCAGGAGAATTGCTTGAAACTGGGAGGCGGAGTTGCAGTGAGCTGAGATCGTGCTATTGCACTCCAGCCTGGATGACAAGAACGAAACTCCCTCTCAAAACACACACACACACACACACACACACACACACACACATATCTGAACCTCTTTACTGCCAGTTGCATTTCTGTGTTTTTCAAAGGGCTGTTACGTTATCACAGTGGACTTTGACTTAACCCTCTGTGTCATAACCAACTATATGGAGTACGAGTAGAAGATGTGAAATTCCAACAATTGTAACTTGTGAATATGGCCTGTCAAAGAATAAAGGCTACAGTGTGAATAAAAGGGTATCCTTTCCCCAGTTTTGCTAAGTTATATGTTAACTCCTAAACTTTTAACAGATTTTAAAACTTGTTCATTTCTCAAAAATGTATTATCTGCTCTTTGCCAGGTATTCGCCTGGGCCCTGGGGCCACAGCACCTCCCCACATGAGTGGATAGGTAGGATTCCTACTCCCATAGAGTGAATGTTCCAGGAATCTGTTCACTAGAGAAGCCTGGAGGTGCCGCCTCATGGGATGTGCCCACTACAGCGCCTCGTACATTGTAGGCCCTCAGTAGACACTTGCTGCTGAATTAAGTTTGGGAGCAGGTCTGTCCTGTTAAACAGATTATTCAGCAAGTCTAGTGGGATTTTATGTGCAGGCATCTGTCCGTTTTTTAACATCCTCATTATTATTACTGAGCAAGGCTTATTTGGAGAGAACTGCTTAAAACTTTTTTTTTTTTTTTGAGGTGGAGTCTCGCTCTGTCCCCAGGCTGGAGTGCAGTGGCACGCTCTTGGCTCACTGCAATCTCCGCCTCCCGCGTTCAAGCCATTTTCCTGCCTCAGCCTCCCAAGTAGCTGGGATTACAGACACGTGCCACCACACCCAGCTAATTTTTGTATTTTTAGTAGAGACGGGGTTTCCCCATGTTAGCCAGGATGGTCTCAATCTCCTGACCTCGTGATTTACCCGCCTCGGCCTCCCAAAGTGCTGGGATTACAGGCGTGAACCACCGCACCTGGCTGGAAAACAACTTTTAATGATCCTGTTCTCAGTATCTTACAACTATAGAATGTTTTCCTTTAGCAGTAGTAAGCCATGCTCTGAATAGATTGAATCTTTGTATCAAAGTTTCCTAGGGTATCCGTTTTTAAATTGAAATTGCTGGAAATTTCTAACCTCAGTAAACTCTGGTCTACTATTCATACCTTGTTAGAAACATGTAAAGCTTTTGTGTAGGCAGGAGGAGAAAACCCTTTGCTGTTACAAAACTCTTTGATGAAGAGACTGTCTTTTGTCAGAGAGCTGAGTTGGCTCAGTAGGAATACTGACAATAATCTCTGTGGGTAAGATCTTTTCTGGGACAGCAGGAGCCTTCAGTGCAGGTAATGATGGTGCTTGCTTTGAAACATGCCCCTGAGAACAAGGTGGAAAGACTTCAGAGACTGGATTTTCTTTTAAACCAGCTGCTATTGTCATTTGGTGAGCTGTGCAAACTTAGAATAAGGATTCAGGTTTCTGTTATGTGGATCAGTAAATGAACTCTTAGTTTAAAGGAATCCTAAAATTGCAGGATGAGTACATCCTCCTTGTGTACAACTATTTTGCTGAATCACTGTTTGGAGGGTTATTAAAACTGACAACATCATTTTTCTTGATATTTATATTCAGGTTTTCTGCTTTCCCAATTATAGTAACATTGGCAACAGGAGTTAAACAGAAGCATCACTAAATGACGCATTTGACTTTGTAATAGGAAAAACTTTCAGCCTTACTGTTAGTGAATTACTCCTACAGACTACAGCTGCCAGTACTAATTTTTTGCCTAAAGCATAGAGCTGAGTATCTGTTTAAAGCTAACAGTTTACACCATTAAAAATATATTATTACCTGCAAAGACTCATTAGTGAAAGAATATTCAACATATGAAGGTATTGATATGTTGAAATTCTCAAGCCTGCAATAAATCTACAGTATTTTTAGTAGTTGCCTAAACCAGGCCAGTTCAATAGGATTTAGAGAAGACCCTCTTAATGAAAATTCATTTTGTAATCCTGTAGAGATGAACAGGTGTATAAGGCTTCGAAACTATATTATTTCCTTTTCTTTTGTGCCTTAATTAAAACTATAAGGGACATTCAATATTCTATTCCCTCCACTAATTATTTAGAAAACTTTCTTGGGCTTACTGCCAGCTTTTGGCCTCTTTTGGTTATGGAAGCCAGCTGCTACTCAACAGGAAATGAACTTTTTTTAAAGACAAAGTCCGGTGTCTTTAAGCTAACAGATGAAGTAATATCCTGTTATACAGTGTGACTTCACAGGAGCTTTCTTGTAGTTGGGACTTGTTAAAATTCTATCCTTAACAGCCTATAAATATTTAGGAGATCGAGACTTCAGGTTTCTGAGCCAGGCTGGTGCTTTGTTTTACTGGAAATAAGGTTTGAGATAAGGACAAGTCTCAAATTCTTTTTTGTTTGCTATCTACTAAAGAGTGCTGTCCTTGGTATCTCTTTCTGCAGGAGCAGGGAAGAGGTTCCTGGCTACTCTTAAGTAGCACAGGTAGTTCCATAACTGAATGAAAGTGGTGATAGTCTCAAGACAGTCTGGATTCTGGGAGAGGTTTCAGCCCAGTTGGGTTTTGTTTTTTTTCTTTTTTTTTTTTTTCCTGCTAAGAGACAAGGTCTTGCTATGTTGCCCATGCTGGTCTCGAACTCTTGGCCTCAAACAGTCCTCCTGCCTTGGCGTCCCAAAGTGCTGAGATTACAGGTGTGAGCCACCACACCCGGTCCTTGGCTCAGGCTTTGATTGCTGGTTAAGAGCATCTTTGGTGAATCTGAGCCTTCCCAGTGAGGAATTACCACTTCACACATTTAAGAAGGAAAGACTTAAGTAATACCTAGGTAATGTTTTTATACTTTGTCTTTAATACAGTGTGGTAGCTTCCATATGGGTCTATGTATACACATTACACACTCTGTGAGTACAAAATCATTTTTTCTGGAACATGTTGAGCCATACATAGTTCCTTTTTCATTTGGTGAAAACAGGGTATTAACTTGCCTGGGGTTGTATGTGCTTTCACTAGCAGAGCAGGCAATAAAAACCCAAATAGTTGAACTCTAATTTCTCATTGCAATCTGTGAAAACAAGTAGAAGAAATTAAGTACCTCAACAAGGGGAACATTTGTATTCTCTACCTTAAAGAAGCCTGCGGACCTCTCTTTCAATTGCCTTAAAACTCTGCAGATGAAGATAACAAAGAATCGTGATGAGAGTGAGAGTGAGAACCTGTTGACCTAAGAGTTTCTGTTTGATCTGTGACTCACCTTGGAGCTTGATTAGGTCAATTAACAGTTTTGTGCTTCAGGCTGTCTCATCTGAGAAACTGGACTAAATACCTTTAAAGATATAAAGACTAATGTCTCTAGAAAACAAAAAGTAGGCTGGGGGCAGTGGCTCATGCCTATAATCCCCAGCACTTGGGGAGGCCGCGGTGGGCGGATCACTTGAGGTCAGGATTTCGAGACCAGCCTGGCCAGCATAGTGAAACCCCATCTCTACTAACAATACAAAAATTAGCCAGGTGTGGTGGTGGGTGCCTGTAATCCCAGCTACTCAGGAGGCTGAGGCAGGAGAATCACTTGAATCCAGGAGGCAGAGGTTGCAGTGAGCCGAGATCGCACCACTGCCCTCCAGCCTGGGTGACAAGAGTGAGAGACTCCATCTCAAAAAAAATAAATAAATAATGACAAGAAAAAGACTAATGTCTCTTAAATGCTTTGAGCTATTTGTAAAAGTTCTGTGTTTTGTAAATACAAGTTATTTCATAGATTTAATGGAAGTCTTTATTTTTTATTTTTTTATTTTTGAGACAGGGCCTCACTGTATTTTTGGTAGAGATGTAATTTCACCATGTTGCCCTGGCTGGTCTCGAACTTCTGAGCTCAAGCAGTCCATCTGGTTCACCCTCCCAAAATGCTGGGATTATAGGCATGACCCACTGCACCTGGCCTCTAAAGTCTTAATGAATGTAATGACTAATAGACATTGTTAGTTTTGAAATCACAAGAGAATGTATTTTAGCACCTATCTACCAACAGTATACTGTTTTATTTTAAATGGGTGTAAAATGTTTTTAAATGATCTGGAGTTGGGTGTGGTAGGTTTTGCTGCTTTTTCCAGAGTGAAAACTAACCAAGTAGAATACTAATTATGCACTTGAGTGGACATTACAACAACTAATGCTGTTGTTACCATTTACTCAATGCTAAGTTTTACTATGAGTAGTGGTGGATAGCCATTAAGCCTTATTTGTCAACCTCTAAAAATTAAGTTTAAAAATCATTATGTAGTGAGTTTCCTTGTTTTTATGATAAATTTTTTTCATAATACTTTTATGACAATAACTGAGGCTACTTTCCATCATACCTAGAATAAAATTTAAACTTTACCTACCATGGGCTATAAAATCCTATATGATCTGATCCCTCATGCTTCTATCATACTGGCTGCTTGTCAGGTTGTAGAATATGCCAAATTCATGGCAAGTTCTTCATCCTTCAAGCTTCAGCTAAAAGGTCTTGTCAGACCTTCCTTATGACCTCCCTTTCTAAATTGGGCCCTAGGCTGGGCACAGTGGCTCATGCCTGTAATCCCAACATTTTGGGAGGCTGATGTGGGAGGATGTGTTGAGGCCAGAAGTTTGAGATCATCCTGGGCAGCATTGTAAGACCCTGTCTCTACAATAAATCAGTAAGTAAGTAAGCTGGGTTTGGTAGTGCATGCCTGTAGTCCCAGCTGTTTGGCAGGCTGAGGCAGGAAGATCACTTGAGCCCAGGAATCCAAGGCTACAGTCAGCCATGAGTGCACCACTGCACTCCAGCATGGCAACAGAGCGAGACCGTGCCTAATAAAGAGACAGAAAAAGAAAGCCCTTTGTTCATTATCACCAAATCCAGGTTTTTCTCCCCCGCTTTATCTTTTAGACTTTATATTGAATTGGTCAACAAATCCTTTAGCTTTACTTTCAAAACATGTCAGAATTCTGCCCCTCCTCTCCCATCTTCATCTCTGCCACCCTGGTCCAAGCCACCATCATCTCTCACCCAGACGATTGCAGTATCTTTCTGTCACTCTGCTCCCACCTTTGTCCCATTCACCCTGTATAACAGCAGCCGGAGTGATCCTGTTAAACCTCCATTGGATTCCTTCATTTGGAGTAAAGGCCAAACTCTTGACCTCTTTAGTTAGGCCCTCCGCAAACTGGCCATCTTGGAGCCCCTCTGATTTGAGTCTTCCCCCTCCCCTCCCTGCCCAATACATTCTGCTCCACCCTCCTCAGCCTCCTTAATGACTCAGTCATGCTTCCTCCCAGGTGCTTTGCACTTGCCTTGCCTCTGCCTGGAGTGCTGTTTCCCTGATGGATACACATGGGTCACTTATTCTGTTCCTTCACACATTGATTCTAATGTGGCCCTGGTCACATGTTCTTAAATTTCAGCCTCCCACATCCACACTCCTCCTGTACTTCTTCCTTGCTTTATTTTTTTCTCTTTAGCATTTATCGCTATCAAGTTTTATTGTGCTGTTTCTCCCAGTAGAATATAAGCTCCATGAGGGCAGGGATATTTTTTTAATGTGAGTTCCTTATGGCTCCTGGGCACCATCCCAGTGCCTAGAATAGTGTCTGATATTATTGAGTATATGCATGCATGCATGAATACTGTTTATCACAGTATGTGAGTTTAGTTACTCATTTGTCTGGCTTCCTCCACTAATCTGGGAATGTCAGCAAAGCAGGACTTCATTTTATTCACTGTTCTATAGCTAATGCTTAGCATAGTGCCTGGCAACAAAAACATTCATTTGTGAATCAATGACTATTAATAGTACTTTGCGTGCGTATTGCAACTTAGTTTGTAAAGTACTCCTTTATGTATTATTTCATTTGATTTTCACAATCTTATATTGATAAGACAGTCATCTCTCTAAACAAGAATACTAACTATAGGGGCCTTAAAGTCACCATATTGAAAGTGTTCTGGTAAATGATAGAACTGGGCCTGAGACTTACCTGCCCAGAGTGCAGTGCATTTCCCACTGTATCAAAGGACTGCTCCATAAGATTTACTATGCAAAGAAGTATTTCAATGACGTATGTTACAACTAGTGTCCTTTCTTATATTGTTAACTAAATTTTCATTTCTGGGAGTTGAGTATAATATAAACAAATCCTGTTTTATGGGCATTATACCTAAGAATAGAGAGAGTTGAAAAATGAGGTTTAAAATAAAATATGGTTCTGTGCTAAATGGAAGTATGAGCTACTGACATGTAATTACCTCAAAAACCACATTTCTGTTTTGCTTTTCTAGTTGCTCATCTTACAGAAGGACACGAAGAGAAGTAGAGTGACCTGGGGCAGTGTTCTTAATGCTGATGTATTTTTCCTTTTCTTGACTTAATAAATTTTAGTCCCCTTAGGAGTCCAGGATATATGACAATAAACTTTAACAGTTGTATTCACAGCAGGCAAATTCATGGGAACTTTAAAGATTTTTGAAAGCTCCACCTATACCTTGGCTCAAGGGTCCATTCAAAAAAGTAGACTGTCAGGATATGAATACATTCATTGTACTAGCAAATAGGATTTTAGAAGTAACACTGCGGAATGATCATTCCTGAACAAATAACTGCATCTCCATAAAGTAGATGACCATTTTTCACTTCTTACAAGTATGGGTACATAAGAGAATACATTACCTGCTGGAGGCGTCAGTTTAACTGAATTTTAAGTAGAACTCGGGTTTCCTTCTGTGCCACTCCACCTTCCATTGGGATGTGACTTAAACTACATGTTCTTTTTTGAAGGACTGGGTTATATAAATTGTTGATGTGAGATCATTTGTATTATTCTAAGATTCATTTGTTGTGCTAGATCTTCAACTTGCTGCTGAGCTTGGGAAGACATTACTGGATCGGAACACAGAGTTGGAGGACTCTGTTCAGCAGATGTATACAACCAATCAGGAGCAGTTACAGGAAATTGAGGTAATTCACTTGGCAGGAGAGTTACACTTTTGACACTTCGATGTGTTGCTGTTATGCCAATCACATACTGGTAAAAAAGCACTTGCAATTAGATGCAGCATTTTATTTTTTAACACAAACTTTTTTGAGAATGAGAACCGCCTCCCGAGTAGCTGGGATTACAGGCGCCTGCCACCACGCCTGGCTAATTTTTGTATTTTTGGTAGAGATGGGGTTTCACTGTGTTAGCCAGGCTGGTCTCGAACTCCTGTCCTCAGATGATCCACCTGCCTTGGCCTCCCAAAGTGCTGGGATTACAGGCATGGGCCACCACACCCGGCCTAAAACATGCAATATTTAAGATATACAGAATGGGGTAAGAGAACAATACAGTGAATACCCATATATCCACCACCTAGCTTAAAAAAGAAGACTGCCCACACTCTTGAACTTCCCACCGGAGAGGGAACTTATACCTCCTCCTTGGTGACATATCCCTCCCACCTACTACCAAACCATATCCTAAATTTGAAAAAAAAAAATCATAGTTCCTGATTTCACAGTGTGTTCAGATGTTTTGCTCCATTCAAATAATCATAAAATACATGTTGCTTTCTCTCTGCTGTGATCTTGATTTGTTTACATTTTTGCTGGATATTTTATTAAAATGCTACATTTTTGGCTGAGTGTGGTGGCTTATGCCTATAATCTCAGCACTTTAGGATGCCGAGGGAGACAGATTGCCCAAGCTCAGGAATTCGAGACCAGCCTGGGCAACGTGGTAAAACCCCATCTCTACAAAAAAAAATACAAAAATTAGGCTGGTGTGGTGGCGTGTGCCTGTAGTCCCAGCTTACTTGGGAGACAGAGGTGGAAGAATCACCTGAACCTGGGAAGTCAAGGCTACAGTGAGCCAAGACCGTGCCACTGTACTCCAGGTTAGGTGATGGGAGCGAGACCTTGTCTCAATAAAAAAATAATAATAATATAATACCTTTTGCCCAGCTTAACAAACTAAAATGAAAGATGCTAGACTAGGGCATTAAAATGGCCCTCTATGCTGCTAATCTTATAAATAGTCCCCTTCAAGTAGTTCAGTTATGTGTAGGCCACTTGACTGTAAAGATAATCACGGATATTAACCAGTGTCCCATCAGAACACCTTTCTCCATGTCCCAACCCATGCTTCCCCCAAAAAGGGTCTGTACTTAAATTATAAGCTCCTCCCCCTTAAATTGGTACAGTAGACCCAGGACTTTTGTGTCTGTGCACAGAAAAATGTAAAAGACTCTAGAACAGTGAAGCAGTTCATCATAATGAGTACTTACTAAAGCTTTGATTATTTCCTGAACCAGGTGCTGGGAATTCAAACAAGCGGAGAATTACACAGTCCTTCCTTAGAAGTGATCACATCATACAGTTTTAAACTTTTGAATACAAATCTATCATCAAAACAAAGGCAAATGTGCAATCTCAGTATCCATTAATTTTACCTAGTAACATAAAAGGTGTATACAGTAGACCCTCCCCTTGAGCAGGATTTCTGAAATACACTTTTATAATTCTAGGAAAGTATGGCTTGCAATGATATTGAAGTCACCAGGTACCATTTTTAGCATATTCTACATCAAAAGAGCGTACAATATGTTTTACACTAAATTGAATTTAATGACCTACTGTAGGCCGGGCGCGATGGCTCAAGCCTGTAATCCCAGCACTTTGGGAGGCAGAGGCAGGCAGATCACTTGAGGTCAGGAGTTCGAGACCAGTCTGGCCAATGTGGTGAAACTTTGTCTGTACTAAAAATACAAAAAATATGGCAAGCACCCATAATCCCAGCTACTTGGGACACTGAGGCAGGAGAATCACTTGAACCCGGGAGGTGAAGGTTGCAGTGAGCTGAGATTGTGCAGTTGCACTCCAGCCTAGGCAACAGAGCAAGACTCCATCTCAAAAAAAAAAAAAAAAGACCTACTGTAGAGTTTGCCAGAAACCTAAAATGCAGAGAAACTAGGCATTTAAAAACTATTAAACTAGGCTAGGCATGGTGGCTAACGCCTATAATCCCAGCACTTTGGGAGGCCGAAGTGGAAGAATTGCTTGAGGCTAGGGTTTGAGACCAGACTGGGCCACAAAGTGAGACCGTGTCTCTAGTCTAAAAACAAAACTATTAAACTAGCCAAATGTTTTACGTGGTCAAGGAACTCTTTCCTACTTTGTTTCGTAGACTTTGTTTTTTAACTCAGTGGGAGATTTCAGAATAGTCCTAAACGATCATCACTGTTTGTATTTGTGTAGAGACATAGTCTTAATTGTATTATCGTAGTCTATGAGGTTTATCCGAGGCCTGATTATTGCTAATAGTTAATAAATTGTATTGATGTTTCCTGTTAGAGCATTTATAAAACACTATAACTGGTACTTATTTTAGCATATCTTTCAAGTGTAGCTGAAAGAAGTGTAAATATTTGTAAGTTGGGAGAATGATGCCTATTGATTAGCATAGGAGATTACAAACAACTGCTTTGTTTTCTGTGGTATCGAGGATGATTAAACATTTAAGCTAGATCATTGGTATTCTGAAAGTATCCAAAGATATCTGAGATTCTCTAAATCTACAAATAACACTTTATTATCTAATATTATCCATAAGATATTGCAAAGCGTCATGGAAATGAAATAATCCAGTTCAGACCTTCATGATTAAATAGGTATAAAATTCAGCCGGGTGCGGTGGCTCACGCCTGTAATCCTAGCACTTTGGTAGGCCAAGGCGGGTGGATCACGAGGTCAGGAAATCGAGACCATCCTGGCTAACGTGGTGAAACCCCGTCTCTAGTAAAAACACAAAAAATTAGCCGGGCGTGGTGGCGGGCGCCTGTAGTCCCAGCTACTTGGGAGGCTGAGGCAGGAGATTGGCGTGAACCCGGGAGGCGGAGCTTGCAGTGAGCCGAGATCGTGCCACTGCACTCCAGCCTGGGTGACAGAGCGAGACTCCATCTCAAAAAAAAAAAAAAAAAAAAAAGTATAAAATTCATGTATAAAACTATTCAGGAGATTTAGCTTGGAATATTTCGGGAAACATATTCATGAGTCTCTTGTTCCTGTAATATGTAGTCCACTGGTTCCTAGATCTGAGCATTGCACAATGCAGTATTTTACTCTTTATCCAAAGCTGTTTTTGGCTAAGAATAATTACTCTCTTAGGTTTCTTCACCACCATTACAGTTGACTTTCTTTTTTCTTTCCTTTTATAAGTTGCTTCATGAAAGTAAGTTTCCAGTCTCAGTAGGGGAGATGAGATGGCAGTAATGGCTAAGCCCACTTACCAGCCAGGGGATTCCCACAGACTGTCCTTGCTGCCTGCTCCATCACAACTGTGCCTGGGCAGATGTAGAGATCACGATGTAGATTTCTGAGGTCTCTCTAATAGCCTAAAAGAATGCCATGTGCTCTTGTAAAAGTAACCAGGCAGCTAAAGAGCCTACTTCCTTGCTAAACAATGACCCTTGCATATGTTCCTCTTATTGCAACCTTCAGGAGGCCCCCTAAACTTTATAAGGGCCCTCTCCTTAATTTGAGCCTTTTCAACGTGTTTCTCCTTCCCTTAAACTTTTTATTGAAATCTACATTACAGAAAAGGGCATAAATCCTAAGTGTATAGTTTGATGAATTTTCATAAAGTAAACATGCCCATGCAACCTATTCCTAGATAAGGAGTTGAGAGCATTATCAGCTCATCTGGTCACCACCCGGTGAGCTAGCATCCTAAGTTTAGCTTGTTTTTGACCTTTACGTGAATGGAATCACTTGTACAAGTTTTAAAGTAACTGTTTAGAATGTTTATTGGGAATTAGATTACAAAGTAATACACAGCTTGGCGCAGTGGCTCACGCCTGTAATCCTAGCACTTTGGGAGGCTGAGGCGGATGGATCACTGAGGTCAGGAGTTCGAGACCAGCCTGGCCAACATGGCGAAACCCTGTCTCTACTAAAAATACAAAAAGTAGCTGGGCATGGTGGTGCATCCCTGTAATCCCAGCTACTCGGGAGGCTGAGGCAGGAGAATCCCTTGAACCTGCAGGGCGGAGGTCACAGTGAGCCGAGATCCTGCCACTTCACTCCAGTCTGGGCGAAAGAGTGAAACTCCGTCTCAAAAAAAAAAAAAAAAAAAAAAAAAAAAGATCATTTTTTTAATTCAGAAAAATATATAGTTGAAGAACAAAAAGTCAGCTCCTATCCCACCACCAGTGAAATTTAAAATGAGACAGTCCAGAAGAATGGTCTGGGAACAAACTCATCTGAGCGAATGAAAAATAGTGCAGAGAACTGGTGAAAATACTAGGACAAGATCCCTAAGATTCTGACTTATTATGGAAATAGACAACTTGGACACTGCCAAAGGGTATTTTGTAAGTAGAACCACAAATATTCTTTCAAAGACTCTTGGAGGGTTTCAAACAATCCTCCTAAAAATTGATCAGTATTTTTGGTAGGCATCATTTTTAATGTAAAAACGAAAAAAACAAAAATTTCCTTTTATGTGAAAACGAAAAAAGATTAAACTATTCAAAATAATGGTTAAACTGGCTTCAGAGAAGCCTGTAGCCTGTCTTACTTTTTTTCAGTGCTAATTTGAAAAACTTAGATAATTTTTTAAGAATCCAGAGCAAGTTTTTTCTGTTCTGGGTGGAAGGAGGGGAGGAGAGAACTCTTACTTGGGAGAGTAATGAGATCAGACACCATTGGATTCATTTACACTTTGCTACAACCGTGTAAGCAGCCTACAGCCTTGTGTTTTGGTTACTTCCCTGCTTAGACACCTGCATTATCCCCTACAGGAGTTGTGCCTAGCACTCAAAGTAGTCTGGCCTTCAAGGCATCCCTTCTTTCAAGAGTTCATGCCCTCTTTGGAAATGGAAAAATATTTTGTGCTGCTTTTACTGCATGTATCAATATTCTACTGCATATGATACTTAATTGATTTGCTTTATTTTCCTTTCCCCTTATTTCCCATTGCAACAGTGAGCACTGTTGTGTTTATTCATGGTCTTTCACACATACTAGGTAATCAATACTTTGTTGAAATCAGTATTTTAACAGAGGAGAAACAGCTTACAAAGCTCTTCTAATAACTCCTAAACTTTGGGTTTCCACCTCTGGAGATTTTTAAGGCAGGCAGAAGGGGCTCTGGCCTCTGTTTTAGGAGATTCAGGTTTAAACCCTCAATTTTAATTGCAAATAGCTAGAGAATTTAGACATATGAATTACCCCTCAGATTCTCTTTGCTCCGTTATGGAATGGTGATAATGCTTACACTGCTTTGGTGTAGGAGTTTTCTGAGGGGATGAGATTATGGAGGCATATATATTTTGAACAGTATAAATTGTTACTTTGGTATAGGATTTTTCTGAGGGGATGAGATTATGGAAGCATATATATTTTGAACGGTATAAATCGTTGCATAGTTTACCAATGTTTTAAGAATTTTAGTAGTGAGCCGGTGGCGGTGGCTCACTCCTGTAATCCCAGCACTTTGGGAGGCTGAGGCAGGTAGATCACGAGGTCAGGAGTTCAAGATAAGCCTGGCCAAGATGGCGAAACCCCATCTCTGCTAAAAATAGAAAAATTAGCTGGGCGTGGTGGCGGGCGCCTGTAATCCCAGCTACTCAGGAGGCTGAGGCAGAGAATTGCTTGAACCCGGGAGGTGGAGGTTGCAGTGAGCCAAGATTGCGCCACTGCAGTCCAGCCTGAGCAAAAAAGCGAGACTCCGTCTCAAAAAAAAAAAGAATTTTAGTAGTGAAAAAAGTCTTTAAAAATTTGTATGGATATATAACAGCTTTACATATATCTGGGGCGCCTGTGACGTTTTGATACAAGCATACAATGTGTAATGATGAAATCTAAACTGAGATAACCATGACCTCCAACATTTATCATTTCTTTGTGTTGGGAATATTGCGTATCTTTTCTAGCTATTTTGAAGTATACAATAAGATATTGTTAACTATAGTCATGAAAGAACTTAAATTCTGAAAAAATAAATCTTCCAGAATTACTGGAAATAGACTTTAAAAACAATCTAATCCCACAATTTTAATAATGGGATTATAGGTGGTTTCTATTTTCATGTTCATGCCTCCCGCCACCAAATTTCTACAGGGGAAATATATTTCATCAGGGGAAAGAGATTTTTCAAAAGTAATAGGAAATATTTCTTTATTATTGTGGAAGTTCATTTTGATAGTAAATTCAGAGGATTTAGGCTGTAATCCTTAATTTCAGGATAATCCCAACACTGCTTACAAGCCAGATTTCCACTCCATTTCTATGCATTTTTACTTGGGGTCGTTTGTTTCTATCTTTCCCTGCGTTCCAGGTTAGGATTCCACAATTGCAAATAGGTATTTATGTAATTCTGCTGGCCTTTGTTTTTTAAAGATTTACCTTAATTGTAAAGGTGGCCTGTTTGTAGCTTTTGTGCATAACTGGAACCTTGTACTCATAGTTGAGGTGACAGTCTGTGCAAATTCCTAGACAGTGAGATAAACCCAAGGCATTTTGCTATAAGTTGACATTTTTGCCCACATTTCTGCTACCCCATGACCCCCTTCCCCCACTGTTTTGCTTTAAATGTCTCCCTTTCCTGTTTACTATGGCAGTCAGATTCATTGGAGGCTGTGTATCAAAGAGAAAACCAGCATGTCAGCAGCATGTCTGTACCTTGAGATGAGAGGTAGGAAATAAGCTAACCCATTTCCTTCTAGATTCAGAAAAAAAATGAAGCACTGACTCCATAGACCTAGATGTCTGGCCTTACATCAGTACGTACTTAGAGAGCTCATCATTTTTCTTTAAGTTGCTGACTGGTTTTGTCAGACTCTTCTGTAGGTCCCCTATAACTGAATCTTGGAGAAGTGAAGGGCTTTTCTGATTAATTTTGGTTTTATATAATAAGATTAAGCTCCTACCATGTGAAAACAAGCTCCTTGACATTCTTTAGATTGTTGTTAAAGCCAAGTCATCTAAAACCAAAATATCACAAGTTCTTAAATGGTTTCATTATGTTGTTATCACAGGTATCACAGGTTTTTATATATCAAACAAGGAACTTTCTATAGTTTCTTAAATGGCCTGTTTGTACTTATTTGCATATTGACTTGTTTCCTGTATGTTGGCCACAACTCTAACTTGAACATCCTATCTGTAAGAGAACAACAACTTGAGACCCATCTGGTATCTGGTAGGAACTGTAAAAGTCTCCCCCTCAGATTACCGGGGCAATTGCTGCCATGGGAATAAATACAGAGAAATAATCTATAAATGGAAAAGCGGGGAGAGAATTCATGGTTAATAGGCTGTTTTCCCAAGAGGGCTAAAGCCAAAGCCCTTCTCAAAACCTTTCAGTTAAATCCCCCTTGACATCTCACAGTCTGAGTCATGCCAAGCACAATAAGCTGTTGTGAAGAAAAGTCTAGAAACTGCCAGTTCGCCAGTATTTTTTTGTCCCCTACTGTGTGTCAGGAATGGACTAGATACACAAGAGCCTTCCATTCTTAGAAGACTACAGTACTGGCCTGGCACGGTGGCTCATGCCTGTAATCCCTTCACTTTGGCAGGCCGAGTCAGGTGGATCTCCTGAGGTCAGGAGTTCAAGACCAGCCCGGCCAACATGGTGAAACCCAGTCTCTAATAAAAATACAAAAATTAGCCTGGTGTGGTGGTGCAAGCCTGTAATCCCAGCTACTCAGGAGGCTGAGGCAGCAGAATCACTTGAACCTGGGAGACCAAGATTGCAGTGAGCTGAGATCGTGCCTCCAGCCTGGGCAACAGAGTGAGACTCCATCTCAACAACAACAAAAAATTGAATATTATTGTATTGTTTTGAGAGAAATCAATTTAGGGTACCTTGGGAATGCTGCCGCTTTAGACCTGCTTTAAGGTGGTCTTCTTTTTTTTTTTTTTTTTTCTTTTTTTTTTTTGAGATGGAGTCTTGTTCTGTTGCTGAGGTTGGAGTGCAGTGGCATGATCTTGGCTCACTGCAACTTCTGCCTCGCAGGTTCAAACAATTCTCCTGCTTCAGCCTCCCCAGTAGAGTAGCTGGGATTACAGGCATACACTACCTTGCCTGGATAATTTTTGTATTTTTATTTATTTTATTTTATTTTTTAGACAAAGTCTTGCTCTTGTCCCCCAGGCTGGAGTGCAGTGGCGTGATCTCGGCCCACTGCAACCTCCACCTCCTGGGTTCAAGTGATTCTCCTGCCTCAGCCTCCTGAGTAGCTGGGATTACAGGCACCTGCCATCATGCCCGGCGAATTTTTGTATTTTTAGTAGAGATGGGGTTTCACCATGTTGGCCAGGCTGGTCTCAAACTCCTGACCTCAGGTGATCCACCTGCCTCGGCCTCCCAAAGTGCTGGGATTATAGGCATGAGCCACCACACCCAGCAAATTTTTGTATTTTTAGTAGAGACGGGGTTTTGCCATGTTGGCCAGGCTGGTCTCGAACTCCTGACCTCAAGTGATCTGCCCACCTCGGCCTCCCAGAGTGCTGGGATTACAGCCATGAGCCACAGCACCTGGCCAAAGTGGTCTTAAAAGGCTTCTGAAGAGGTTATGTTTGAAATGAGGCCAGAAGGATAACTGGAATTTATAATCTTTCTTTGGTGCCATGGATCCCTTTGATTATCTAATGAGATCTAGGATAATCCTCTTAAAATTCATTGAATTACAAAGGAAACCTGTTAGAATGAAATACCTGTCAAATATTGAAAAAAGTAAATTTGTGATGTAATATAGATACGTATTAACATATTTAATAACAAGATCTAGAAACTACCATGATTTCAAATAGTGATGAATGTAGGCAGTAAATCAAGATTTCTGCAACTATAGTGCAATATGAAAATACCTGTGATTTCTGTTGATGATGAAGTCACAGATAAACCTAATACTACTAGTGGTTTATTGCCTCTGTCAAAAGAAAAAATTACGACAAACATAGTATAAAGATCTTAATTAGCTTTTATTTGAGATTCTAAAGTTGGGCAACACCTCATTCTTAGAGAATGAGGGTTTCAATGAGCTGAGCAGAGGAAGTTGGTTTTATAGACAGGGGCTGAGGAAAGCAGAAACAGAAAACAAAAAATGGGTGGTTTCAAAGTTAATTTATTTGTAAAGGTTAAAGCAGAGGGAAGTCCCTTATGCTGGCTAAAACTGGCATGTTTGGGGGCTTGGCTATTATCTCTTCTAATTTCTCAGAAGTCAGATGAACAACTTTGCTTTGGCTTGCTGACATGGAACTTTAGCACAAGTGACTCCATTTTGGTTTGGTTTGTTGGGCCTAGGGCAGGGACTCAGTCCAAACCAGTGGTCTCCTATAAATTTTAACAGATCTATTAGTACTTGAAAGAAATGTCAAATTTCATTTAGAAGTTAACAAAAATGAAGATGTAGCTGTTCAGACCCTTTAAATTCATCCATGTTCACAGACCCTCTAAAGTCTATCCATGGACCCCAGGCTAAGAACTGCTGGCTTAGGTGGAGCAGCCAGGAGAACTGCATCCCCCCGGATAGGGGATCGTAAAGGCATTAGAGGAGGGAGGCACTTGCCTTGCAGTGGGGCAACTCCAAAAAAGGCAAAGATATCTCCCCTAAGTGTGAAATTTTAAAAAAATCAATAGCTAACAAATGAAGCTGGAAAAACCACTTGAGACAATTGGGAAAATATTAATGCTGAAACGTAATAGATGTTAAGGAATTATTGAGTTTTTTTCCCTTAGGAATTGTGGTTAAAATAAAACGTCCTAGAAATGTATGAAGATGTATACTTGAGATGCCTTGGATTAGCTTTAAAATGATTGGAGGACGAGGAAAGTAGGAGAGTAGAGATGAAATAAGATTGGCTGTATGTTGATAATTGTTGAAACTGGTTGATGGGTACGTGGGAGTTCATTAAACCATTTCTCTGCATGTATATATGTTTGAGATTATCCACAATAGAAAGTTTTATTTATTTATTTATTTTTAGACATAGTCTCACTCTGTCGCCCAGGCTGGAGTGCAATGGTGTGATCTTATCTCACTGCAACCTTTGCCTCCTGGGTTCAAGTGATTCTCATGCCTCAGCCTCCCAAGTAGCTGGGACTACAGGCGTGTGCCACCATGCCTAACTAATTTTTTTTTTTTTTTTTTAAGTAGAGATGGAGTTTCACCATGTTGGCCAGGCTGGTCTCGAACTCCTGTCCTCAAGTGATCCACCCGCCTTGGCCTCCCAAAGTGCTGGGATTACAGGCATGAGCCACCACACCTGGTCCACAATAGAAAGTTTTAAAATGCAGTGGATAAGATTAGCCATCTGTAGAAATTCAGTATTTGTTTGGACTGAGAAGTTAGGAAGGATCACTCAAGCAAGGTTAAGGTAACTAGTTTGTAATTTCAGGGAATTAATGATTGTTAAGAACATACCAAAGTGAAGCGTTATGATGATGAATGCTGCTGTGGTACAGTTAAAATATAACCTAATCTTAGTGGATAACTGCATCTAAGCTGAGCCCTATGCAGGGAGACGGTGAGCATTAAGCTGAAGAGTCATCATTGATCCAGTGAATGCCTGTGTCTCCTAGACCCAAGAGAAAAGGACATTGGTCAGGGCAGGGGACGTCCAGGATTTTCCATGTCCAAGATCAACATTTCTCTAAGTGTGATCTCTGGACTGCCTGTACTAATATCACCTGGGTTTGTTGCTAAAAATGCAGAATCCTGGCTCTACTCCAGTCTCAGCCGTTTGAGGGGAAGGGACCCAGGTTCTTACACTTTAATAAATCTTCTTCCAGGTGAATCTTAGCACATGTAAAGTTTGAAAACTGTAGCTTTAAATAAAGATGACAGTAGCTTCTCCTTATTGAGCAATTTACCATCTGCCAGATCTCATGCTGAGCTCTCTACATATATTAACGTTTTTGTAAATTATATATTTGTATATGTCAGGGAGGAAAAATATTTTTTTCCTCAACCTTCATGAGTGCTTAGTTGGAAAGGACCCCTGCAACAAAAGACAGATTAACAAGAGAAAAACAAGCTTACTAACATATCTATTTCATTTATATGTGTGGGAGATACCCAGGGGATGAGTCATTCTCAGAGGTGGCTTTGAATTCCAGCTTATGTAGTATCTTCAACAAAGAATGGTAATTTTTTAGAGAAGTGACAAGACAAAGGGGAAGAACTTTGTCTAGGGGCAGAACTTGTGGGAAGGCAAGTAAGTGGTGATAAAGGCCCGTTAGCAAAGCTTGTTAGTGTGGATTCCTCTGGTGCTGTCTTCTGGCCCATAAAGGTCTAAAGTTGTTAGTGGTTAACCTTTGTTCTCCCTGGTAGAGAGGGAGGAGGCAGGAACCTTTTTATGCCAAAGACGCATGCTTTGGGGTGACATAGTCCAGTCTCTCCCACACACATATTTATCTTTACAGCCTTATGAAGTAGTTGATGAGGAGAACTCACATTAGAAAAATGTGCTTGCTGTAGGTTACCCAGTTCTAAACAGCAAAGCAAGACCTCAAACCAGGTTCTGACTCCAAAGCCTGTGCTCTTAGCTACTATACCACTGCCTCCCATCAGACTCCTCTGATCCCATGTCTACCAGAGACTCTCATTCATGAATCGGCCTTTCACATGCCCTTTGTGGGGCAGCTGTGTCCTAATAGAGGATGTGAATATTCTTGTCACTGGGCAGGAACAGTTCCTGTTGTATATTAATAAATTAATGTCTGGCTTATGCATTAGCCTTTTTAAAGGTAGTTCTGAGTCCTAAAGAATACTTGATAATTTATACTTGATATAAAGAAGCTTGAAACATTTCTGCAGCTATTATATATATATTCTTGTGATTCTAAGCCTTTTTTCCGCTCCTGTGGAATCTCATCAATTCCTAAGAGATTGAACATGTTCCCATCAATGACAAGAACCTACTATGGAATTACTAGCCCGAGGGCAGGATTAAGGGCCTACTCCTTTAGTTCTGAGAAAGCTTCACGCATGAGAATTAGTGGTTGATTTCCAAAGGACCAGAAGAAGCTGGTGGGAGTTGAGGCAGTGAAGACTACACACAGGCTTTTATAGACCGTGCCATGTGCTCACCTTTCTCATTTAATTCTGCCAGTTCTACATGGTAGGTACTAACAGATCCACTTACTAATTCCGAACTCAAAAAGCTCTATAAAGCAAGATTTTTTTTTTCCCCTTAAATTTGCAACAGATTCATTTGGTAGTAGATCTTTACCTGAACTGATGTGAGGCTGTTTATAGTCTTAGTTCATACTTTTTGATGCAGAAATATTAATGCTTGATTACAGGGTGCTGCCCAGACCTCACAGGTATTATAAGGTGTCAGCTGTGTGTCAGGTATGAGCGCCATGTTGTCTTTCTAAAATTTAAAGAATTTTCCAAAACACTTTTGACTTCAAGAGTTTCAGATGAGAAAGTTGAAGTTAGGTTAAGTGTTTGTTCAACTCTTTGCTGCTGAGTTATGTAAATGGATTTGAAAAAAAAAAAGCCATATATGCTTTTTTCAACACTTTAAGGGCCCGTTGAGTGTCATTTAGCCCATTGTTTGTTAGCCTTGCAAATCCTTCTAGAGTTGTAGAAAAAGCCTCAAGAAGAGTGTGTTGTGTTGTGTTTGAGACAGTCTCTGTCACCCAGGCTGTAGTGCAGTGGCACGATCTCGGTTCACTGCAACGTTCACCTCCCACGTTCAAAAGATTCTCATGCCTCAGCCTCCTGAGTACGTGGGATTACAGGCGCGTGCCACCACGCCGGACTAATTTTTGTATTTTTATTAGAGGTGGGTTTTTGTCATGTTGGCCAGGCTGGTCTTGAACTCCTGGCCTGCCTTAAGCAATCTGCCTGTTTTGGCCTCCCAAAGTGTTGGGATTACAGGTGTGAGCCACCATGCCTGGCCAAGAAGAGTGTTTTTAAAGTCAAGTTCTGAGTCTTTTACAGTTTGATCATCAGTAAGCTTCAAACCATTTCTCCCCTCTTTCTGGTTCTGTCCAGGGAAATACTGTGACTTTTTCCTTTGGAATATATACTGTGTTTTAGTGTCTTCAGGTAGAGCTGAGCAGGGAGGGAATCAAGGTGACTTACACTGCGGCATTAAGGTTGGGATTATTCCCCTTTATCCTTGGCCATTTAGGAAGCAGTCTTAGCAGGACCAGAATAAATCATCTGATAAATTTCTCGTGAATAAGGAGGATAATGGTGATAAAACTCTCATAAAATTAAAAATAACAGGAGTCTTTGAAGCATATTAAGCTAAAATATATTTCTCGTCAAAGCAACATACTTTTCATTTTTTTTGGTCCAGAATGCCTCATTCAGAGAAAGAGATTGATTTTTTTTTCCAAATTAAGATCCTCCACATAGAAATAGGAACGTTTTACACTGTTGGTGGGAGTGTAAATTAGTTCAACCATTGTGGAAGACAGGGTGTCAATTCCTCAAGGATCTAGAACTAGAATTACCATTTGACCCAGCAGTCCCATTACTGGGTATGTACCCAAAGTATCATAAATCATGCTGCTATAAAGACGCATGCACACGTATGTTTATTGCGGCACTATTCACAATAGCAAAGACTTGGAACCAACCCAAATGTCCATCAGTTGATAGACTGGATTAAGAAAATGTGGCACATGTACACCATGGAATACTATGCAGCCATAAAAAAGGATGAGTTCATGTCCTTTGCAGGGACATGGATGAAGCCGGAAACCATCATTCTCAGCAAACTATCACAAGGACAGAAAACCAAACACTGCATGTTCTCACTCATAGGTGGGAATTGAACAACGAGATCATTTGGGCACAGGGTGGGGAACATCACACACTGGGGCCTGTCGGGGTGGGGATAGCATTAGGAGAAATACCTAATGTAAATGATGAGTTGATGGGTGCAGCAAACCAACATGTCACATGTATACCTATGTATCAAACCTGCACATTGTGCACATGTACCCTAGAACTTAGAGTATAATTTTTTTTAAAAATCCTCCACGTTAGGCTTTATTTCTGTTAAACATGATGTTTTTGCTTAAACTTTGATCACATGTTCCATGTTTTTTGTCTTAAGGGATTGTTATGTCTCACTTTAGATTTTTTAGTTGAATATTAATTTTATGCATGGTATATGCTTTGGAAAATTAGCCTCACAATGCACTGGGGTATTGGTGAGCATTAGAGGAGCTAAGCATATAAAGGACAGCCTGTGCTCATTTCTTATGAAGACAGGGAGTTTAATTTCTTCTTTTCTTAAAATAAACATATGGTATTGTGGTATAATAAAAATTATATATTTGGTCTTTGTCCCTGGTTTCTGGCATAGAACTCCTAAAACCCTTGGAATTTCCTGATAGGTTGAGGTCTGGTCACCAGAGAAGGCAACCACATGATTAGAGGGTTAGATCTATCAGTCCCAGCCCCACAACCTCTGGATAGAGGGAAGGGTTGGAGCTTGAGTTCAGTCACCAATGGCCAATAATTGAATCAATCATGCTGATGTGAGAGAAGACCTGGAGAAAACTGAAATGGGTCTAAAGGAGCTTCTGGGCAGTGCTGGGAGGCCAGTGAGCCCAGAGATGGAGACTCTATGTCAGCCCCACCCCAACAAGAGTTGGTGCTGACAATCGGAGAATTGGTGTTGGAACAGCAGAACAGCAGGTATCTTTTTTTTTTTTTTGAGATGGAGTTTCATTCTTGTTGCCCAGGCTGGAGTGCAATGGCGCCATCTCGGCTCATTGCAACCTCTGTCTTCCAGGTTCAAGCAATTTTCCTGCCTCAGCCTCCCAAGTAGCTGGGATTACAGGCGTGTGCCACCACACCTGGCTAATTTTTGTATTTTTAGTGGAGACGGGGTTTCAGCATGTTGGTCAGGCTGGTCTCGAATTCCTAACCTCAGGTGATCCACACGTCTTGGCCTCCCAAAGTGCTGGGATTACAGGCGTGAGCCACCGCAGCCAGCCAAGAAACAGCAGGTATCTTATCTGTTTGTGTCACCTGGTCCTGATCTTCTCTTACAGTATCTGACGAAGCAAGTGGAACTTCTACGGCAGATGAACGAACAACATGCAAAGGTTTATGAACAATTAGACGTCACAGCAAGGGAACTGGAAGAAACAAATCAAAAGCTAGTTGCTGACAGCAAGGCCTCACAGCAAAAGATTCTGAGGTAAATTTTCTAGAATCTGACAAGGAAGGACTAGGGGGAAGTTCTTTAGTATAAACTAGAATAGAACATGGCTGCAGTGGGTTTGGGTCAATATGGGATAAGGTTTAATTTAATTCTTTTTGGAGAATGGAGATTAAATAGACATCCTTTCCAATTAAGAAAGCCCAGTGTGAGTGGTTTGCACCTAATCTCTCCTCACCGCTTTTGCCCTTGATTCAATATGACAAGCAGCAGTGGCTTCTGTCTGTTCCTCACAGCCTGACTGAAACGATTGAATGCCTGCAAACCAACATTGATCACCTCCAGAGCCAAGTGGAGGAGCTGAAGTCATCTGGCCAAGGGAGAAGGAGCCCGGGAAAGTGTGACCAGGAGAAACCGGCACCCAGCTTTGCATGTCTGAAGGAGCTGTATGACCTCCGCCAGTAAGAGCCTGCCTTTCTGTGGAGTTACAGCAGGGACTGTCTCATGTCATTGGCACATTCTGATTTCCAGTAGATTGAAAGTACCATTTTAAGAAAAGTCACTTAGCTATTAAGCTACCATTGGTTTGAACAAAATCACTTAAACATATAAATTACAGAGTTCTTAGATATTAGTAGTTCTCATTTTGAAAGTCTTGGAACACTTATTTCAGTGTTTTTAATGTATTAAATCATAGTTTAAGATGAATTCTGATAGACTAGATTTGGGAGTTGTGTTTTACATTAGAGTGAAGAAAAACAGAAATACTGGTAAAACAAAAATTCAAGCGAACAGGAGATTTTTTGCTTAAAGAAGTACCTTTATAATTTAGAGTTATAAGTCTGAATCTTTAAGAAGTATTTATGGAACACTTGTGTGGCAAGCTGTATGCTAGACCCAAGGGTTGGCGAGCAAAATAGTTTCTACCCCTGTGAGCTTTCAGTCTAACGGAACGGCAGATAAGCAAATAAAAACACAAATAAATAGTCAAGGTGCTTCAGACTGAGCAGGAGAAACCAGGTGGTTCATTTGGTGGGTCTCAACCTTGGCTGTACATCAGATCACCTGTGGGGTTTTTCAAAATGCAAATACCAACACATTTCCTCAGGCCTAAATCAGAATTTCTAGGTGCGGGTAAAAAGCTGCCCAGGCAATTCTGATGAACATTCCTGGTTAAAAATCACCACAGCAACAGTAATTTGCTGTAGTGATTCAATCGTAGTTACATATTATGAATCATTTGGAGAGCCTTTAGAAACCCTCAGGCCAGGTAGCAGACCAACTAGGTTGGAATCTGTGGGTTGGGACCCAGGCACCAGTACTTTTTAAGGTTTCCCTTGTGAGGTCATTGTCATACTGCTAGAATAGATGTTCTCTAGTACTTTTAACATTAAAAAAAGATTTGTCACAAAAATTGAGTTTGCTTTCATGTGTTTATTTACCAGCCTCACACAATTCCATTTTAGCCACTGCTCCAAGTGTGGCTAAAAACCAATCACTGTTGGCCGGGTGTGGTGGCTTACGTCTGTAATCCCAGCACTTTGGGAGGCTAAGGCAGGAGGATCACCTGAGGTTGGGAGTTCGAGACCAGCCTGACCAACATGGAGAAACCCCGTCTCTACTAAAAATACAAAATTAGCTGGGCGTGGTGGCGCATGTCTAAAATCCCAGTTACTCGGGAGGCTGAGGCAGGAGAATCGCTTGAACCTGGGAGGCTGAGGTTGCAATGAGCTGAGATCGCTTCACTGCACTCCAGCCTGGCGACAAAGTGAGACTCCGTCTCAAAAAAAAAGAAAAAAAAATTAGTCACTGTCACAGCTCCTCAAATTTATTTAGTTGAAAAAAAATCACCAGTCTTCCTCTCGTCATTTTCAGTGGACCTGTGTAATATATTCTTTCAATATTTTTTTCCCTAGACACTTCGTGTATGATCATGTGTTCGCTGAGAAGATCACTTCCTTGCAAGGTCAGCCAAGCCCTGATGAAGAGGAAAATGAGCACTTGAAAAAAACAGTGACAATGTTGCAGGCCCAGCTGAGCCTGGAGCGGCAGAAGCGGGTGACTATGGAGGAGGAATATGGGCTCGTGTTAAAGGAGAACAGTGAACTGGAGCAGCAGCTGGGGGCCACAGGTGCCTACCGAGCACGGGCGCTGGAACTAGAGGCCGAGGTGGCAGAGATGCGACAGATGTTGCAGTCAGAGCATCCATTTGTGAATGGAGTTGAGAAGCTGGTGCCAGACTCTCTGTATGTTCCTTTCAAAGAGCCCAGCCAGAGCCTGCTGGAAGAGATGTTCCTGACTGTGCCGGAATCACATAGAAAGCCTCTCAAGCGCAGCAGCAGTGAGACGATCCTCAGCAGCTTGGCAGGGAGTGACATCGTGAAGGGCCACGAGGAGACCTGCATCAGGAGGGCCAAGGCTGTGAAACAGAGGGGCATCTCCCTTCTGCACGAAGTGGACACGCAGTACAGCGCCCTGAAGGTGAAGTATGAAGAGTTGCTGAAGAAGTGCCAAGAGGAACAGGACTCCCTGTCACACAAGGCTGTGCAGACCTCCAGGGCTGCAGCCAAGGACCTGACTGGAGTGAACGCCCAGTCTGAGCCTGTTGCCAGCGGCTGGGAACTGGCCTCTGTCAACCCAGAGCCCGTGAGTTCCCCTACAACACCTCCAGAATACAAAGCGTTGTTTAAGGAGATCTTTAGTTGCATCAAGAAAACTAAGCAGGAAATAGATGAACAGAGAACAAAATACCGATCACTCTCCTCTCATTCTTAATTGAACCTCTAGCTCTACTACTAATTTGCCTATTGCCTATCGCCTCTCTCTCCCATTCAGACAAGTGTTTGTAGACTCTGAAGCCTAATGTTACTCATGACGTTTGCCTCATTGCTTTGCTTATTTAGCAAATGCATACAACGAGGAAAGGAGGTGGCTAGTGGTATCAGTTCTCTGATCCACTTCCATTTAAGCTCCCCAGGAAATCCCATGACAAACTGGCCTCTGGCTGGCGCGCTGATTAGACTTCAGTTCCTGAAAAGGACCAGTGGAGGGAAGAGCTATACTTCTGGAGAAGTAGGCCTGGAGTTACTACAGTATGGGGGAAAAGGGTCGAGTTAGAACAAAGCTAAGGCAATTCCTATTGCTTCCTTGCGCAACTTCTCAAAACGATGAAAGTCAGAAGGCTGTCAAACTCAAATATCTTTGCAAACAGTTTGAATACTGTGAATTCATTACGAAGAATGTTCGAGAGAAAGCAGGGGTCTAATCCAAAAGAAATGTCATTAACCAATACTCCAAGTCCTTGAGTTTTGTTATATCTGAACTAGTTGAACTGTGACTGACAGGTAATCCTAATATATCCAAATCCAACTGAATACCAAATTGAGATGGCAAATTTTTGTTTGATATAAGTTAGCTTGTTAGCATATGCCCTAGAGGGCCTCCATCCCTGTATTCTAATGTTTTTACTCAAAGCTCTAGCCTTTAGGATAGGTGAATATGTAAATCTTTTATCACTTTCTCAAATTCAAACTAAAGGGGAAAGATCAAACCCCTTCCCTTCCTACCTGTTTTCTGAGCTGGCTGACTTGCCAGCCACAAGCTGCTCTTGCAGAGTTCTTACCATTCCTGTAAATGTTTTGACTTGTTGCAGAAATTCCTATCTACTTTATTAAGCAGTATTGATCTGACTGTGGAAACATCCTCTCACTTGCATTCTTTTAACTTAAAACTATTTAAGAACTGATGTTCCGATTATTGTATATATTTTTCTAAAAACCAAATAAAGCTACCTATGAAAATGAACAGATGGATCTGTGTCTTACTTTCAATATAAGCCATTTCGCTCTTATAACCAACTGTTCACTTTTTTTCTTCCAACAAATATCGCGAGAAAGATTTGCAGTGATTTTTTTTTTCCTATTTTAAACAGGGAATCCTTGGATTTGTGTAACTTAATAGCACAAATTCTGCTCATATTGCTAAATGCTCATTAAAACTACTCTGGACAAACATTTTCAAATTTATATACTCTGTAATTTTCACTATTTCAGAAATGTCAGACTTGGTTCTGAATTAATAGCATTTGACAAATTGATTCTCAAAACATTTGATCAACCATAGCAAAGAAACTATACTATTCAAACTATACTATTCAAACTATACTATTAATGTTTGAATAGTATAGCTTATTTAAAAACAGTTTGCATTTCTATTAATAAGACAATATTTTTTAATCTGTTAGCCATTTGTAGTCTCCTTTGCCTATTTAAAGAGCTCTATTTATATATGCAGTTTTGCAGTTAGAAGTTTGAAAGTGTTTTGTCCCAGATTATCTTAATTTTTATCTGATTTTTTTGTTGTGTGTGGTTTTTTTTTGTTTTTTGTTTTTTTGAGAAGGTCTTGCTCTGTTGCCTAGGCTGGAGCGTGGTGGCATGAACACGGCTCACTGCAGCCCTTGACTTATGGGCCCAAGCAATCCTCCCACCTCAGCCTTCCTACCAGAGGTGCGTGCCACCATGCCCAGCTAATTTTTTAACTTTTGGTAGAGATGGGGTTTTGCCTTGTTGCCCAGGCTGGTCTCGAACTCCTGGGCTCAAGCAATCTGCCCTGCCTTGGCCTCCCAAAGGTAACTCCAAAGGCAACTCCTGGGATTACAGGCACGAGCCACCACACCCAGCAGTTTTTACCTTGTTAATGGCATTTTTTTTTCACCAAGCACAATTTTATGTATATGAAAAAAAATTTTTTTTTTTTTTTTTAGAGCGGGGGCAGACAGCATCTCACTCTGTTGCCCAGGCTGGAGTGCAATGGCACGATCTCAACTCACTGCAACCTCCACTTCCCGGGTTCATGTAATTCGCGTGCCTCAGCCTTCCCAAGTTGAATAGCTGGGACTGCAGGCACGTGCCACCATACCTGGCTAACTTTTTGTATTTTTAATAGAGATGGGGTTTTGCCGTGTTGGCCAGGCTGGTCTCGAACTCCTGGCCTCAAGTGTTCTGCCTGCCTTGGCCTCCCAAAGTGCTAGGACTACAGGTGTGAGCCACCACACCTGGACACTTTTATGTATATGAATCTTTAACACGTCTCTTTTTGTGTTTGAGAGTTCTTTGATCCATCTGAAGTCTATCCACCAACGCTTGAAATGCCACCCATATTAGTACTAAATGTCTACATGAATTTTAACCTATTTCTTCTAGGATCTGATTTTCATGTACCTAATGCAGTTTTAAATTTTTATTTTTTATTGTCTTATTTTGTAGTTTTAAGTTGCTGTACTTGGATATTTATATTTTCATAACTGCTAAGGGGAAGTTAAACTCTCATTACTCTTTCAGGATTTTCCTGGTTTTTTTTTTTTTTTTTTGCATTTTTTTTCCCCATATGAGCTTTAAAATTAGCTTGTCTGGTTCTTGAGGGGAAATTGGTACTTTTATCAAGATCAAGTTAAATAAATAGATTAATAAGAACAGGCTTAATCATACGGAGGCTTCTATCCAAAAACATGGCTATATGTCTTTTTTTTGAGATGGGGTCTCACTCTGTCACCCAGGCTGAAGTGCAGTGGTGCATTCTTGGCTCACTGAAACCTCTGCCTCCCGAGTAGCTGGGATTACAGGCTCCCACCACCATGCCCAGCTAATTTTTGTATTTTTAGTAGAGACGGGGTTTCACCATGTTGGCCAGGCTGGTCATGAACGGTTATGTGTTTTTCCATTTGTTCCAATGGTCTTTGTATGTCTCAGTTTTCAAATTTTTACCATTTATGTCTCGCATATTTTTAAAGGTTTGTCTCTTGGATGTTTTAAGTGGGATTCTTCTCCTGCTATACTTTGTAACTAGTTGTGTATAGAAAAGCTATTGATTTCAGCTATCTTGTTGAATTATCATGGGGGAATATCTTTTATTTGACTCTTTTGATATACCTGGAAAAATATTGTTTGGCTACTTAATTTTTACACTTATTCTTGTTTAAATGCTCTGAAATATCCAGAATATTAAATATGGTGGGAGTAAAATTGCTTGTCTGAATCCTAAACAATATGTCCATTGTTTGATTTAGCATAATGTTGGATTTTTTTTAATTAATCAGGAATCCATCTATTCCTGTTTTAAGAATTTATATCAAAAATGAGACAGGCACAGTGGTGTGCACCTATAGTCCCAGCTATTTGGCAGGCTGAGGCAAGAGGATCACTAGAGCCCAGGAGTTCAAGGCTATGATGCACTATTATCGCACCTGTGAATAGCCACTGTACTCCAGCCTGGGCAATATAGTGGGATCCTGTCTCTAAAAAAAGAAAAAGAACTATACATATTTTTGTTGTTTCATCAAATAAAACTTGTTTATTTTCATTTTTCTCTTTCCTTTGTTATATACATGTCTGTATCCTCTTATGTTCTTTTTATTGTATATATTTAATATGTTCAATGTTTTGATATACTTGATATATACAGTGATTACTAAGATCAAGCAAATTAACATACCCATCATAACATACCCGTGTATGTGATAAGAGTACCTAAAATCAACTCTCTTGGCAAGTTACCAGTATATGATACAATTTTATTAACTAGAAGCCCTCATGTTGTCTATTAGATCTCTTAGGCTTGTCCATCCCACATAACTGCAACGTTGACTTGCCTCTTCCCATTTCCCCCACCCCTGGTAACCACTATTTTACTGTTTTTGTTGTTGTTGATGATGTTTGTTTTTAAGATTCTACATATAAGTGGGATCATGCAGTATTTTTCTTCCTGTGTTTAGCTTATTTCATTTAACATGATGTCTTCCTCCAGCTTCATCCCTGTTGTTGCAAATGGCAGGACCTCCCTTTTTAATGCTGAAGTTCCATGGTATGTATGTATATTATTATAGCATAATTTCTTTATCCATTCATCTGTTGATGGACACCTTGGTTGTTTCCATATGTTGGCTCCTGTGAATAATGCTGCAATGAACATGGGGACAGAGTTGTCTTTACAAGGTGGTGATTTCATTTCCTTTAGGCATGTGCCCAGAAGAGGGATTGCTGTATCATATGGTAGTTCTATCTTTAAGAGCATCCATACTGTTTTCCACAGTGCAGCACCAATCTGCATTCTGATCAACAGTGTACAAATGTTCAGTTTTCTCTACAACTTCACCACTTGCTATTTCTTGTCTTTTTGATAAAAGCTATCCTAACGTGAGATATCTCATTGTGGTTTTTATTTGCATTTTCTTGATTAGTGATGTTGAGCAGCTATATCCCTGCTGGCCATTTTTATGTCTTTGAAGAAATGTCTATTCAGATGCTTTGCCCATTTTAAAATCAGGTTATTCATTTGAATGCTATTGAGTTCCCTATATATTTTGGTTAGTAACCCCTTATTAGATATATAGTTTGCAAGTATTTTCTCCCAGTGCGTAGGCTGCCTTTTCATGTTGTTTCCTTTGCTGTACAGAAGCTTTTGTTTGAGGTAGTCCTGTTGTGTTTTTGCTTTGGTTGTCTGTGCTTTTGGTGTCCCAGTCAAAACATCATTGCCAAGGTTAATGTCAAAGACCTTTTCCTCTATTTTTTTTTCTTAAGGTTTTATGGTTTCAGTTCTTAAAATAGGTTTTTTTGTTAGTTTGTTTTTGTTTTTGAGATGGTGTCTCGCTCTGTCCTCCAGGCTGGAGTTGTGGTGCGATCTTGGCTCACTGTAACCTCCATCTCTTAGGTTCTAGTGATTCTCCTGCCTTAGCCTCCAGAGTAGCTGGGATTATAGGCATGCTCCACCACGCCTTGCTAATTTTTTGTATTTTTGGTAGAGTCGGGGTTCTGCCATGTTGGCCAGGCTGGTCTCAAACTCCTGACCTAAAGTGATCCGCTTGCCTCAGCCTCCCAAAGTGCTGGGATTACAGGTGTGAGCCACTGTGCCCAGCCTAAAAATAGGTTTTTAATCCATTTTGAGTTGATTTTTGTGTAAGGTGTAAGATAAGAGTTCAACTTCATTCTTTTGCATGTAGATACACACATTTTCTATGTATAAAATCATGTCATCTGCAAGCAGGAACAATTTGACTTCTTTCTTTCTGATTTGGATGCCTTTTTTTTTTTTTTTTTCTCCAGAGTCTCACTCTGTCTCCCAGGCTGGAGTGCAGTGGCGCAATCTCAGCGCACTGCAACCTCTGCCTTCTGGGTTCAAGCAATTCTCCTGCGTCAGCCTCCCAAGTAACTGGGATTACAGGCTTATCACCACCACACCTGGCCAATTTTTGTATTTTTAGTAGAGTGGGGGTTTCACCATGTTTGCCAGGCTGGTCTCGAACCCCTGACCTCAGGTGATCCGCCTGCCTCGGCCTCCCAAAGTGCTGGGATGACAGGCGTGAGCCACCAGCCTTTTATTTTTCCTGTGCAATTGCTATAGTTAGGACTTCCAGTGTTTTGTTGAATGGAAGAGGTAAGAGTGGGCATTCCTTCTATACTTAGTTTGTTGATTTTTTAATCATGAATGGTTGTTAATTTTCAGATGCTTTTTCTGCATCTATTGAGAAGATTATATGGTTTTTGTCCTTCATTCTGTTAATGTGGTGTATCACAATTATTGATTTGCATATGTTGAACCATTGAACCATCCTTGCATCCCAGGGATAAATCCAACTTTGTTTTGGAGACAGGGTCTCACTCTGTCACTCAGGCTGGAGTGCAGTGGTGGTCATAGCTCACTGCAGTCTCAAACTCCTGGGCTCAAGCAGTCCTCCTGCCTCAGCTTTCCAAGCAGCTGGGACAATAGGCACACAGCACCACACCTGGCTAATTAAAAAAAAAAAATTTTTTTTTTTTTTTTTTTTTGCAGAGATGGGGTTTTGCTATATTGCCCAGACTGGGATAAATCCCACTTGATCCTGGTGAATGAGCCTTTTAATGTGCTGAATTTGGTTTGCTAGTTCTGGTGAGGTTTTTGCAGCTGTGTTCATCAAGGATATAAGGATATTGGTCTAATTTGCTTTTATTTTCTTTCTTTCTTTCTTTCTTTATATTTTTAGGTGGAGTCTCGCTCTGTCGCCCAGGCTGGAGTGCAGTGGCGCGATCTTGGCTCACTGCAACCTCCGCCACCCAGGTTCTAGCGATTCTCCGGCCTCAGCTTCCTGAGTAGCTGGTATTACAGGCATGCGCCACCACTCTCGGTTAATTTTTAGTAGAGACGGGGTTTCACCATTTTGGCCAGGATGTTCTCAAACTCCTGACCTCAGGTGATCTGCCCATCTTGGCCTCGCAGTGTTGGGATTACAGGCATGAGCCACTGTGCTCGGCCTAATTTTCTTTTCTTATAGTGTCCTTGTCTGGATTTGATATCAGGGTAGTGCTGGCCTTGTAAAATTAGTTTGAAAGTATTCCTCTTCATCAAATTTTTGGAAGTTTCAGAAAGATAGGTAGTAGTTTTCCATAAATGTTTAGTTGAATTCGGCAATGATGCCACCAGGTCCTGGGCTTTTCTTTGATGGCAGACTTTTTAAAATTATTGATTCAACCTTCTTACTCATTGGTCAGATTTTCGGTGTCTTTGTGATTCAGTCTTGGTAGGCTGTATGTGTCTAGGAACTCATCCATTTCTTGTAGGTTATCCAGTTTGCTGGTAATTTTTTATGGTAGTCTCTTAGGATCCTTTGTATTTCTTTTCTTTTCTCTTTTTTTTTTTTTTTTTTTTTTTTTTGAGACAGAGAGTCTTGCTCTGTCTCCCAGGTTGGAGTGTGTAGTGGCGTGATCTTGGCTCACTGCAACTTCCATCTCACGGGTTCCAGCAATTCTCCCACCTAAGCCTCCCAAGTAGCTGAGATTACAGGCATGTACCACCACACCCAGCTAATTTTTTTTTTTCGAGATGGAGTTTTGCTCATGTTGCCTAGGCTAGAGTGCAATGGCATGGTCTTGGCTCACTGCAACTTCTGCCTCCCGGGTTCAAGTGATTCTCCTGCCTCAGCCTCCCAAGTAGCTGGGATTACAGGAACCTGCTAGCATGCCTGGCTAATTTTTTGTATTTTTAGTAGAGACAGGGTTTCACCACTTTGACCAGGGTGGTCTCAAACTCCTGACCTCAAGTGATCCGCCCACCTTGGCCTCCCAAAGTGCTGGGATTACAGGCATGAGCCACCGTGCCTGGCCTGATCCTTTGTATTTCTATGGAATCAGTTGTAATGTCTTCCCTTCTCCCTCTCCCTTCTTTCCTTTCTTTCTTTCTTTCTTACAAGGTCTCACTCTTATCGCCCAAGCTGGAGTGCAGTGGTGGGATCTCAGCTCACTACAACATTCCCTTCCCAGGCTCAAGTGATTCTCCTACCTCAGCCTCCCAAGTAGCTGGGATTACAGGTGCCTGCCACCATGCCCAGCAAATTTTTGTATTTTTTAGTAGAGATGGGGTTCACCATATTGACCAGGCTGATCTCAAACTCCTGACCTCAGGTGATCCACCTGCCTTGGCCTCCCAAAGTGCTGGGATTATCTTTTTCCATTTCTAATTCTATGAGAGTCTTCTCTATTTTTTCTTAGCTAGAAGTTTGTCAATTTTATCTTTTCAAGAAACCAACTGAATTTTGTTGATCTTTTCATTTTTTTCAGCTCTGGTCTTTACTATTTCCTTTCTTTTATTTATTTTTGAGACGTAGTCTTGCTCTGGTCTTTATTATTTCCATTTATGTATATATGTATGTATTTTTGAGATGGAGTCTTGCTCTGTTACCCAGGCTGGAGTGCAGTAGCGTAATCTCATCTCACTGCAACCTCCGTCTCCCAGGTTCAAGCGATTCTTCTGCCTCAGCCTCCCGAGTAGCTGGGACTATAGGAGCGTGTCACCATACATGGCTAATTTTTTTGCATTTTTAGTAGAGATGGGGTTTTTCCATGTTGGTCAGGCTAGTCTCAAACCCCTGACCTCAGGTGATCTGCCCACCTTGGCCTCCCAAAGTGCTGGGATTACAGGTGTGAGCCACCTCACCTGGCCTATTTCCTTTTATTAACTGGGCCTAGTTCTTTTTATTTTCCTGGTGCCTTGAGGTGTAACATTGGGTTGTTTATCTGAAGTCTTTTCTTTCTGATGTGGGTGGGGATTGCTATAAACTTCTGTCTCAGAGCTGCTTTTGTTGTATTTCATGTTTTGTGTCCATTTTTGTCTCAAGATATTTTTAAAATTTTTCCTTTTAGTTTTTTTCATTGGCCTATTTGTTGTTCAGGAGCATGTTTAATTTCCACGTATTTGTAAATTTTCTGAAATTCCTCCTGTTACTGATTTCTAGTTTCATACCATTGTGGTCAGAAAAGATACCGCCCTAATATATGATCTGTCCTGGAGAATATTCCATGTATGCTCGAGAAGAATGTGTATTCTGCTGTTGGATGGAATCTCCTGTATATGGTAGGTCCATTTTGTTTAATGTGTAAAATCTGATGCTTTCTTATTGATTTTTTTTTTTTTTTTTGGCCTTGATCTGTCCATTACTGAAAGTGGGATATTGAAATCCCCTACTATTATTGTATTACAGTCTGTCTCTCCATTCAGAGCTATTCATATTTGCTTTCTATATTTAGGTGCTCAGATATTGAGTGAATATTTACAGTTGTTAAGTGACCCCTTTATCATTATACTGTGACCTTGTCTCATTTTACAGTTTTGACTTAAAGTTTGTTTTATCTAATGTAAGTATAGCTCTCTTGTTCTCTTTTGGTTTCTATTTGCATGAAATGCCATTTTCCATTCCTTCACTTTCAGTCTCTATGTGTCCCTTACAGGTTAAATGAGACACTTTTTGGCAGCATATAGTTAGATCTTTTTTTTTTTTTTAATCCAGCCACTCCGTTTTTGGATTATGGAAGAGTTAAACCATTTACATTCACAGTAAATGGATTGGAGAATTTAATCCATTTACATTCACAGTAGTAACTCCTTACCTATCCCTGTTGGTAGGTAAGGAGTTACTACTGCAATTTTGTTGTTTTCTGGTTGTTTTGTAGATCCTTTGTTTCTCTCTTACTGTCTTCCTTTGTGATTTATTTTCTTTAGAGGTATGCTTTGATTCCTTTTTATCTTTTGCATATCTGCTATAGGTTTTTGCTTTGTGGTTATCATGAAGCTTATGTAAAACACAGTGATAGCAGACTATTTTAAGCAGATAACTTTGATTGCATTAAAAACTATACTTTATTCTCTCTCCCACATTTTGTTTTTGAGGTCACAATTTACAAGTTTTATATTTTGTATCCCTTAACAAATTAGCTATTAATAGTTTTATCTTTTAACCTTTATACTAAAGATAAGCAATATATATACCACCATTACAGTATTAGAGTATTCTTGAGTTTGACATTATGCTTTTACCAGGTTTATACTTTCATATGTTTTCATGTTACTAATTAACATCCTTTTCTACCAGCTTGAACTCCCTTTCACATTTTTTTGTAAACACAGAGCTGGTGATGATGAAATGCTTCAGCTTTTGTCTGTCTGGGAATGTCTTTTTCTCCATTTCTGAAGTTTTGCTGGATAAAGTATTCATGGTTGGCAATTTGTTCTCCTTTAGCACTCTGAATATATCATCCTACTCTCTCCTGGCCTGTAAGGTTTCTGCTGAGAAGTGCTAGCCTTATTGGAACTCCCTTATATGTGATCTGCTTCTTTTCTCTAGCTGCTTTTAGGATCTTCCCCTTTGTCTTTTGATTTTTGACAATTTCATTATAATGTGTCGTGGTATAGTTTTGTTCATACTGAATCTGATTGGAGACTTTTGATACTCTTATACCTGGATATTTATATCTTTCTCCAGATCTGGAAGGTTTTCTGCTACTATTTTGTGATTTATTTCTTTCTTCTCCTTACTGAACTTCTATAACTCAAATATTTGCTCTTTTGATGCTGTCCTATAAATCCCTTAAGCTTTCTTCATTCCTTTTCATTCTTTTTGTTCTTCTGGCTATATTTTCAAATAATCTGTCTTTGAGTTCATAGATTCTCTGCTTGATCAATTCTGTTGATGCTCACTATTCCATTTTTCATTTCATTCATATTATTTTTCAGCTTCAGAATGGTTTGTAAAAAATATATAACTTCAATCTATTAGGTTTCTTGATTTGGTTTTCTTTATTTTGTTGAGTTATATCTGTGTATTTTCTTGAAGTTTGCTGAACTTCCTTAAAACTATTTTGAGTTGTCAGGCAGTTCATAAATCTCCATTTCTTTAGGGTAGATTTCTGGTGCTTTATTTTGTTACTTTGGTGATAGCATGTCTCCCTGATTGTTCTTGATCCTTGTGGTCATATGTTGATGTCTGTACATTGGATGAAGTGGTAAGGACTGATTCTAATCTTTGCAGTCTGACTTTGCCTGGAACAGCCGTTTACCAGTGAGCCCATTCAGAGATTCTGGGCAAGTTGTCTGGTGTGGTCTTCTGTGGGCAGGCTTGTTGCTGGAGTCCTTGAGCAGGCTGACCTAGTACCTAGGTCAGCAGATGGATGAGCCTGGTGCTTGCATGCATAGGATTAATCCTGGAACGTAGGTCCAGTGGAGTGGGCCAGTTGATTGGGTCTGCAGGGGTACAACCAGAGCCTGAGTCCACAAGGGCAGGCCTGGAGCCTGCATCCAGGGAGCTGACCTGAAGCCTAAAAACCTGCAGGGGTGGGCCTAGGTTCTGGGTCCATAGGGACTGTTCTGGAGCCTCAGTCCGCCAGGGCATGCCTGGCATTGAGGCTTACTGAGGTATGTGCCTGGAACCTGGGTCCACTGGAGCCTGGTGCTGAGGCACACATGGACCTTGGGTCCAGGGGTATTGTACTGGAGCCTGGGATTGTGGGTGCTGGCATGGGGGCATATAGATCAGCCTGGAGCCAGGGGTATATAGATACTGGCCTGGAGATTAGTCTCTGAGGGCTCGCTTGGATCCTGGGGCCATGGGGGCTGGCCTAGAACCTGGGGCTGCAGGGGATATTGGAGCCTAGTCTGTGAGGGCCAGCCCAGTGCTGGGGTTTACTCAGATGGGGCTGGACCAGGGTGGGGAGGGGGTGCCTGCTAGAGTGTGAGCTCATGGGTGCAGGCCTGGCAGTGGGTATGCTTAGAGCCTGTGTTCCTGGCGCAGGCCTGGAGTCTGGGGCTGGCATGATTTTGGGGTCCAATGTTCTCCTTCCTCCAAGTAGAGGGTCTCTCTCTCTCTCTCTCTCTCTCTCTCTCCACCCTGTGCTGCCTGGGGCTGGGGAGGGGGTAAGCTAGGTAATGTAAAATTGTCCCTCCTATCCTCTTTAGTACATCTTATTTCTGTGGTACACCAAGGTGCTGTAATCTCTAGAGGTTCCTTAACTCTTGTGAAGGTATTTTTGTGTGTGGACAGTTGTTTAAATTCATGTTTCTGCAGGGGGATGAGTGCTGGAAAGTCCTATTCTGACATCCCAAGTTCCCTCAATTTTTTTTAAAACAATAGTTCCCTCCTATATTCCTTGTTTCTTTTTCTTGCTATTTGAGTTTGGTGTTTTAACCAGTTCTTTTTATCAATGTAAAGTATTTAAGGCTCTGACTTCTCCACTGAGCCAATTAAGTTCTGCAAGGTGATGGGACTAACATTCTGTGCCGTCCCACATGAGCATTTCCCCTTTCAAAGTGAGAAGGAAGTAGGATGGAAAAGCTGAGACATATTCCAAATCGCTTTTGGTAACTTTACTTTTCAGGTTCACATATGTTAACAGAATCAATACACGATCAACTTGTTAAGTGATGTTACCAAATACTTATTTGGCAAAGTACATCCTTGATCAATGCCTTAGTGATTCTATAGCTAAAATATTAGATGTTTTATTTTGGGGGGAGTGGGGAAATAGCATAGACCGTCATTTAAACCTTCAGACAATTAGTGACTGTGTTGTACAAAAAAGATGGCGAAAGCCTTATCTAGATACCAAAATTCACATGTCATCCAACCTAGCTTACTCTTATTTTTTCCATCAGTTTCTAGGGCTGTGCTATCCAATACTGTCGCAAATAGCCCCATGTGGCATCGGAGCACTTATGATGTGGCTAGTCCAAACTGAGTGTTGAGGAAAGTGTAAAATGCCAGATTTTGAAGACTTTTACCTTATGTTGATGTTTTAGATATTTTGAGCTAAATAATATGCTAACATGACCTTTTTAAACTAATGTGGTTGCTAGAAACTTTCAAAATTATGTACGTGACTCGCCTCTTTCTAGTGGACAGTGCTGCTCTGTCTTCCTCCATTAGCTCCGTTCCCTCTAGATACACGTAACGCTGAGCCCAACAAGATCGCCTTCCTGTAACCATTTGAAGATAGCACCATGATGCTAGTTTAGTGTTTGCATTTATTTTAAAAATACACAAAATAGAAATTTTTACATCAAAGTGTGATAACCTCACTTACACATTGTTCCATACTTACCTGGTTTTGTTTGCATCTTTCTGCAAACATTAAAAGGAGATGGATTTGATTCTGATTTTTTTGCTATGGTTCATGTAAACAGTTGAGACTGCTACATAAAGTAGGTTGTTGTCAAAGGTGAAGTGGCCACAGAATCCCAAGAATAGAATAATTCAATTTGGTTTAATGAAATTGGTGGAGGTCTTAGCAGATAGATAATCCAAGACTAAATATTGTCTTCTAGGCATTTTAAAAATTAAGAACTTTGAGGTTTTCTTCATGTTGTAAACATAACTTAGACCTTGTTGGCATTAAGTTTACAAAAGAAAATATTAAACCATGATTTTTATCATCCTGCCCATGTCAGTATACACTCTCTTTATTATGAGAATGAAACCAAATAATAAGCAAAATACATCAGGAATTTCAAATTGTACTGCAAAGAAGGTCCCAGCTGGTCTCTTCTGGGAGTGATCTAACTAACTTAAGCTGACCCTGCGACTGGCTGAGGATAATCCCTTCTGTCCACTGCACCGTGCAATGCCACAGGTCATGAGATGGTCAGTTCCTCTTGCTCTGTGTCGTCTGAAGCAAGTCGAGGCCCTACTTCTGGTTCCGCCCTTCTTCCTTGGGCTTAGATTTGCTGGGTTAGTAGTTTGCTACTATTGTCAAGACTGTACTGTCCCTTTAAGGTACCACATGCCACCATAGCTTACACAGCAGTCCTATGAGAGAGAAACAGGGTAAGCACAGATTTTTGCAGGAAAAGGAGCTAATTACATTCTGTCCACAATGTCAACACTCGATTTATGATTAGTGAATAGAATACAAATGGGAAATCAAAAACTGCCTAACCATACCACCATGGCTACTACCAGCCACCCTTTCCTCAGGGGTAGTGTTTTTTTTTTTTTTTGAAACAGAGTTTTGCTCTTGTTACCCAGGCTGGAGTGCAACGGCATGATCTTGGCTCACTGCAGCCTCTGCCTCCCAGGTTCAAGCGATTCTCCTGCCTCAGCCTCCCAAGTAGCTGGGATTACAGGCATGTACCACTACGCCTGGCTAATTTTGTATTTTTAGTAGAGATGGGGTTTCTCCATGTTGGTCAGGCTGGTCTCAAACTCCTGACCTCAAGTGACCCACCCACCTCAGCCTCCCAAAGCGCTGGGATTACAGGTGTGAGCCACCGCGCCTGGCCATTCCTCAGGGGCATTTTAAAAGTGAGGGTGGGCCAGGCATGGTGGCTCACACCTGTAATCCCAGCTACTTAGGAGGCTGAGGCAGGAGAATTGCTTGAAACTGGGAGGTAGAGGTTGCGGTGAGCCGAGATTGTGCTACTGCACTCTAGCCTGGGCAACAAGAGCAAAACTCCATCTCAAAAAAAAAAAAAAAAAAAAAAAAGGGGGTCTACGAAATACAGATACTGACATGCCCAGAACAAGGGTGCTTAAAAAACAGTATTACTTATATGGCTCTGGATGTTTAATCAAAACAAGACATTGTCATCAGTTTTCTGTCTCTCAGTGTTGCTGCAAATATGGTTGGTATTTGTACTACAGTCACTTCAGAAAAGCATTATAGGTTGTACATTAGGTGCTTTCATATAGTAAACAGATCATATTCCTTTTTAAACTAAATTTAAGAATGGATTCTACTGAAAGTCATGTGTGTGGCTATGGCAACAATCAGAAGATAGTTCAAAATTCAAGGGAGAGTAGAGTGAGGATTCTCAACTAGGCCCTATCATTTTAGAAGACGCCTACCCACTGCCAAGCTCATCCAACCTACCATATTTTTTTGTTGTTCTATTGTTTTAGGCTCTTAGCAGCCTGAAGCCATGGTTTTTAGTTTCTGTCTCTAGTGACAAGCAGAGAAGAGGGATGAAAGGGGCATTACTGGCCTGGCCCAACCAGAAAGAGAAACAAAGCATCCATGGCTGTATTCTTTCCCTTGGACACCACTGTGACTATATTGTTTGAAGGGGTCAGTCCTCTGGCACATACCCCCTTCCCCAACCAATGCCAATCAATCAATCATTAACAGTTGCTCAAGACAAGACTGACTGGGGAGTGGTCCCAAGGAAGCCTGATTTCATATACACAAAGACACTAGAGTCCCTTCTACACACTGTCAGCCCCTTCCAGAGCCTTTGATATTGTTTGTTATGCACAAAATGGATGTACCTTTAGTACTTTATCCACCTCCTGTTTACTGAGATCTTCTCCACACTCTTGAGTCAACCGAGACTGGATCATGTTTCGGCGTACCCGGTAATTTTTGGAAAAAATTTCAAGCAAAACCTGTCGATGCTTTAGTAGCAAAAACACGTTATGATGGGAAACAGTGATCTAAAAAGAGAAACATCCCCAAACAAGACACCCAAGCCATGCACCTGACTTTGTGTTGCAGTCTCTGATAAAAACCCTCACGCAGCACCTCTGGTTAAAGATGAGCCAAGTCATCTCTAGAGACCCAGCAAGACAGTGTACAGAAATAAAAACACAAAAGTAAAGGCATTAATGCTATGTCTGGAAACTTGAATATAAATAAAAACAAAGGTATATGCCAGCATAACAAAAGAACTGGTGAAGAGACATGAGAGGATGAGTGGCTTGAACATATTTCTGCATGGTAAAATGCAGGCGTGCATCGGACTTAGCAAGCAGGTGAAGCGACAATCTAAGCTGCACGGAGATGAGAAGAGGGTGTCAAAATTGGTGTGAAGTCTTAATGCACAAACATGCCACTGCATCCATGAAACAGGATGCCGTAAAATACGTTACACCCCAAAATAAAAATGGAAAAGATTGGATTCAGTATGTCTAATATCTGTCATAAGAATTCTGAAAAAAACAAAAAAAAGTAACAACTCACAGGATTTTATAAGAACTCAATTGTCTAGTACAATAATGACCCGCACCAGGGCACAGCTGAAATGGCACTGACTGATATACAGAATAATGAAAAATTCTGCAGTTTGGCATAAAGGAAAGAATACAGGCCAAATTTAAAAGACCAAGAAGGAGAATGTTATGGAATTTCAACAACTCTGAAAACTTAAACAATGGAAACTCTCTTAAAGATGCTTCATGCCGGGCGCAGAGGCTCACGCCTGCAATCCCAGCACTTGGGGAGACCGAGGCAGGCGGATTACCTGAGGTCAGGAGTTCGAGACCAGCCTGTCCAACGTGGTGAAACTCCGTCTCTACTAAAAATACAAAAATCAGCCACGCGTGGTGGCACACGCCTATAATCCCAGCTACTCAGGAGGCTGAGGCGGAGGTTGCAGTGAGCCGAGATCGTGCCATTGCACTCCAGCCTGGCTGACAGAGGGAGACTCTGTCTCAAAAAAAAAAAAAAAAAAAAAAAAAAAAAAAAAAGGATGCTTCATGTATCACTATTTGTCTAGGACTAGAATTTTGAGAGGCAAATCATTTGATCACGTAAAAATAGAAACTTTGATAACCTCACACATTGTTCCATACTTAGCTGGTTTTGTTTGCATCTTTCTGCAAACATTAAGAGGAGATGGATTTGATTCTCCTTTTTTTTTGCTATGGTTCATGTAAACAGCTGACTGCTACATGAAGTATCCTTTGCCTCTTAAAATTCTAGTCCCAGACAAACAGTAATACTGTATTGTAATCCATTTTAAGACATGAAAGAATGCAGACAACTCCTCTGTCTCTTCAGAAGCTAAAGCAAGGAAGAAGCAGAGATTCCAGAATTCAGCAACAGACATGGGGAAGAGCGAGTCTCACTGGAGAAGCAGAGGGAGAGGCTTCCCGGGAACCAGGCTTAATTAAGCAAAGTATCACCCTCGGTACACATGTGTTCAGAAAATTACACAAGTGAAAACAGGAAGCAGTGAACAAGGAAATGCAATCATAGTATATTACTGATGTTTGGCTCTACAATGGATAGATTTTCAGTTCATTCTGTGACAATGCTATAAACAATGATAGCCAATTAAAAAGAGGTAAAGGCCTGGTGTGGTGGCTCACGCTTGTAATCCCAGCACTTTGGAAGGCCAAGGCAGGCAGATCATTTGAGGCCAGGAGTTCGAGACCAGCCTGGCCAACATGGTGGGACCACCCCCCGACCCCTACCACCGCGATCTCTACTAAAAATACAAAAATTAGCTGGGTGAGGCAGCACAAGCCCGTAATCCCAGCTACCCGGGTGGCTGAGGCACAAGAATCGCTTGAACGCAAGAGGCGTGAGCTGAGATGGCACCACTGCACTCCAGGCCTAGATGACAGAGCAAGAGCAAGAGCAAGACGCTATCTATCTCAAAAAAAAAAAAAAAACTGGCGTAACATATCTATCTCTACAGTCTCCTAAAATAGTTGAGAGCTAAATCTCATCCACCACAATGGGAAGCCCATTGCTAATGACAGGCTGATTTTTTTTTTTAAATGGGGGCAGCTATTTTAGTGGTATCTTTTGGTGATGTAAATGCCTATGATCCTAGCACTTTGGGAGGCTGAGGCAGGAGAACTGCTTGAGGCCAGGAGTTCAAGACTAGCCTGGCCAACATAGTGAGACCCTGTTTCTATTAAAAAAGTAGTAATAAAAGTGGTCACCTCTGAGGGGTGGCAGTCAGGTCCAGCAGTGCAAGAGCTTTCCTATTAAAACTTCTAGTCTGATTTGATGTTTAAAAATCTGCATTTATGACTTTTGTTTTTTTGCCTTTTTGTTATCAAAGTATTTCAGATACCCTCTATTCTGGACAAAAGCACTCAAGCTTGCTCAGGAAAAGGCCCCAGCCCCTTAGATCCTCAGCCTGCCAGTTGGCTCCCCTAAGAGGCAGCTGGGGACAGAGAGCTCAGTGGGATTTCTGCTGACTCCCTTCTCCCCACACCTTAGGAGCAGGGCCTAGACACGGTCAGACCGACTGGCGTTTCGACCATCAAATTAGGTACGTTCACGGCCTAAGAAAAGCTGGGATGCAGGGTCCATGACTACACCACACACACGCAAGGCGCTGCTGCTTCCACTCACATTTCTGGGCACTGGACACCTGTGACCCTCCCCATCACAGTATGACTAGAGGCAAAATGACCAATTTCTTTAACCTAAAAGTCCAGGACCTGACATCTGACAAGGAATCCTTTTGATTCCTGCTGCCAGAGGCCGCCTGAGAAATGTGCTTCACCAGTGCTCTATAAGCCTGGCTGGATCAGAGTTGCTCAGGAAGCTTTACAGAAATTCAGATACCTAGGACAGTACCGCATACCTACTGAACAGAACTGAATCTATGTTTTTTTTTTTTTTCTTTCTGAGACACAGTCTTGCTCTGTCGCCCAGTCTGGAGTGCAGTGGTGCAATCTCGGTTCACTGCAACCTCTCTCTCCCAGGTTCAAGCAATTCTGTCTCAGCCTCCCACGACTATGGGCATTTTTAGTAGAGATGGGGTTTCACCATATTGGTCAGGCTGGTGTCAAACTCCCAACCTCAGGTGATCCACCCACCTTGGCCTCCCAAAGTGCTGGGATTACAGGCGTGAGCCACTACGCCCAGCCTGTATTTTTTAAAAGATGATTCTGATGGAGCTGGCTCACAGACTGGCATCTGGGAACCACTGGTTTAGGTTCAAACTATTGGCACATACAGCTTATTTTGTTAGCGTACAGAGTTGGAGCAGGATATTTAAAACCGAGTGTGCCAGAAAATCTGAAATGTGTGGCTGCACTTTGGGTGCACATGTCCCCCAAGGCCTCCAACGCTGCAGGAAACCCCCCTGGCTCTTCGGGAAGATGGCAGCAAAGTTCACCTCACCTGATCACTCATGTCTCCAGACTCCCAGAGGGCAAACACCTTCTGCTCATCCGGGGAAGCAGCAGTCTGGGGGGGAAACTGACCAAGGCCCAGGGGTGAGTTGCTTGTCCATCTCTACCCCATGGATCCATTTGCTTGCCTCATCCCTCCCTGTCTGCCCCAGCCCAGATGCAGGAACATGGGTTCCAATCCCAGCTTCTGCTACTCACCATCTCTGAGGGCCTTGGGCAGCCACAAACCTGTGCCTCTCACCTCACCATGGGGAGGAGGCCAGCACACCCCCCAGGGCCTGACAGGGCTTCAGCGAGAGGGGGAGTGTGATGGGCCCAGTGAAATGCCCGGCTTCGAGTCTGCAGATATCCTCCGTACAGTGGGGAAGCTGCGTCTGTTTCCCATCAGCCTGGCACCAACTCAACTGTGCTTTAACACCCAGAGTCCTCCCTCCTGAAGATGCCAACCCTGATGGAGGGGCGCCCCCTTCCCCATAACTCTTGGGGTACCCTGGGGGTTCTTTTCAACTGCTTCCCACATGTACCATGTCAGTGTGGGTTAGAGGCACTGCCTGACTCCCAAGCAATCCAGGCCACTTGGTCCAAAGGTAGACCAGGACAAGTGTGACACAGGCCTGGGTCCTGGAGAGAAGGGGACAGGGGAGGGGGCATCTGGGATGGTAGTTTCCAGTCCTGGTTCCATCACACAAGTAGCAATAATGGTTACTACCAGTAAAAGCCCTGTGAGGCCTCCAATACACATTTGCATTTGAGCATTAGAAACTGGGGAGGTAGTACATGGGGAAAAGTAAGCTCAGAGAGGTTTGCTCACTGTCCATGGTCACACAGCTAATAAGCAGCAGAACCAGGAGTTCAAGTCAAGTTCTCGATCTATTCACTTGCCCTGGACCTCAGCTCCCTCATGTACAACACAGAGGTGGCTGGGATCGGAGGTCTCTTACGTCTTGGATGTGACTACAATACAGTCTCCTTGTCAGGATGGCAAGGAGAGCATTACAGTTAGGGCCATGGTGTCTCCTGGAGACGCTGGCCCCACCCCAAAGCAACATGGACAGAGGGGGTCCGGAAGGAGGGGTGAGGGTGTCTGAGGGTGGCCATGTCCCACCCCTCACCTCTGTCCACTCCAGCGGCCCAAAACAACTAATGTCAGGCAGGTGTCCTGCCTGTCCTGGCCCAGCTCATGAAGAAAGGTGAGCTTGTGGAGACCCAGACCCATGTGCTGGGTGGGCAGGAGCTCCGAACTCTGCCAGTACCTCCCACAGGGGGCTGCCTGCCAGCAGGGCCGATCCCCTGAGACAGCCTAGGCTCCACAAGGCCTCCTGTCCTAGTTTCTATTCCTCATACACAGGGATGGGCCTTGGCCTCAGATCATCACCCAAGGCTGCAGGCCCGCTCCTGACCTTGGCAATGAAAACATCAATGCTTTCTTAGAGACCACCACAGCCCCACCTCACCCCATTTTGCTGCCAGGTCTGGGCAGAGCCTTGTGGAAAAGGAGCACGGGAAAGGCGTGCCTCAGGCAGCACCTGGCGCTCTCTATCCTCAGCGCAGGGAAACGGTCCCCAGCAAGCACTCTGCTCCCCCGTCAGGGCCCCTCCCAGTGACAGAAAAGCAGCCCAGGGGGAAGGGGCAGGAGGCTTGCAATACCACACTCAAGGCCTGGCACTGGAAGTGCTGAGAGCACAGCGCTGAGCTGGTCAGCTTGCTTCTGATGCACAGGGAGGCCGCCAGGACCCAGGCCCAAGCTGGGGCGTGGCGCAGCTGTGGGGAAGCAGCTCATCTTAGCTGAGCAGAAAGGATTCAAAACTCCAGGCCACTATACTGAGGTCCAAATTCCAGCTCTACTACCTCCTAGGTAGTGACCTTTAAACGTACATTTCATTCCTTGGAGCCTCAGTTTCTTCATCTGCAGATTGCAAAGAAGATCAAACGATCTTAGAAGTTAAATCATTCCAAACAATGGCAAAGCTAGTAGGAAACAGGTGTTCTTGGTGGGGGACAGGGTGAGAAACCAGGCAGGGGCCCTGTTTCACTAGGCCCTGCTGCAGGCCAGGCAATAGGCCGGGCCTTCAGACACCGTATTTAGCCCCTACCACAGTCCTGTGACATAAAACCCAACATGATCCCATTTCATGAGAATAGAGCCTCAGAGAGGCTGACTTGCCCATGTCACACCTAGGCCCACGTGAGAGCAGATGCTCACCAAGCATGGCCTCCCGTGTCCCCACGTGGCCTCCCAACAGCTGGTTCTCCCCACCCCCCACCCCCCATGCCCCTGGCAGGCAGGGCTCTACTTACAGGCACCAGTATCTGCTTGCAACCGGCGGCCAGCACCGTGTCCTGTAGCATGCGGTCCGAGATGCCGCTGAAGAGTGTGTGGCCGGGGGGCAGGCTGGCCAAGTGCAGATTGAAGAGGCGCTTGAGTTCGCTCAGCGTGAGCACAAACTGTCTCTGAAAGGTGGCCTCCACGAAGGCCTTCAGTTCCCGAGCCACAGGGGTGCTGGCGCAGCCCTGGGGCGGGTGCCCGTTGAAGCTGTCTGTGCCCGCAGCCCGCCCGAGAGGCAGCCCGTTGGCCAGCTTGCTGTGGAGGCCGCTGGGGGAAGTGTCCATGGGCTCCTCCTCCGCCTCCTGCTCCTCGTCCTCCTCGCCCTCCTCGCTCACGGGCTCCTCCTTGATCCGCACACCGGGCGGGACCGCAGGCACCCGCAGCTGCTCCTTCCGCCGCTGCAGCTCCCGCTCCAGCAACGCGTGGTTCTGCTGGGCCTTGGTTTTGGCTACTTGGATCCGCTGGTCCCCACAGACCAGCCCGGCAGGCCCTGCGGGGAGGGAGGCAGCACTGCTCAGGAGGGCACAGGGATCTGAAGCCAAAAGCCCAGCAGGGGACCGCGGGGCTGCAGCAAGTGGTCCCGTCCTGGTCTCATCCCCAACCTTTCTCGAAAATCAGCCACCCCATCAGTGGAAGAGAGAACCGTCCCAGCGTGCCGAGAGTCATGCGGGGAAGGGTGCTGCTGAGTTCCTCCCCCCAGCAGCTCTTCCGGGCCCGCTTGTTGACCCAAGAGGGTGAGTGAGCCTCAGAGACCTGGAACCCAGACTCAGCCCTGGAATCCGCAAGCCTCCGTCCCTGAGGCTCTGCTGCTGGGCAAGCGACCAGCTGCGGTCTGTGGGTGGCAGGAAAGGAAGGAGGGTGAAGGGTGAACGGTGAGAGCCCTCCACCCTCTCCAGGTCCGGGCCTGACAAGCTCTAGCACAGCAGCCCTTCCGGAGCCACAGTGTAGGAGCCGGGGCCTCCCAGCCCAAAGCCCCTCACACACCTGATTGTGCATCCGGCTTCTTTGGCATGGTTTCCTTTACAAGATTATAGACTTTTTCCAGTCTGAAAAGAAGAGTAACCCCATTAACTTTAAACCACGTCCCCTACCATCTGCTTCACAAGAGAAACAACCACCCCTTAGGCCCCAGGACACGCTGGTTACTGACAGCGCAGGCTTGGAGCTCAGCCAGCCCTACTGAGTCCCTCTTCTGGCAGAGTGCACAGCCCCAGGACCACCCAGACCCCATCAGTCTTCTGCCAACACCCCTCTGGTCCCCAGGCCCCAGCTCTTGCTCCTGAGTGCTCCCTCTCTCCATCACATCCCTCTTCCCTGAGCCCTCAGAGCACGGCCACCCTGATGAGCAGGTACTGGCTGTGTGTCCTGTGCTGAAAGGATGGTGGGATCAGCCAGCAATGCCTATCAGTGTGGGTGAGGAGCGTGGGGCCTGCGGACCCCCACCTGCCCTTCACACCCAGATCCAGCCCAACTGCGCTCTCCCCAGATGTGGGGTTTCTAGAGATTGCTCGGATCCACCCTGACAGTGCTCCCCAGGATGCAGGGTTGCTGGGATCACCGGGCTGCCCCTCCCTGGCCCAGGGTGCTTACTTGGCCTGGATACCCGTCCACAGCATGTGCTGCCGCTGGACCACATCCGGGTGCTTCTTGATGAACTCCCCATCATAAGGCAGAATGAACTCCCAGCCTTTGTTGATCCTCACCACGGCCATGTGCTCCAGGAAGTCCTTCACATCCTCGGCGCAGAGCTGGAGGGGAGGGGGCCCAGCGTGAGGCACAGCCAGCCCCCTCCCCTCCAGCAGCAGCCTGGGCCTCAGACCACAAAAACGCCACTTACTTTGGTCACGGTTGCCACCTCTTTCCTAACCACCCAGCGGCTCTGCGTGAACTTCCACATCTGAGGGAGAAGAAGCAGCACATTCCAGGGGCGGCCACGGACTGCTCCCAGGACTGTCCCGGGAACTCACCTGGCAGGCCTGGGAGCTGGAGCCTGGGACAGTCCTAGGCTCCTGGCCTTGATTCTTCCCAACAGTGTGGCCTCAGGCAGTCCCTTCAGCTCTGCACCTCCCTCCTTTTCTCCTCCATAAAGGAGCTCCAGGCCCATCTCTTCCAAGGGGACCATGGGACCATCCCACCCCACCTAGACCACAGCGCTCCCTGGGGATGCCCTGCCCAGCTCCGAGGATACGATGAGGACTCGGGCTGGGAGGGGCTCCCACAGACACACGCTGTCTGCATAGGCGGCACTTCACAGTGGTGGCTGCTAATGGCTGGTTGGAGGCCGCCCATCCTTCCAGAAGCTCTCAGCCCCCTGCAGCCCCCACTCTGCCTCAACAGCTCCCCTGCACTCTGATTAGATTTGTGGGGTGACTGGGAGAGAGAAGGGTGGCTGGCTGAGAGACACAGGGAATGGATGACTATCACCTACGCTAACATAGACTGGACCACACCCCCACCAAGCCGCCAGTTCTGACAGTGTCTACACACTGGAGCGGGGCGGGCAGGGGCAGCTGGGGGCAAACGGCACTGTATCTGGGGAGGCAAGCCTGGGAGTGGTGATTGTTACATGCTGACCCCTAGGAGCAAAGATGCTGCTCGGGCACCTGGACACCGACTGCCCAGAGGAGTTGGGGAGGCTCCTTCAGGAAGAGAAGAGGCAGATGCTTCCTTCAGCTTAAGGGCTGCCTTGTGACTGGGACGGCACACCAGCGTGCCAAGGGGTGTGGGACAGCTCCTGGGCAGCACGTTTCAGCCAGCACCAAGCCTAGGAAGACTGTGGCTCCCAGCTGCATGGAGTTCCAGGCCTTGGGAGGGAGGCCATGGGTGGGGTGATGGGAAGAAGGGAGACACCAGCTCAGGAGTCCCAAACTCCAGGGACAGGCACAAGGGAGGCAAAGGCACCTGGGACTGTGGTGAACTGGAGACCGCCAGCGCCTTGTGGGGAAGTGGCCCCAGGGGTGTCAGGGAGTCCAATTACCCTTGACAGCTAGACATCTGTCTAGCATCAAGATTTTTTTTACATCAAAATTTCAATTTATAAAATCTGACAACCAAGGCAATATTTCTAAACCACCACTCAGGCCGAATGAAACGTGCTTCTTGACCCACCCCCCGACTGCGCTAGAGGAACTGGAAGGTTCTTTCCAGCCCGAGACTCCAGGCTTCTGAGAGGAAGGAGGAGAAAGGCAGAGGCCAGGGCCTCCTCACACACCCGCCTCCACCTGGAGCCTCTGCCGGGCCCCGGTCTTCAGAAGCCCTGCACCGCTGCCCCCCTCTTCCCACGCCCCCACCGTGAGTCCAGAGAACCCAAGGTACTTACAACGAAGTCTCGGCCCCTGCAGAGCACCTCAGCAGGCACGCCGCTGTGAGGGCTGGACGAGTCCTTGGGGTATAGGATGTCACTGCCAATGCAGGTGAGGATGGCAGGTCAGTCCCTGCCCTGAGCCCCCTCTACCGCTACCCCTCCCGGCCAAGCCCCAGTCCATGCTTCTTTCCACCGTGGGCTGGGTACAGGCCTGAGCCCCAAGACCTCCCCTTAGGAGCCACATCTGTGAACACAGACATGGGAAAGAAGCACCCCTCTACCCCACACATCCCCCCAGTTCTTCCTCTTATTACCCCTCAACCCGCCATGCACACCAGCCTCATCCTAAGACCCCTGCACATTCAGGGAGAGGTCACGGGCTCAGAGACAGACAAGGTGAGGAACAGCCCGGGACCTCAAGGAGCCCAGGACTCTGGAAGACAACTGGTCCCTGCACGTGACACCAAGAGAACCAGGGATGAAGCCATCTGCAAGCCCTTGGCCACCTGCTGAAAGGGGCAGGTGGGCATGAACCGAGGTCAGAGGCAGGGGAGGCATGTTAGCCCTCGGAGAGAACAGGCTCAGCACTCAAGGTTCAGGGAACTTCAGAGGAAAGGCCGGGGCCTTGGACAGCAGGGCACGAGAATCTCCAGAGTGTAGCCCTGACCCAGCTCCAGCCACAGGCCCTGCAACCCCGGCTCAGCCCCTGCTGCGGCACCTGTGCTCTGACTGTCCCTCCCTCTGCTGCCAAGCCCTCCTCCTCCCCCTGCTCAGGTCCACCTGGCAACCAACTGTCACTCATCCTGCAAGGCCACGCTCTGTGGGGACACGGACTCTGCCGATGTGGCTCATCGCTGCCACCACAGCGAAGGTACCTATTAAGTGTGTGCTGACCAAACAAACCTGGTCCATGCCATGATCTCTGCATTCAGGGAGCTCAAATGTAACAGCCGCCATCCCCAGGGGCAGTGTCTGAATGAGAGCCCGGTCCATGGCACAGAACGAGCAGTCTAGCCATAGTGACTGAATGGAGGCATGGATTTTGCATTGTCTCCTCACAGGCACACACAGGACCCTCACCCAGGGGCCCCTGACATGGCAGCATGGGCAGCAGCAGAGTAGGGCTTACAGAAGTGCCGGGGCAGGTGAAATGCCCACAGTCCCCAAGTCCCTACCTTCCAGTCCCCAGGACAGGGCGAAACTAAAAGGGGCAGCACCTCCAGGGGACACATGCAGTGCTGGGTGCAGAGCCCAGGGCTGAGCCATGAGGCTTAGGTTTTAACAGGGCTCTGCGGCTGCCTTGCTGCAAGACTTTTGGCAAGTCCCATGCCTCTCTGGGCCAGTGTCCTCAGGTGTGTGACGGGAGGACCCCTCTTGGCTTTCATTCACTTATGGTGTAAATATACACACGTGGTCCTATGTAATACGCGATGCGCCATTGCAAAAGCCTTCCATGATGAAAACGTGTAACAAAGGACAACAGCCGCAAGGTGCTGACAAACTGCGCTGGGCACCTGTGGAGCAGTGCAAGGGCGCCACCAGGTGGCAGTAACACGAATATACTCTACAACTATGAGGAGCTTTCAAGGCATTGTATTTTCTTAAAATGTTCAACATTTCACATTTTGTCACATTGCTCACCTTAAACTACATTACTTAAAAAGTGAGTTATTAATGCAATTAATGCTACATCATTCAGAATCAATATAATTCAAGTAAAACGTAGCCACATTATTTACCAAGGGTCTGCACTGGTAATATCCAGGCATTATTCCGGGTACTGGGAACATAAAGCAGGAGTCAAAACAGACATCCCTAATCCCTTGAAACTGATGGTCTCGTGGAGGCAGCACATGGTCTAGGGGAGGATTCGCCGAAGAGAAACCACTGAAAGGCATCAAGCCCCACGCTCAAGACCTGTGATCCCCAGCAGAGTATGTAAAAAATTCACACTTAAAGACACATCTAAACGAACCCGTAGAAAACCAAAAACAGAGAAACTCCTAAAAGCAGCCAGAGGAAAACAAAGGCAGGCTGCCTTCAAAGGAATAAGAACAAAACTGCCAACAGAAACAATGAAGTCGGAACACAACAAAATCATATCAACGCGTGGAAAGGAAAATAACCACCAATCTAGAATTCTAGAACAAAGGTGAAATAGACATTTCCAGACACACAAAAACCAAGGAAATGCATCACCAACAGACCCACATTAAAGGAAATACTATAGCATTCTTTAGGCAGAACGAAATGATCCCAGATAGAAACTTAGAGATGCAGAAAGAAATGATGACTAAATTATAAACATGCGAGTAAAGAATATTGATTGACTGGATACAGTAATGTCTTATGGGGCTGAAAACATACAGAGAATTAAAATACACCAGGCCGGGCACGGTAGCTCACGCCTGTAATCCCAGCACTTTGGGAGGCCGAGATGGGTGCATCACCTGAGGTCAGGAGTTCAAGACCAGCTGGCCAACACAGCAAAACCCTGCCTCTTCTAAAAATACAAAAATTAGCCGGGCGTGGTGGCAAGCGCCTATAATCCCAGTTACTTGGGAGGCTGAGGCAGGAGAATCGCTTAAACCCGGGAGACAGAGGTTGCAGTGAGCTGAGACTGTGCCACTGCACCCCAGCCTGGGCAAGAGAGAGAGACTATCTCAAAAAAAAAATAAAAATACACCAATCCTGTGCTCTCTTCGGCAGTACATATACTAAAATTGGAACACTAGAGAAGATTGGCAAATTAAAAAGGTAAAAAAATATATATATACCAATCTAGCAGTGTGTAAGTATGAGGATAGATATAAAATATTCTAAGATCTCTGAATAGATTGGAATGGGGTAAAAAGCAGCAATTAACATTAAAATGTGTTAAGTCATGAATGTAAGCTGAAAACTGTAGGGTAATCAATATATGAGCCCAAACAGTGTAACTTCCAAGTTAGCAGGAAAAAATAGAAACAGAAATGAATCCAGCAGATGGTAAGAATGATATAAAAATCCAATGTAGGCAGGACAAAGGGTACTACAGGGTGACTATAATTAAGAACAATTTATTGTATAATTTTAAATAGCTAGAAAAGTGAAGTTTGAATGTGCCCAACACAAAAATGAGAAATGTTTGAGGGGATAGATATGTTAATTGCCCTGATTTGATCATTACATTGTATACATGTATTTAGATTTCACACTGCCCCCATAAATATGTACATTATGTGTCAATTTAAAAAATGTTTAAATGCGGCCAGGCACAGTGGCTCACACCTGTAATCCCAGCACTTTGGGAAGCCGAGGCGGGCAGATCACGAGGTCAGGAGATGGAGACCATCTTGGCTAACACAGTGAAACCCCATCTCTACTAAAAATACAAAAAATTAGCTGGGCGTGGTGGCGGGTGCCTTGTAGTCCCAGCTACTCGGGAGGCTGAGGCAGGAGAATGGCGTGAACCCGGCAGGCAGAGCTTGCAGTGAGCCGAGATCGCACCACTGCACTCCAGCCTGTGGGACAGAGCGAGACTCTGTCTCAAAAAAAAAAACAAAAAAACAAAAAACAGTTTAAATGCAATGTAGGCAGGACAAATAGAAAGCACTGTAGATTTAAACCCAAAGCACTAGTAACTGCATTAAATTTAAAAGGACCAAATGCTCCCATTAAGAGAATACAGCGTAGGCCGGGCCCGGTGGCTCACGCCTATAATCCTAACACATTGGGAGGTCGAGGTGGGTGGATCACTTGAGGTCAGGATTCGAGACCAGCCTGGCCAACATGGTGAAACCCGTGTCTACTAAAAACACAAAGATTAGCTGGGCATGGTGGCGGGCACCTATAATCCCAGCTACTCAGGAGGCTGAGGCAGGAGAGTTGCTTGGACCTGGGAGGGAGAAGTTACAGTGAGCCGAGATTGCGCCACTACACACCAGCCTGGGCAACAAGAGTGAAGCTCTGCCTCAAGGAAAAAAATAAATAAAAATAAAAAATAAAAAAAGCAACTTACCTCTTCACCACCCAGTTCCCTTGGACCAACATCGCCACCTTCTGGATGCCCCGCAGAACAGCCACGGAATCGATGGAGGGGCCCAGGAGGCTCATCAAGTTGGCAAAAGGCATGACCTTCACTGAGGAGGACGCAGGAGACATCAGACAAGGAAGAGGGGCCGGGCCCTTCCCTCCCCTCCACCGAGAGTCCGCATAGCTTCAAGTTCATGTAATAACCCCAGAATGTGATAACTAACAGTAATGACACCCATCATAGCCAACAGCTGACACTCTCAGGCTGCTCACTACATGCCAGGCACTGGGCACCTCATGAAATCTGAGGATTATATGAAGTGCCCCTTAAGGAAGACTTGAGGGGTGCCTCAGGAGGAAGGGTCTATTACTACTCAGACCTGGAAAGGCTTCAAAGCTCACCCATGATCTCTTGGCTAGGAAGTAGCAGAGCCAGGAAGTGAACCCAAGCCACTTGGCTCCACTTGGTACCCTCAATCACTGTGCTCTGCTCCCGCCCAAGTGAGCCCTGGGCAGGGCCCAGGGAAAGTCCAAAATTTGGCTGGGCGCTTTGGCTCACACCTGTAATCACAGCACTTTGGGAGGCCGAGGGAGGCAGATCACTTGAGGCCAGGAATTTGAGACTAGCCTGGCCAACAAGGCGAAACCCCATCTCTACTAAAAATACAAAAATTAGCTGGGCGTGATGGCGGGCACCTGTAGTCCCAGCTACTCCAGAGGCTGAGGCATGAGAATTGCTTGAACCCGGGAGGCGGAGGTTGCAGTGAGCCGAGATTGTGCCACTGCACTCCAGCCTGGGTGACAGAGCAAGACTGTCTCAAAAAAAAAAAAAGTTCGAAGTCCTCTGCAGGAAGGAAGCCTAAAATCCCGAGCATATCATGGAGCTCCCCTCTCTCCTTAGACTCCTAAGAGCTCATGGTGGCATCTCAAAGGACGAGCCCAGGTTCTGCGGCTCCATTCTGAACTCAAGGATCAGGTCTGTTGTTCACCAGCCACGGGTACCCTAAAGGTTCTGGCACTCAGAGTCCTCTGAGAAAAGGAGACCAGTCCTTATGGTGCCAGGTCTGGCAAGAGTACCCAGAAGCAATGCCAGTGAAGACATTGTCATGAAAATGACCCTAGTTGAGCCGGTGCAGTGAATGGCGTCTGCTTGTAGGCCCAGCCACTCGGAAGGCTGAGGCAGGAGGATCACTTGGGCCCAGGAGTTACACAGCAAAACCTTTAAAAAAAACCTTTAAAACCTTTAAAAAAACCTTAAAAAAAAAAACAACAACAACAACAACAACAACAACAAAAAGCCCCTAGTCCGTGTTCGCCTGCAAGGCCCTGTACTTTAGAAGCCTCCTCTCTCTGATTCCTCACATTGGCCCCCAGGAACTATCATTAGTCTCTTTTCACAGAAAAACAAACAAAGCCTCAGAAAGGTTCATGACCTGCCCAAGAGCATGGCAGACAAGTGGTGAGCATGGCACAGGAACCCGAGCCCGCCTGTGGGGGCCAGACACACTACTGTCCTACATTCACGGGAACCCGGGCTGCCTGCGGGAGCTGGCCGCACTGCCGTCCTGCGTTATCTTTCCAGACAAGGATGCAGCTGCAAAGCTGGGCAGGCTGTGGGCAGCAGGGGCCTCTGGCCTTGTCCCCTGGTCCTCACTGTCCCACAGAGTCCATTCCTCAGGAGCCACTGGGACTGGGGCCCCCGGGTGGGCAGGGGGTAGGCACCCACCATTCTTCATCAGGATCTTGATCTGATCGGCCAGGGGCAGCGTGCGCAGCTGGGCCATCGACAGGACGTTGCTGGGGGCCACAGGCTTGTCTCTGGGAAAAGCAGAGGGGACGGGTTAGAGGCAGCCAGCCCGGAAAGGGAGAGGGTGTCCTGCCGCCTCTACTCACTTCTCCTCCTCCTGGCTGGGTGGCATCAGCATCATCAGGTACTCACTGCAGGGACATGGCAGGGGCAGAGGCTCAGGGCTGATCCAGGCTGGACCCTCCTCACCAGCCACCCAAGTGAGGGTCTGGGGAGAGGGTGCAGACAGCCCACCCCCGCCCTCCCCCAGCAGCCCTGAGCCCCTGCAGAAAAGTGGACCATCTCTTTCCAGGCCCACCCTCCTGGCCTTCTCCAGGGGACAATGGGCTCCACCCTCATGCTACAGGAGGGGCCACAGTCCTCTGGGAGGATCCACACCAAGGACCCCTGGGGACCCTGGGCAGGCATCCAGTTTGCATGCTGGCCCAGCCCATCCCACCTGGGTGACTTGACGAGCTCCGTGTTCTCCACCCCGCTTGAGCCGGGGCACAGCAGGTACTGACGCTCATGCTCAGAGCGACTGTCCTGTTGGAGGAGGGCAGGGTGTGAGAGGAGCCTCAGCTGATGGCCCTGGCCTGGGCCCCCTCCCCCAAGGCCTCCCGTCTTCCACTCCATGGCCAGCCACAGGACCACATCCAACCTCCTGAGCACGGCACCCAAGGCCTCTGACGTGGCCTCAGCCACTCATCTTCCTGGCCTTATGACCTGCCCAGCCCCAGCCCCCAAGCCTCGATGCCTTGTCTGTAACACAGGTACACCACCAGCAATGACAAAATGATGGCTAACATTCACTGGGCATCTAGGATGTGGTGGACTCTGTTCCACTGACTGTAAATATACTAACCCATCTCACCCTCAAAATAACTTGGCAAGGTAGGTACTATTATTACTACTCTCATTTTATAATTAAGAAAACTGAGGCTCAGAGAGGTTAGCTAACATGCCCAAGGTCACACAGCAGGAAACAGCAGTGTCTAGAAGTTTGACCCCGAGTCTAAGGGTCTGTTAACACAAATCTCTTCCAAGAAGGTTCCAGAGAAATCAGGAGTTGTTCCCCACCCCAGAAAATATTGGGAGCCCTGGCCCATGGTGTCTTTGGAAGCATCCCTCACTCAGTACACAGTTTCAAGGGTTAGGTTCTAAAATCAATGCACCAGGGCCAGGTGGTCGTGGCTCACGCCTGTAATCCCAGCACTTAGGGAGCCTGAGGTGGGCAGATCACTTGGAAATCAGGAGTTCGAGACCAGCCTGGCCAACATGGCAAAACCCCATCTCTACTAAAAAAACAAAAACAAAAAAATTAGCAGGTGCCTGTAGTCCCAGCTACCTGGGAGGTTGAGGCAGAAGAATCACTTGAACCCGGGAGGCGGAGGTTGCAGTGAGCTGAGATCGAGCCACTGCACTCCAGCCTGGGTGACAGAATGAGACTGTCTCAATAAATAAATAAATAATAAATAAATAAAAATAAAAGTAAATAAAGTCAGCGTACCAGATGAAAACCAAGCACAGTAAGAAAATCCCCTGGGCAGGTGGTGCTGGGAACTCTGGGGTGGCAACACATGACCGACCCTCTAGGACAGAACCGGAGAATGCATCTGGCCTGCGTTTAGGGCCTGGGCTGCAGCGAAAATATGTTACCAGGCACTAGCCCCACTGCAAGCCCAGCAAGATGCCCATGCCCAGGGGCCAAACCCCACCCAGGGAACCAAGGACTCGCATCTTTTCCTCTTGCTCTCCTGGGGCCCACGCTAAGTGGCTCGGCTGGAGTGAAGTGTAAACTGCCCACAGGACTCGATCCTCTATCTGTGGCTATGACTCATGAATTTGACTTAAGTTCAAGGTGAGACACGGAGGCCACACCATGACCCTTCCGGGCACCGAGGTGTTTCCCCCAGGACCCCACGAAGCCCCGCTCACCCTCAGGCCATAGTAATGCAGGTGGACCCAGGGCTCCTCTGCGTGCTTCTTCTGCAGGAACTCATAGGACTGCACACGGCGCTGGCGGGCCTGCTCTGACTCCGGCCGGGAGAACCGCACCTGCGGTGGGAAGGGGAAGAGGTCATACCGTCAGGCCTGTGACCCTTGCTGGACTGCCGTCTCAGCCCCTGCCAGAAGACCAGAGAACTCCGTATAGGGGTTTTCCACTCTCCCTTCCTTTCCTAGCACAGGTCGTTTAAATTCCGTTCCAACCGTGTCCCTCCCAGAGCTGCCTGCACACGCCAGGGAACGGCTTATACTTGCTCGTGCCTGCCCAGCCCAGAGGCTTGAGGGGGATTAGAGTCCCAGGCGCCAGAGCCAGCAGAGTCCTTAAAGCAGACAGGCCCAGGATGCCTTTTCTAAGTTCCCCAGAGCGGAAGGGAGTTTCTAAGGTCCTAATAAGCTACGGAGAGAACAGGATGAGCTCCCTGCGCCACCTCCATGTCCATTACGCCCGTGTTCCCCGGTCCTCAAGGGCTTCCAAACACTCACCACTCTCTAGCCATACTTGTGTATCATCATTCTACGTGTAGCATTTTTCTTTTGGTACTACTCATTTTAATCTAAATATGCTTAAATAGGGAAAACTTTACAAACCATAAATGGAAGGTTAAGATTCTTTGAAAAATCTTTAAAATTCAGGAATAACTATTAAAACGAAAACTATTCATCCGTGCCCCATAAAGAGGATAGAATCACAGTTAATTGACTTTGGCTCTGTTAAGATACAGGTTCATGGCAGAGCTGGTCTGCGGGTCCTCAGGGCTCCTGGCCCCAGCTTCCTGCTCCCAGGTGACTCTAGCCAAGCCCCAGGCACACATCTCCTGGATCCAGCCAGGGCTTCCATCTTGTGTATAGCTGGAACAACTCAGGTTGTTCCCTCCAGGTAGCCCAGCAAGAAGGCTCAAAAGCATGGGCCCTGTCTGCTCCACCTGCATTCTGTGAAGACCCGCTACCCCTTGGTCTCTGGTCCTGCTGCCGCCCAGGCAGCACCCTCCTCCTCCAGGGGCCAGGGCTCACCGTGATCTGCTTAACATCGTCTTCCGCCTCATCCTGTGAAGAGTCCCCTGCTGCAAGAGAGACAAGCCACTGACTGCAGTCCTGGGGAGCCTCCACCTCCCTTCTCTCAACCCCACCCGCCAGGGAAGCCTCAGGCCGGGGTGCTGGGAGTTCTCCTCGCAGAGGGAGCTGCCTAAGCCAGTGGTTCTCAATCGGGGACAGTTTTGCCCCTTTACCCTGGGGATACTGGGCAATGTGACCTTTTTGATTGTCACGACTGTGGGGTGGGTGCTTCTGGCATCTAGTAGGTAGAGGCCAGGGATCCTGCTAAACATCCTATCATCCCATCCCTCTTCCCAGGACCAAGCCATCCCACCAGGATGAAGGCAGGCAGGCAGCAGGGCTGGGGATCCCGGGCTCACCCTCGTTGGCCGCCTCCCTCTCCCGGTGCTTGGCGTCAGCCTTATCCAGGTAGGAGAAGCTGGGCCGCAGCTGCAGGATGCCATGTAAAGGTGTCAGGTGGAGCTCACCTGGCGGAGGAAGAAGGGCTTGGACTCAACTCTAGAAACCCACCCAGTTTGGCTCAAGAGAGTCACCAAGTCCCGTGAAGGCCTAGGCCCACCATCAAACCGCCTCCCATTCCCGCTGCAGCCCCCAATCCTAGAGTCTTGGGACCACCAGGCCAGGGACCATCCCCACCTCCACCTGGCCTGCTGGACACAGCAAGCACACAGCCCAGACTAGGACAGGAACCTGGACTCTTCTGTTCGAAGCCACTTCCTTCAGTCCCACCTCCCAGTCTGGTTCCACGCCCCTCTCCCCAGCTGCTCGCTTTGCAACACTAGGCAGCTAATCCTCATCAAATTCGCCCTGCTGTTTACCCTCCAGGCCTCGGCCAGCTCAGCCTTACTGTCCCGCCCCACACACCTGGATTTCCTCTCCTTCTTATCCTCCATCTTTTCCCGCCAAAATCCCACCCGTTCCACTAGGAAGTCCACTAGTGCCACTGTGGCTGGAGAAGAGGCCCTGCTAGAACTGGGTGGAGTGTCCACATGGCCTCTGATAAAGATCATGACTTTCCCTCCCGCTGCAAGGGATGTGGCTTTCAAGAATTACATGCTTGAGACATGGGTTCTAAACAGAACGCGCGAGTTATATGACACTACTTTTGATCCTATCCCATTTTGTTTCCTAAGTGTTCAGATTAGTTTCGTTCATTGCTTTTGAGACTAAATACTTAAGCACTTTACTGTTTTTTTTTTTTTTTTTTTTTTTTGAGATGGAGTGTCGCTCTGTCACCCAGGCCAGAGTGCAGAGTGCAGTGCCATGATCTCGGCTCAGTGCAACCTCCACCTCCCCGGTTCAAGTGATTCCCCTGCCTCAGCCTCCCAAGTAGCTGGGACTACAGGTGTGTGCCACCAAGCCCAGCTAAATTTTTTTGTATTTCAGTAGAGATGGTGTTTCACCATGTTGGCCAGGATAGTCTTGATCTCCTGACCTTGTGATCTGCCCGTCTTGGCCTCCCAAAGTCCTGGGATTACAGGTATGAGCCACTGCGCCCGGCCGCGCCTTGTACTTTTTACCAGCTTTGGGACAAGACTCACGTACCATATAGTCCACTCATTTAAGGCATACTAATCAATGTATTTTTGTTTTGAGATGGAGTCTCACTCTGTTGCCCAGGATATTCAGTGGTGCGATCTCGGCTTACTGCAACCTCCGCCTCCTGAGTTCAAGCGATTCTCCTGCCTCAGCCTCCTGCATAACTGGGATTACAGGCACTCACCACCACGCCTGGCTAATTTTTTCTACTTTTTGGAAGAGATGAGATTTTATCATGTTGGCCAGGCTGGTCTCGAACTCCTGACCTCAGGTGATCTGCCCACTTCGGCCTCCAAAAGTGCTGGGATTACAGGCATGAGCCACCACTCCCGGCCATAATTCAATGTATTTTAACGTATTCACAAAGCTGTGCAGCCAGCACAACCAATTTTAGAACATTCTCATCACCACAAAAAGAACCAGGCAGTCCCCACTCCACTCTCCCACTAGTCCCTGGTAGCCACTAATCTACTTTCTGCCTCTGTACATTTGCCTATTCTGGACATTTCACATACAGCCACACATCACTTAACAATAGGGATACGTTCTGAGAAATTCATCCTTAGGTGATTTCATCGTTGTGCAAACATCGCAGAGTGCACTCACAGAAACCCAGATAGCAGAGCCTACTACACGCCTCGGCTCTATGGTATGGCCTATTGCTCCCAGGCTACACACTGTACAGCATGTTACTCCCCTGAATACTGTAGGCAGTTGTAACAGAATGGTATTTGTGTATCTAAATATACCTAGGCTGGGTGCAGTGGCTCATATCTGTAATCCCAGAACTCTGGGAGGCAGAGACAAGAGGATCGCTTGAGCCCAGGAGTTCGAGACCAGCCTGGGCAACATAGCAAGACCCCACCTCAACAAAAAATTTTTTAAAAAATTAGCCAGATGTGGTGGCATGGCCTGTAGTCCTAGCTACTCAGGAGACTGAGGGAAGGCAATTGCTTGAGCTCAGGAGATAGAGGCTGCAGTGAGCTATGATCACCACTGTACTCCAGCCTGGGTGACAGAGTGAGACCCGGTCTCCAAAAAAAAAACCCCAAAACAAACAACAACAAAAAAACACACCCAAAAAACCCTAAACATAAAAAAGGTACAGTAAAAGTATAGTATAAAAGACTAAAACCAGCTTATAGGACAAGCTGCTCTGGATGAGTGAGTGGTGAGTGAATGTGAAGGCCTATGACATTACTACACGCTACTGTAGACTTCATACAGACTGCACACTTAGGCTACACTAAATTTATTAAAAAAAAAAAAAAAAAAAAAAGGCTGGGCACAGTGGCTCATGCCTATAATCCCAGCACTCTGGGAGGCCAAGGCTGGTGGATCACCTGAGGTCAGGAGTTCGAGACCAGCCTGGCCAACATGGCAAAAACCCTGTCTCTACTAAAAATACAAAAATTAGCTGGGCATGGTGGTGTGTGCACCTGTAGTCCCAGCTACTCGGGAGTCTGAGACAGGAGAACTGCTTGAAACCGGAAGGCAGAGGTTTCAGTGAGCCAAGATTGAGCCACTGCACTCCAACTTGGGCAACAGAGTGAGACTCCCTCTCCAAAAAATAAATCAATAAATAAATTTATGAAAAATATATCTTTATTGTATATGCTTTTTTTCAAGACAGAGTCTTGCTCTATTGCCCAGGCTGGAGTGCAATGGCGGAATCTCAGCTTACTGCAACCTCCGCCTCCCAGGCTCAAGCAATCCTCCCACCTCAGCTTCCTCAGTAGCTGGGACTAAGGGATGTGCCACCATGCCCAGCTAATGTTTGTATTTTTTGTAGGGAAGGGATTTCACTATGTTGCCCAGGCTGGTCTGGAACTCCTGGGCCTGCCTCGGCCTCCCAAAGCACTGGGATTACAGGTAGGAGGCAACACACCCGGCTATATGCTTTTTACCTTTTTTTTTTTTTTTTTAAACTTTTTAAACTTTCTACTAAAAACTAAGACACAGGCCGGGCATGGTGGCTCACACCTGTAATCCCAGCACTTTGGGAGGCCGAGGTGGGCAGGTCACCTGAGGTCAGGAGTTTGATATCAGCCTGGCCAACGTGGCAGAATCCCATCTCTACTAAAGATACAAAAATTAGCCAGGTGTGGTGGTGCATGTCTGTAATCCCAGCTACTCGGGAGGCTGAGGCAGGAGAATCGCTTGAACCCAGGAGGCAGAGGTTGCAGTGAGCCGAGACTGTGCCACTGCACTCCAGCCTAGGCAACAGAGCGAGACTCTGTCTCAAAACAAAACAAAACAAACGAACAAGCAAAAACCTAAGACACAAACATACGAGTTAGCCTAGGCTTACACAGGGTCAGGCTCATTAAGACATCACTAGGTAAGCCAATTCTTCAGCTCCATTATAATGTTATGGGACCACCGTTGAGTATGTGGTCGGTCGCTGACTGAGACGTAATCACACAGCGCGTAGCTGCGAGTGAAGAAGCATGTGGCTTCTTTCACTTAGCACAATGTTCTCAAGGCTCATCTGCGTGGTAGCATCACTGCTTCATTCTTTTCCATGGTCAAATAACATCCCATTGCGTGAATGGACCACATTCTGTTTCTCCATGAATCCAGCGGATGGGCATCTGGGTTGTTTCCACTTTTTGGCTATCATGAAGATGCTACTGTGAACAACTGTGTATGGTTTTGTGTGGACACATGTTTTCATTTCTTTTGGATAGATGCTGCCTAGGAATGGAATTGCTCTGTCATAAGCTTCATATTTAAAGACAAAATTCTGTCCCTAAACTTATGTTAGCTACTTGTATGTATCTGTGTCCCGGGAGGACAAATGAACTTGGAGCCCCACCCCATCTGGTCAGGCAGTGTCCAGCCAGCAGTCCACAAAGGTGGCCACTTCCAGTCCCCTGACAATGTGTCATTTCTGTTATTTCCACACCTGCCCGGCCCCCACAGGTGTCTAGCTTTCAGGGCAGGTGGGAGATGGACACCAGGCTGGGGAGGTACTCTCCCTGCCCAGCCCCCCCCAATGCCATGTCCCCACCGCGGGACACCCAGCCCCGGGTACCTTGCCTGTAGAGTGCAGCGGCATAACGGGATGTGTTACTGGTGGTCTGGGAAGAGCAGAAGGTCTGCTTGTCCATCAGCTTCCTGGAGCACAGGGAGAAGCAACGTCACAGGGGAAGGCAGCTCCGAGCCAGGGCCTGTGGCCACAGCGCACCCCACCCCCTAGACACTTTCTGAAGTGCCACAGCCAGGGACCAAGGCCGCAGGGCAGCCTACGCGGGTCTCAGGAGGGCAGCCTGGGGATGAGAAAACCCATGGCCTTGTTTGTAGACCAAGAGACGAGGAGTGGGTAGGAGCTCTGGGACCAGCTAGTTCAGGAGGGCAGAGTCTGAGACAGGCCCAGCCCTCCAAAGGCTGGGACACTGGTGGGGAGCCCAGTGACGGGGCAAAGGGGGTCAATGTCTTTAAGGTCTTTTGGAGGCTCCTGTGTGAACGCAGGGAAACCGGACAGGCTTGGGGCCGGAAACTCACGAGGAATACGTGCTGGTCTCGTCGGCGCAGGCCCCGTCCACGTTCAGCGCAATCTGCTCCCCTTTGCTGCGGCAATAGTTGGGGTTCAGGGTGTCGATGGCCATCTCAAGCTCTACCTGGAGGCACCAAGCACCCCCACCAGCTATGAGGACCCCAAGGCATGGCTCCTCAAGGGACACCCCAACCCCACCATGGCCACCTCCTAACCAGGACCCTGCCCGGAAGCGAGACTGACACATGTCCCCAAGGGCCCCTGGACTTCAGTCCACACCAAGGGTCACAAACCCAAATTCCAACAAAAATGTCAGAAGGAAGTGGAGAGTCCTGTAATCTTGTTTGTCCTCTACTTCACTCCCAAAGACCTAAATTAGGTGCCAACATTTAAAAATCAAGAGATTTCTCATAAAAATCCTTATTTCCCACTTCTCTTGAAAAGCCAGCAGAACTGGCAATACTGGGATGGCACTTCCATGTGGCTGGAGGGGCTAGAGCTGCAGACCCTCCATGGATAGGCGCTAGATTCTCTTCCCATCAAACCTACTCCATGTTCACCCGCCCGCCCTCGTCTTATCCTGGGAACCTAAGCTCACATCTGGCCCCATTCTCTCATTCATCAGCCTCATGCGTCCCTGGCCTCTCTGGAGCTGCCCATCCCTGTCTTTCTGGACACTTTCCTTCTTCAGCTTTCAAGGGCCTGGGAGTTGCTGGTTCTCCTACTTCTCCAATGACTCCTTCTCTGAGCTTCTCGCCTCCACCAGCTCCCACCCTCATCACCCTCTCTTTCGGCCCCAACTGCCCTCAGGGGGCAGCCCCACCTTCTGCTGCTTGGGCTTGATCTTGGCTGAGAGGTGCGGAATGTCATCGTAGGTCATCGAGGCTGGACGCACAGGGTACTGGGGAGGGGAAGGGAGCCATTAAGTCCACTCTGCCCAGCCATGCCCAGAGCTGGGCCCTGGCCAAGAATCAACAGCTATCTCCAAGCCCACCCCAAGCAGAGACTGGCCTTACCCTACCACAAGGGTACAAGCTGCCCAGCCCTACCATGAGGCACCCCTGCCAGTCTCCACCCGCAGCCCTATTCTCATCAGCTCCCCACGGCCTCCTTCCAAAGGGCCACTGCAGGATGTCTCTGACTTCCGAGGGACGTGTCTACACACAGGAACCCAAACCGGCACGCTGCTGCTCCAGGAACCCACAGAGCACGGCCATGGGAGGTGAGGATGGGGGTCCAGGGCCTAACTACCAGTGGACAGGCCATCCGGGGAGAGAAGGACGACCAAAAGGAGTCCATGAGGAAGCAAAGAGTGAAAGCAACACCGGCACGTGCTGCTCACTGCTGAGGCCAGACGACGGGCAGGTGGGAATTCGTGAATCCATTCGCTCTCCTTATCTGGTTGTGTGAGCTTCCTCACAAGATGCTGGAAAAGGGAGCCAGGCAGCCATGGCCCGCTCTTATCTTTATGTGAATGGCTCACACAGCAATGCGCTCAACACGCAGGGGCTCCTGTCCACATCTGTCCTCACAGTACACTGTCCCTCTCTCTCTCAGGTGAAGGAGTCAAAGTCTGGACCCCTCCTCAAAAGCTCTGCCTGGTCTCATGACAGCCTGTAGAATGAGCCTGGTGGAGGTATGGCAGTGCGGAAAATAGGCCCTTTCAGATCAGCTACATTCTAGCGCAAGGAGACGGTCATTTCCTAAAAGCTCACTCACACAGCAAAGCCGTGACTCCTCCCTGCTTCCTGGGCTGGGGCTGGGGGCAGTTCTGAGATCACCTGACTGGGGGTGGGAAGGCTGAAGGGCGCAGGTTCTGAAATCACAGGCCTGGCTTCCAGTCCTCATCCTTCCCCTTGCTAACTGTGGACTCAGGCAGGCACCTCGCCTCCCTGAGGCTAAGCATCCTCACCTCCCAAGGCCGCTGTGAGCACGGAGGAGGCAAACAGAGCCGATGGTGGCTCAGGGTTTGGAACTCTGGACACACGGGGGTCACTGGCACCTCCACCATCACTTTGCAGCCAGTCAAGGAAACAGGGTGAGCAGGCACACAGGACAGGCCCCATTCCCACGGCCCATAAGGGTGAACCCCAGGGAGTGGAGGCCAGGCCCTCCCAGCACAGGCTTACAACATTGCTGCTGTGGCATGCCCCAGGCCTCCGTGCCCGTGAAGGCCTCCCTGTGCCTCACGTTCTCATGTGCATCATGGGATATGAACACTGACTCTAACTGTGGGAAGGCAACATGGGGCAGAGCAGCCCAGCAGTGCCTCAAAAAGCTAAACGCAGACCCAGCAATTCTGCTACCAGGCATATACCTAGAAGAAATGAGAATTCACGTTCATCATAAAAACTTCTATGTGAATGTCCACAGTGGCATTATTTATAATAGCCAAAAAGTAGAAATAACCCAAATACCCATCAGCTGATGAATGGATAAACAAACTGTGGTCTCCCATACAATGGAACATTATTCATCAGTAAAAGATCAAATATTGGCTGGGAGCGGTGGCTCACACCTGTAATCCCAGCACTATGGGAGGCCGAGGCAGGCAGATCACAAGGTCAGGAGTTCGAGACCAGGCTGGCCAACATAGTGAAACCCCATCTCTACTAAAAATACAAAAATTAGCCGGGCTTGTGGCGCGTGCCTGTAGTCCCAACTACTCAGGATGCTGAGGCAGAATCACTTGAGCCTGGGAGGCAGAGGTTGTGGTGAGCCGCAATCAAGCCACTGCACTCCAGCCTGGGCAACAGAGCAAGACTGTGTCTCAAAACAAACAAACAAAAAAAAGAAAAGCTCAAATATTGATGCAGGCTATAGCTACCATGTGGATGAGCCCTGAAAACATCATGCAAAGTGAGAGCAGCCAATCACAGCAGGCCACATACTGCATGATTCCAGCTATGTGAAAAGTCCGGAATAGGCAAAACCATAAACAGAAAATAAGGGGAATGGTTGCCTGGGGTTGGAGGTGGGAATGGGGGGCACAGACTGATCGCTAATAGGCAAGGGGTTCCTTTAAAGGGGGACAAAACTGTCCCAAAACAGACTGTGGCGCTGGTTGCACAGCCCCATGAGTAGACTAAAATCCATTGCATTACACACTGAAATGGGGAAACTGTGTGGTGTGTAAATTCTATCTCAATATATCGGTTATAAAATGTAATAATCACCACCATAGGGTTATTGTGGGGTTAAAGAGGTAACTGAGGTAAATGCTTTCAACAGTCTGCATACGGTCAATGCTCAATACATGTTGGCCACAATGACAAGCTGCTGGCCCAGCAGCAAGGGGAGGGGGCAGAGGTAGCAACCCGGGGCCCTCGCAGCTGGCAGGACTGAGGGCTCACAGACGCTGCCATGGAGCTGCCCCTTGGAGCCTCCATGACAACAGCGGCCATCATCACTGGCACCAACTCTCTGCCAGGCGGCATCCTAAACACTTCACTGTGGACTCAGCCTGTCCTCCTGGGGACCTATGAGGCAGGCATTATCACCATCACCACTTTGCAAGTGAGGAAAGTGAGGCACAGAAGGATTAAGAAACTTGCCCACGGTCTCGCAGCTATGGTGTGATGGAGTTGGATCTCAATCCGGTCTGACCCCAGAGCCCCAGCTTTAACTGCTGCACACTTCTGCCTCTCCTGTGTTCCTTCAGTTTTCCCATCTTTGAAATGAGACCAATATTAACCCACCCACGAAAGCAAAGAGACCCCATGACACTCTCCACACCGAGAACCCTAGCTGAGGTTTCCCATCGTTTCCTGCCCGTGTTCCTGAGTCCACACCACCCACCCACACCTGCTTCTCCCCTCTTTACCTTCAAGTCCCATAATTACCTGAAATAGATACAGCTTTTCCGCCAGACTCTTGGCCAAGTACACATCGATCTGGGAAGAAGGGAAGACGACTTAACCGGGAGACTGGACACAGTGCTGACCTCCCCGGGCTATGCCAGCGCTTCCAGCTTCAGTTAAGGGCAGTGGCTCAGGGAAGCAGTTTGGGGAAGGAGGAAATAGCTCAGCTCATGCTAAAAGCAAGCGGATCCAAGGCTGCACACTGGGTATATTCAGGAATCCCTCCTGAAAGCTCCCAGGGGAACCAGGGCAAGAGTTCACCTGGTACCCCCACCCAAGTTCACAATCCCCCAGTAAGCACACATCTTCCCTGGGGCTGCACTGATCGGGAAACGTCCTACAGCCTGGGCAAATGCTCTTCTGAGAGGCAGGCAGGCGAGGGCTCACCTAGGCCTGTGCCTCCTGGCTGGGCCCTCCACCTGCCCCTCCTGGACCAGCCTGTCACCCCTTCTTAAGGGGTCTGCAAGGCCCTTTGTGACTGATGGCTCCACTTCCTTTCTTCCCAACACTAACCACCCCCACCCCGCCACGCAGCAGTTTACCTTCCTGCTTCCTAACTCCTCCTATAAACCACATGCTCTCCTACCCCTGGGCCTTTGCACATGCTTTTCCCTATACCTACAGAGCCCTTCACACATGCCTCCCCTGAGCCTTGACTGCTCGCTCCTCCAAGGACTTGGCTGAGGCACAACTTGGGCAGGAAGCATTCCAGGCCCCCTGGCTGCAGAGGGCACTGCCTCTGTCCTCGGAGTCCCTTGGACTCTTCTATCCCATCACCAACCCCCCTGTTGTAACTCCTGCTACTGCAGTGTAGATGCAGCTTAAATGCATCTAAATAACTCACATCTAATAACTTAGCAACATCCCCCAAGCAAGGAAAAACCACCTCTATTCATCTCCGAGGACCTTCTCCTTGCCCCTGCCCTTCCCACTGGAGGTCAGGCTCCGCATATAAGGAGGCTGAAGGCAGATGCAGTTACTTTTTGCCTTTTGCCTTCCAAAGGTCTAAGTCCTGGGTTAAAAGGATTCTGAAAGGTGAGTTTGACTATCAACAGCTTTCTCTAAGAAGGGAAACCTGTGCCGGCCATGGTGGCTCATGCCTGTAATCTCTGCACTTTGGGAGGCCCAAGGTGGGTGATCACTTGAGGTCAGGAGATCGAGACCAGCCTGGCTATCATGGTGAAATCCCATCTCTACTAAAAATACAAAAATTAGCCAGGTGTAGTGGCGGGCGCCCGTAATCCCAGCTACTCAGGAGGCTGAGGCACAAGAATCGTTTGAACCCAGAGGCAGAGACTGCGGTGAGCCAAGATAACACTACTGCACTCCAGCCTGGGAGACAGAGTGAGACTCCGCCTCAAAAAAAAAAAAAAAAAAAAAATTAGTCGGGCGTGGTGATGGGCACCTGTGATCCCAGCTACTCAGGAGGCTGAGGCAGGAGAATCGCTTGAACCTGGGAGGTGAAGGTTGCAGTGAGCCGAGATGGCACCACTGAACTCCAGCCTGGGCAACAGAGCAAGACTCTGTCTCCAAAAAAAAAAAAAAAAAAGGGAAATCTGCCTCCCACTGCCTGTACCCGGAGACTCCTGCCTCATCAGTCTTGCCCACAGCCCATTAGCTTCCCAGGGAAGGGGACCCTGCCCTGCTCACTGATGTGTCACAGCCCCCAGCACACAGTGGTCCAGTGAACAGCTGCTGAATGACTACATCTGCGTAAGCCTGGGAAGGAGGGACTGCTGAGCCCATTTATTCATTCATTCATTCACCAAATAGTCGCCGGGTACCTGGGTGCCAGGCACTATACTCGGCTTTGCGGCACAGCAGTGGACGGGAAAGAAAGCAATCAACTGATATCTAGGGGATGACGGGGGCTAGGCCAAGTATGAGTTACCGCCAAGGTAAGGGCAGAGAGAGGCACGGGAGGGTGCAGGAGGGGAGCTGGGTGTGGAAGGGCAGTCAGGGAAGGCCTCCCTGATGAGGTGATGCCAGATCAGAGACCTGAAGGAAGGGAGAGGTCAGCCACGCAGGGGTCTGGGGGACAGCAGAGGGGACCAGGCAGAGGGAACAGCAAGGGTTAGGGGTCCCAGAACATCAACAGGTCCCAGACTGGCCTGAGGACACATGGAAAGGACCCAATTCCACTGCCTGTAGCCCCGGCGGCAGGGGACAGAGAGCAGCAGTTACCTCCTGTACAACTGGGTCATCCTCTTCATTGGCCATACTAGAGGAGAGCCAGCCGCGCAGTCCTTCAGCTCGATCTGCAAAGGAGGGCGAGAGACTGGGACCATCAGTCGTTCAACCAACATTTCCTTGTGCCTATTCTGCAACAGGCCCTGCACTGGGAGGGGGAGCCCACAACCAACCAACTGACCTTCTTTCTACATCTACATTGAAGTCAACAATGGATGACCAACCCTATACCCCATCAGCCAGAAGAAATAAAGAAAAAAAGAAACACTCAAGCAGCGGGTGCAAGCGGGTAGACCAAGCCAACAAGTGTGGGCTGCACCTGCGGGGAAAGGCAAATGACTGGCTTTAATGGTTTCTTCTCTGCTCACAGAGAATTCACTGCCAGACAGAAGGATAGAGGTTGGCTGGTCCCAGCCATGATTAAAACACTGGAGAACTGAGGGCCCTGGGGACGCTTTAAAGAGGAGCCAGAAGTTGAACAGGAAGACAGACAGTCCAAAGCTCTCTGATATTTGATTTTCAAGCTGACTTTAACTCGAATCCTGAGTGAGATGACTCTTCTGTGTTTTTGGTCTAAAAATGACCTCTTCACACACTCTTCTGTCCTGTATTCAACACAATGACCCTATGAGGTGTGGTGATTGTCACTGTTTTATAATGAACAGACTGGAACTCAGAGATACTGTGTGCATTTTGACCCAAAGTCACATAGCAAGCAGGATGATGAACTGGACTTCAAATCCAGGCTGTCTGACCTCAGGTGACAGGTACAGGTAGGGGAGTTGAGAGGCGGGAAAGGCCTTTCTGCTGGGGAGGAGGCACGTTAGGTGCGCCTGGAAGAAGAGAGAGCTTTGGGCAAGTCATGACAACAGAGGGGAGGAGAAATTCCAGGAAGAGGGAAGGCTGTAGGTCTCCACGGGGCAGGTTGAGTATTTCAGCTGGTCTGCCCCTTCACATACCCAAAGAGAAGAGGGGTGGTCATAGGTAGGATGGTACTCAGGCACCCCCAGGCCTCAGCAGTTCCCAAACCTCTGCTCTTGGGTGAGACTAGCATGAATTTTTTTTTTTTTTTTTCTTGAGACGGAGTCTTGCTCTGTCACCCAGGCTGGAGTGCGGTGGTACGATCGGCTCACTGCAACCTCTGCCTCCCGGGTTCAAGCGATTCTTGCCTTAGCCTCCCAAGTAGCTGGGATTACAGGCATGCACCACCAGGCCCGGCTAATTTTTCTATTTTTAGTAGAGACAGGGACTTGCCATGTTGGCCAGGTTAGTCTTGAATTCCTGACCTCAGGTGATCTGCCCGCCTTGGTTTCCCAAAGTGCTGGGATTACAGGCGTGAGCCACTGCGCCCGGCTGAGACCAGCATGATTTTTGTCTGATCTACTTAACATTTGAACTATCTAATATTTATTTATTTTTAAGACATGTCTTGCTCTGTCACCCAGGTTGAAGTGCTCTGCCGTGATTTTGACTCACTGCAACCTCTGCTTCTTAGGTTCAAGTGATTCTCCTGCCTCAGCCTCCCAAGTAGCTGCAATAATTGGCATGCACCATCCGCTCAGCTAATTTTTGTATTTTCAGTAGAGACGGGGCTTTGCCATATTGGCCAGGCTGGTCTCGAACTCCTGGCCTCAAGTGATTCACCTGTGTTGGCCTCCCAAAGTGCTGGGATTACAGGCATGAGCCACCACACCTAGACAAAAGCCAAAGTCTTTATCATCCCATGTAAACCCTAAACAATCTCCTGCCCCTTGACCTGCCAGACCTCATCTCCCACAAGCCTCCTACCCTCCTCTCTGCTCCAAACCCACTTCTGGGGCTTTGTAGCTGCTCTACCCCCCCGATAACCTCATGGTCCCCCCTTCACCTCTTTCCGGTTTTTGCTCAAATGTCACCTTGTGGCTAAGACCTTCCCTCTCCAAATCACATTGCAAACTGCCTCCCCCACCCCTCAATTCCCTTCTCTGCTCTGGTTTTCTCCATAGCAGGTGTCTATCACCATGTGACAGTTTACAGCTCTGCATCTGTGCCCATCTCTATTGCCACTAAGCTGTAAGCTATGTGAAGGCAGAGATTTTGGTCTATTTTGTCCCTTGTGGTACCCCAAGTGCCTAGTACACAGCAGGCACTCAATACATGTTTGTTGTCTAAATAAATGAACCATGGGAATGCTATTTAATAGGAAGCTACAGAAGGATTTCGGGCAGAGGAAGACATGGAGCGGGTAGAAAGAGAAACTTCAGGGAAACAGCTATCGTAACAGTCCCAGAGATGGAGGATGGAATGAAAATCAGGAGTCGCATCTGGACAGTTTCAGTGCATCTCGACTGTCTGCTGTGCAGACAGAGGGCAGTGTAGAGCGGAGAGCCCAAGGCCTCACCCCATCTGCACCGGCTGCCAAGTGCCACAGATATGTCAAGCTCCTGCCTTCTCTGCAGCTGGGCAGTGGACAACTGAGAGGCTGGGGCCTGGGAGGTTCCCAAGACGCAATTGTTCTTTCTTGGCTATTGCTATGCCCTGTTGGCCTCTGCCCTGCCAGGGATCAGGGAGGCTGAGGTGCCCTGTCAGCTAGAGAGCTGGAGCTCCTTCCTCTGGATAGTACATCTGGGTTGATACAAAGAGTGTCACCTCCCTTCATCCTCCAGGCCGAGGTGATCCAACTCAGTGGCTTTCAAAGTTTTCAGCCTAAGATCCACCACAGTAAGAAATCCATCTCATATAAATAACCCAGAACATACATACAGTTGCATAACTGAAACAAGGTTTCACGTAACTATAACTGTCCCTACTATATGTCAGGCCGTGATGTTTTCTACTTCATTCAAAACAAAAAATGCTAGCTTCAATTCCCTTAAATTGATTTTACTTCCCACTAATAAATTTTAACCTGCAATGTGAAAAGCACTCATCCAAGTCTCCCTACGGCTCCTTATACCTACCTCCAAGTCTCCCAGCAACAGTGAGTCTTTGGAAAGAAGTAAATCAGGCTGGCATGGTGGCTCATGCCGGTAATCCCAACACTTTGGGAGGCTTAGGTGGAAGGACTGCTTGAGACCAGGAGTTCGAGACCAGCCTGAGCAACATAGTGAGGCGCCCCCCGCCCCCCGGTCTCTCTTTAAAAAAAAATTTTAGCCTGGCATGGCCTGCAGTCCCAACTACTTGGGAAGCTGAGGCAGCAGGATTGGTTGAACCCAGGAGTTTGAGGCTGCAGTGAGCTATGATCACACCACTGCGCTCCATCCTGGGTCACAGTGTGAGACTCGATCTCTACTGGGGGGAAAACAAAGCCAGGCACGGTGGCTCACACCTGTAATCCCAGCACTTTGGGAGGCCGAGGCAGGCGGATCACCTGAGGTCAGGAGTTCCAGAAAAGCCTGGCCAATAAGGTGAAACCCCGTCTCTACTTAAAATACAAAAATTAGCCAGGCGTGGTGATGCACGCCTGTAATCCCAGCTACTCGGGAGGCTGAGGCAGAAGAATCACTTGAACCCAGAAGGCAGAGGTTGCAGTGAGCCGAGATCTTGCCACTGCACTCTAGTCTGGGCAACGGAACAAGACTCCATCTCAAAAAAAAAAAAAAAAAAAAAGTAAATCATATTATTTCCCTGCCTAAGACCTGTCAACTGCCACTGTCACATAAAATAAAACCCAAACTCCTTTCCATGAGCCACCTAAGGCCCTACATAATCTTGTCTCTGTCTTCCCCTCACCATCCAGGCTGGTAGCCACTTGCTGGGCCTCCAACAAGGCAAGCCCCAGTCCACCCCAGGTCCTTTGCACATCATCTATTCTCCCACAGGGATTTCCAAGGTTGCTCCTTTTTATTAAATATCATCACCGCCTGCAGGAGAGGATAGGTTCCCTGACCACCCTATTTTAAAAGCCTCCCCCAGCCTCCTCCCAGGCCCTACCACATCTCTGTTTTCTTTCCTTGGTGGGTCTCATCTTAATCTGGAACTACCTGGTCTATTTGCTCAGGTGTTGTTTGTCTTCTGCAATAGAACGTAAGCTCCATGAAGGCTTCTCAGTGCTTCAGTTTCCTCAACTATGAAATGCAGACAATCATACTTTACTTCATCAAAGCTGTTATGGGGAGCATTACTTTAAAAAAAAAATCCAGTGCTGGTTCTCTCAATACCTAGAACAGTGCCTGGCACGAAGTTGACACTCAATATAGTACAAAGAATACTTTATATTTAATCTTCTCATTAGCCCTATCAATAGAGATTTATCATCTTCAATTTGGAAATGACGAGACTGAGGTTCAGATATAAGCAACTCATCCAAGGTGGAATGAGGACAGAAACTTGGGTCTCGCTATGTCAAAGATCCTTATTCTTATTCTTAACCACTATACTGCACGGTTTTCTGATAAACGGCAGTATGGTTAAGTGGGTAAGAGCTTGGACCCGAGAACAAAACTGTGCAGGTTCAAATCCCACCACAGCTGCTTGGCATCTGTGACCCACCTGAGTTGTCTGGGTTTGGTATTCCTCCCTATTTTCATCCCTAAAGTAGGGAAACTAAGTACCGACCTCCAGACCCCTGCGGGGAAGGAGTAAGGACAGGACGCTAATAAACGTAACCTCTGGGAAGGTTTGTTATTACTTGACAACATGTTTTCTGCCAACGTAAGCGGGTAATGACGCTAAGCCACAAGTCAAACGCTGCAAGCAGGAGCGTCACCCGGTTTCTACTGAGCCGTCACCACAACCCTATGAGGTAGGAATTTCTATTATCTCTATTTCACAGATGAGGAAACTGTGGAGATCGCTAAGATCTCTTCTTTCCGCCTCCAAGCCCAAGGAATTCTAAAGCTAACCCAAAGGAACGACCTTGTTTGTTTACTGACACCTCCTCGGACCGAATGGTCAGGGCTGTATCCGGAACACAGAGTTGGCTCGGTAAACACTGAATGGTTGCCTGAATAAATGAATGAGGAATCCCTGGCCTCGCCGGGCAGAGGCTAATCCGGTTCAGCTGCGAAGTGGGGGCTCCGGCAGGCGCAGGTGCCCTCCCTGCCCATCGGGGCGGGCCGCCGATCCCGAGCCTCGCTGTCCAATGGGTTTCTGCTCCCTCGCGGGTGGTCAGGCCCCCCTTCTCACGCCCACCACGCAGTCCCTGCCGCGAGCCGCCACTACACCCGACGCGCGGACAGGTGTTTCTTCCGTAGGAGGCCTCCCAGGCCCGGATAGGGCAGGTCGGCTGGACCCTGAGTCACCGCCGCCAGCGTCGGCCGCGGCCTCCCCAACTCCCAGGTGTCAGGTCAAGGAAGTCAGAGTCCGGGGTCGGCCTGGAGCCGGCTGCCCCTCCTCCCCGCCCGAGTCCCGAGAGGCCTCCAGCTGCTAGGCACAGCGCGGCGCGGGCCTCCTTGGCCTACTCGGGAATCTAGCCCAGGCCCACGTCGTGAGTGCGGTCCGGCTCAAGCCCCAGCTCGGGCACTGCCAAGACGGGACTCACCTCTCCGCGGGGGCCGAGCGCGGACGGCGGCAACGGCCCAGTTACCCGCGGGCTGCAGAGACGGCGGCGGCCCGGCTCTCCTCTCAGGCGGCGGCCATGTTGCTGGTGGAGAAACTCCGGCGGACACGTGGGGGGGAGCGGGCCGGCCCCAGCGTTTCCTCTTACCCACAATGCCCCGCCCCGGTGCACGCGGCTCCGCCCCCTCCGCCGCGCCATTCATGCAGGCCGTGAGCCCCGCCCTGCAGCAGGGGGCGCTGATGGCACGCGCAAAACTGAGCCAGGAGTGTATGCAGCGGGGACAAAAAGACAGCAACCCTGGCAGCGGTGGGATTCGAACCCACGCCCCCGAAGAGACTGGAGCCTTAATCCAGCGCCTTAGACCGCTCGGCCACGCTACCCAGCTGCAATATGTTTATGCCAGAAAGCTACTTAATGCTTTTGCTTTTGCATTTAATCTGGACATTGCGAGGCGTTTTCGCTGAGGTTTTTTTTTTGCTTAACGTGTGTTCAAGGTGATCCCTATAGAATTATTTTAAAAAGCCGTGTTTTGGAAAATAAACACTTGCTCCAGTCTTTAGACCCAGGTTGGTTCCGAATAGGTATTAGAGCAAAACGCATTTTTAGAAACTTTACTCTGAGTTGGATGGTTAACCCGGAGACCCCTGGTTAACCCACAGGTAATCCATACGACCCGGATTGGGTGTCTCCGGGAGAAGAAATTGATCTGATCAGAAACATGCACCAGGGGATCTGACGGCCAAACCCTGGAGCTGGTCTGGGCAGTTGTCTCTGAAAAATTATGTTTAAATTTTTACTTACACAAATAACACGCGAATTATTGCAAAATATTTAAACTTTGCAGATAAGGTACAAATGCTCTTTGACCTTGACTCGCATCCTAGGCCCCTCCGCCGAGGTAACTAACCATTATTATCTGTTTAATATGAACTATGGTTTGAATGTGTCCCCCAAATTTCATGTGTTGGAAATTTAATCCCCAATGTGGCAGTATTGTGTGGTGGGCCCTTTAAGAGGTGATTAGATCATGAGGGTGGAGCCCTTATGAATGGATTAATCTCTTCATGGATTCATGGATTAATGGGTTAATGGATTAATGGGTTATCTTGGGAGGGGGACTGATGGCTTTATAAGAAGAGGGAGAGAGACCTTAGCTAGCAAGGGAGCAGCTCAGCACCCCCTCCATATGATGGCTTGTACTGCCTGGGAACTCTGCAGGTGTCCCCCACCAGCAAGAAGGCCCTCACCAGATGCACACTCTTGACCTTGGACTTCTCAGACTCCATAACTGTAAGAAATAACTTCCTTTTCTTTACAAATTACCCAGTTTCAGGTATTCTGTTATAAGCAACAGAAAATGGACTAAAACACTATATATCTTTCTAGATCTTTTGCTGTGAATTTATATGTTTATATCTATATGGATATATATAGATATAGCCATAGAAGATAGCTTTGTTTTTATTGTGTATGGATTTGAACACAAATATTGTCACATTATTCATATAGATCTGCAATTGGCTGTTATTTTTCACCAGACTGTATTTTAAAATACCTATCCGTGTGGATATGCAAAGATATTAAAAACAAAAATGCACAAAAATTACAAAGAAAAAAATTATCATCCATAGTGCCACCACCTGGCATTAAATTAATGACTTAGTATTGTGGCATTTTTTTCCTTTTCTTTTTTCTTTTCTTTTTTTTTTTTTTTTTTTTTTTTTTTTTTGATGTGGAGTCTCGCTCTTGCTGTCTAGGCTGGAGTGCAGTGGTGCGATCTCCGCTCACTGCAATCTCTGCCTCCTGGGTTCAAGCGTCTCTACTAAAAATACAAAAATTAGCCTGGCGTGGTGGCACATGCCTGTAATCCCAGCTACTCGGGAGGCTGAGGCGGGAGAGTTGCTTGAACCCGGGAGGCGGAGGTTGCAGCGAGCCGAGATCCCACCACTGCACTCTAGCCTGGGCGACAGTGAGAAACTCGGTCTCAAATAAATAAATAAATAAATAAATAAATAAATAAATAAATAAATAAAAAATAGATCACACTATTACAAATAGAAATTATTAGACCATTGCAAATAGAAATAAGTCCCCCTCCCATTCTCCCCTGTCTATAACTGTCATGAATTTGATGTGTATCTTTCCAATAATTTCTTACATTTTTACTATAAAATTTATGAATAATATCTAAAATGGTTATCTGTATGTTTTTCACTTATATAAATGTTAGCACATTGTACTGATATCCTAAAACTTGCTTTTCTCATTTCAACAGTATTATTATTATTATTATTTTAAGAGAGTGTTGCTCTGTCACCCAGGCTAGAGTACAGTGGTGCAATCATAGCTTACTGTAGCCTAGACCTCCCGGGCTCAAGCCATCCTCCCACCTCAGCTTCCCAAGTAGCCAAGATTACAGGCATGAGAGACTGTGCCAGGCCCAACATTATGTTTTTGAGGTCTGTTATGATGCCTATAGATCTAATTCATTCATTCCATGCCATGTACAACTTTTAAGTTGTTACTAAATTTTTGTCATTACACACAATATGGCAGGAAGTATCCTTGCACATGGCTCCTTGTCTTACGTATGGACATTTCTCTAGGGTATACACTAGAAATGAAATTGCTGGTCTATATTTATACTTTCCCTAGTATTATATAATAATAATATTAATAATAGGCTGGTCTCAGTGGCTCACTCCTATAATCCTAGCACTTTGGGAGACTGAGGTGGCAGGATTGCTTGACGCCAGGAGTTCAAGACCAGCCTAAGCAACATCGAGAAACCTTGTCTCTACCAAAAAACAAAAGAAAAGAAATTAGCCGGGCATGGTGGCATGTGCCTGTAGTCTCAGCTACTTGGGAGGCCGAGGTGGGAAGATCCTTTGAGCCAGGGAGGTCAAGTCTGCAGTGAGCCGAGATTCAGGTGCTGCACTCCAGCCTGGGTGAGAGAGTGAGACCCTCTCTATATAGATATAGATATGCATATATTTTTCCATTTTGCCAAATTATATGACTTTTGATGACTTTTTTTTTTTTTCTATTTCTTCCTGAGTCAACTTTGGCAAGTTGTCGTTTTCTGGGAAAACAAAGCCCCATTACTTGATTTTTCACATTTATTGGCGTAAGAAATCTCAAATATCCCTCATATCTAAGGTTTTGTCCTCTATCATTCTCTATCGTTTCTCTTTCCCTCTGTCATTTACGTGGATTACTTTCTCCATTAGTTCTGTTCAACACAGGGAGTGGAGTCAATGCTTAAGGTGACTGAATGGGGGAATTAGGCAGGAACTCTACGAACGCTGGTGATGCTTTAGACACATCAAAAACTATATAAATCACACTTTTATAAGTAGAATTCTCATTTTGCATTGACTGGTATTAGACTTTTCAGGGCCATGATTCAAGTTTCTGGCTAATATCCAGTTGGTACACACCCCTAACATTTGGGCATTTTATGTCTTTCCTCTTCAATCCCTCCTTAGCCTGGCTTTTCTCCCCCTCCATCCACCACCTTTTTTTTTTTTTTTTTTAGAGAGACGGGGTCTTGCTTTGTTGCCCAGGCTGGAGTACAGTGGTATGATCACAGCTCACTGCAGCCTTGACATCCTGGGCTCAAATGATCCTCCCATCTCAGCCTCCCAAGTAGCTGGGACTAGAGCCACGCGCCACCACACTGGGCTAACTTTTGTATTTTTGTAGAGACGGGGTCTTGCTTTGCTGCTTAGGCTGATCTCAAGCTATCCTCCCACCTCAGCCTCCCAAAGTGCTAGAATTACAGGAGTGAGCCACCACACCTGGCCATCCATCTACCTTTAACATATGTAATGATATGCAAAGATTTTCTTGTGCTAGAAAAGTTTGTTGCTCTTCAAGACATTAAAAAAAAATACAGAAGCAGCCATGGATTGAAGACAAAGGGTAGGCATTGTGGGGAGTTCAAAGCTGAATGAGGAATAACCCCTTTAAGTCAATAGGAGTGTTTGTCATGGTATTTTAGTACCAGGAAGGACTTTGTTTGTGAGTTGGGTACTGGATTTTCCAAAAGGAAATATCCTCACAGTCAAGGATAATTGCTGGCATCTTTGCCCAGTCTGATTTTTCTAGGAACTGCCTGACCAGCCAGAGAGTGGGTCCCTGGCAGCCACCTTTGTGCTGCACGCCCCACCCCCACAGCCATGGCTAGTGGGTTCTACCGTTCTTCAGTGGACGTAGGATTCAGGTTGGACCAATCAAATTCTCTCTTGAGAATGTGAACTGAGACTCCGTGAGTTACTGATTTTGTTTTTTTTTTGTTTGTTTGTTTGTTTTGAGACAGAGTCTCGATCCATTGCCTAGGCTGGAGTGCACTGGCGTGATCTCGGCTCACTGCAACCTCTGCCTCCCAAGTTCAAACAATTATCCTGCCTCAGCCTCCCAGGTAGTTGGGATTACAGATGCACGCCACCATGCCGGGCTAATTTTTTTGTGTTTTTATTAGAGATGGGGCTTCACCATGTTGGCTAGGCTGGTTTCGAACTCCTGACCTCAAGTGATCTGCCCACCTCAGCTTCCCAAAGTGTTAGGATTACAGGCGTGAGCCCCCGCACCCGGCCCGATTTGTTAATTTGACCGTGTTGCGTTGGAATTAGTCTCTGAGGCTGGCTAAAACTAGGAAGAAAGGGGGATTTCGCATGGCTATATTCTGTGAGGTGAGTTGGAGAGGTAGACAAAAGCCAGTGTATAGAAAAAGAGGGAATGAGAGAGTGAGAAGAGCAGAGTCAGGGAAATCCTGATGGTTTTCTGGCTTCCAGCTCCAGACCCTTTCCAAGGCCCAGTGGGTTGTCCACTCTTGGAGGCATCCCTTTATCACTGTAATAAATTCCCTTTCTCTGCTAAAGCCCAGTGCTACTTGGTAGTTGTCAACTGTAAACAATAACCCCCTCCCCCTTGCAAGGCAAAGGCTCAAATGAAGCTGTGTGTGTGTCTTTGTGTGTGTGTGTGTGTGTGTGTGTGTGTAGAATTTTTTTTTTTTTTTTTGAGACAAGTTCTTGCTCTGTTTCCCAGGCTGGAGTGCAGTGGCACAATCATTGCTCACTGCAGCCTTGACCTTCTGTGCTAAAATGATCCTCCCATCTTAGTCTCCTTAGTTGCTGGGACTGCAGGAGCATGACACCATGCCTGGCTACTTAAAATTTTTTTTTTTTTCACAGAGACAGGGGTCTCGCTATGTTGCCAGGACCGGTCTTGAACTCCTAAGGCTGAGATATTTCTGCTAGAACATTCTGGAGCAACTTGTCTCTTTCTACAAACACATACTGAGCAGGATGCTTAATTAAGAGGAAGCCTGCAGGGAAACAGCTGATCCTGGAAGGCACAGCACCCTTTTGAGAGTTTCTTACAGTCCAGCAGCCCCTTACACAGTTTTCTCATGACAATCAGACATGAAATCAATGAGCAAGAGATGCAGAATGTTGCATCAGAACCCCTGGACCTACAAGGTCTCAGCAGCGGGATGCCTGACAAGGGAGGGATGGGCTGAAACTCCGACTATTCTTTGTGTGCCTGTCCCTATATCATAAACACTAGGCTGTGGATAGTGGAAATGGGTGTGGGGTCTCAGTCCTGGATCCCCTCCATTCTTTCCTCCCTTGCTCCCATAAAAGGAAAATGCTCTCAAACCTGGCCTGAGACCATATCTTTCTGTAAGAACCTCCTTCTGGAAAGAAACTAGCATTTCTGATAAATGCTCGAGCATTGAGCATTTTTCTTTTGAAATTTAAGAGCATTGAGATTTACACTGGGAAACTAGCTTTCTACTCACTCAGTTGATGGTCATTTGTCAGTCAAGAGTGCAGTGACCTTTAACGGAACATTCTTTTCTTTTCTATTTTGTCTAACAGTGATTATCTAATCATTTTCTTCTCCTAGAAAATGTCTCTATCAAGATAGAGGTCAGAAGAGTGGCCAACATTTTTCGGGGTGGAGAGAGGGTGTATTGCCTGGGAAGGGGTCCAGGGGGGCTTCTGTAGGCCTGCAAATGTTCTAATATCTTGAATTGGGTTGTTAAGACACAGATGTGTACAAATGTAAAAATTCATCAACCTGTATACTTAAGAGCGTGCAGTTTAATCTACATAGGCAGACTGTAATAAAAAATAAATTTTTAGAAAATGTCCCTACCAAGTATAAATCTTTGAATTCCCAGTGGGTTTACACTTGCAGCAAGACTGTGATTTTTTTTTTTTAAGATATGGGCTTTCACTGTGTTGACCAGGATGGTCTTGAACTCCTGGCCTCAAGCAATCCTCCCATCTTGGCCTCCCAAAGTGCCAGGGTTACAGGTGTGAGCCACCACGCCCGGTCAAGACTGTAATAAAATTTTGACGTATGCTGTAACAAAACCAACAGAAAAGTTTTCTTTATTAACTTCTCTCTAATCTTTTTTTTTTTTTTTGAAATGGAGTCTCATTCTGTCACCCAGGCTGGAGTACAGTGGTGTGATCTCGGCTGACTGCAACCTCTGCCTCCTGGGCTCAAGTGATTCTCCCGCCTCAGCCTGGCTAATTTTTATATTTTTAGTAGAGATGGTGTTTCACCATGTTGGCCAGGCTGGGCTCTAACTCCTGACCTCAAGTGATCTGCCCACCACAGCCTCCCAAAGTGCTGGGATTACAGGTGTGAGCCACGGTGCCAGGCCTCCTCGTGCCAATTTCTCAGCCTTGCAGGACTTGTTCAGCAATGAAAATTGGGTTTTTCTCAGATTTCTCTACTGCTGATCTAGGATCCAGACTTCTTGGGTCTGTTAATTCAATTACAGTCTACCTACTTTCCAGCACCCAAAACTTGCTGTTCAATCCTCTTTCTCTTCATCCTCACCGGCTTATGCTATTTAAAAACAAACAAACAAACAAAAAAACAAACAAAAGAATCCACTTCCTGTCATTGCAGTGGGGATTTAGGAACAAGTGGACCTAAATATGTATGTTCAACCTACCATGCATAGTTATACTAATGTTCAAATTTCTTAAAATTAAAAAAAATTAGCTTAAAACCAAAAGATCAACTGGTAACCAAGATTTTCTTAAGCTTGGAATTAAAAAAGCACTTTAGGCTGGGCGTGGTGGCTCACACCTGTAATCCCAGCACTTTGGGAGGCCAAGGTGAGTAGATCACCTGAAGCCAGGAGTTTGATACCAGCCTGGCCAACATGGTGAAACCCTGCCTCTACTAAAAATACAGAAATTAGCCAGGCATGGTGGTGTGCGCCTGTACTGCCATGCCAGCTACTAGGGAGGTCGAGGCGGGAGAATCGCTTGAACCCGGGAGGCGGAGGTTGCAGTGAGTTGAGATCGCACCACTGCACTCCAGCCCGGGTGACAGAATGAGACCCCATCTTAAAATAAATAAATAAAAATAAAAAAAAACACTTTACCATGTATTATCTTCTCTGAAGCTTACAACTCTGTAATGGTAAAAATTATTCTTCAGGCCGGGCACGGTGGCTCACGCCTGCAATTCCAGCAGTTTGGGAGGCCAAGGCCGGTGCATTGCTTGAGCCCAGGAGTTCGAGACCAGCCTGGGCATGATGGCAAAACCCTGTCTCCACTGGAAGAAAGGAAAAAACAAGATGAAACACAACCTGCCCCCCTTCAAAATTAGCCGGGCGCGGTGGTGCTCACCTGTAGTCCCAGCTACTCGTGAGGAGGCTGAGGTGGGAGGATAACTTGAACCTCGGAGGCAGAGGCTGCAGTGAGCCAAGATCTTGCCACTGCACTCTAGCCTGGGCAACAGAGTGAGACTGTCTGAAAAACAAACAGAAAAACTCTATGTTTTATAGATGAGCAAATGAAGAAACGAGAGGTTCTAATACTTTCTCTAAAGCAAACTGACAGCAGACGAGCCAAATCTGGAAGGCTTTGAAAAGTTATTAGAATTTATTACAAATGTTAAAGAACAGAAGGCCTTGCATTAAAAAAAAAAAAGTTTTCAGCAGCTCTTGAAAAATTGGAAAATAGGGTAACATTGAGCCCGCGCTTCCCATGGTGGCAATCATTTGAAGTTGAATCATGGCTGCCCCTTTCAGATGGGGTATGAGCCTTCTCGTTGACCCCTGCCTGCAGCAGCTTTATTTATTTATTTATTTATTTATTTATTTATTTGAGACAGTCTTGCTCTGTCGCCGAGGCTGGAGTGCAGCGGCGTGATCTCAGCTCACTGCAAGCTCCACCTCCCGGGTTCACGCCTTTCTCCTGCCTCAGCCTCTCGAGTAGCTGGGACTACAGGCGCCTGCCACCACGCCCAGCTTTTTTTTTTTTTTTTTTTTAATGTATTTTTAGTAGAGACGGGGTTTCACCATGTCAGTCAGGATGGTCTCGATCTACTGACCTTGTGATCCGCCTGCCTCAGCCTCCCAAAGTGCTGGGATTACAGGCGTGAGCCACCGCACCCGATCCCCCACCTTTTTTTTTTGAGATGGAGTTTCGCTCTTGTTGCCCAGGCTGGGGTGCAATGACAGGATCTGGGCTCACTGCAACCTCCATCTTCCGGCTTTAAGCAATTCTCCTGTCTCAGCCTCCTGAGCAGATGGGACTACAGGTGTGCGCCACCATGCCCGGCCAATTTTTGTATTTTTAGTACAGACAGGGTTTCATCATGTTGGCCAGGCTGGTCTGGAACTCTTGACCTCAGGTGATCCCGCCCGCCTCGGCCTCCCAAAGTGCTGGGATTACAGGCGTGAGGCACCACGCCTGGCCATTTTTTTTTTTTTTCCAAACCAGGAGACATTTGAGTCTGAGACAGAAAAGAAAGAAAACACTTTATTTGTAAAGAGAAAATGGAACTTAGTACATATGCCAAAATAAATCTGTAACGCAGGCCACTTCTCTGGGCCCCATCTTGAGTAGGTTAAAGGGTCACCTTAGAGACTAGAAACACAATTAAGAGGCACAAATCCACACAGAAAATATGCATATTTTGTCTCCTTTCCCCCCAAAACAAGCTGCATATACTTGTGTAAACTTGTTGATTTGTAAAACATGTCTAGTACTGCAGACAAATGTGTGGGATGAAAGGAAATAAAAGCCATGAAAACAGGGCCAGGTGCAGTGGCTCACGCCTGTAACCCCAATGCTTTGGGAGGCTGAGGTGGGAGGATCACTTGAGGCCAAGGAGTTCAAGACCAGCCTGGGCAACATAGTGAAACTCTGTCTCTGCAAAAAATAATTTTAAAAAATTAGCCAGGCGTGGCTTGGCACGGTGGCTCATGCCTGTAATCCCAGCACTTTGGGAGGCCGAGGCAGGTGGATCACCTAATGTCAGGAGTTTGAAACCAGCCTGGCCAACATGGTGAAACCCCCGTCTCTACTAAAAATACAAACATTAGCTGCGCGTGGTGGCAGGTGCCTGTAGTCCCAGCTACTCGGGAGGCCGAGACAGGGAGAATCGCTTGAACCTGGGAGGCAGAGGTTGCAGTGAGCCAAAACGTGCCATTGCACTTGAATCTGGGCAACAGAGCGAGACTCCACCTCAAAAAAAAAAAAAAAAAAATTAGCCAGATGTGATGGTGCACATCTGTAGTTTTAGCTACTTGAGAGGCTGAGGCAGGAGGATCACTGGGGCCCAGGAGGTTGAGCCTACAATGAGTTATGATCATGCCACTGCACTCCAGCCTGAGTAACAAAGTGAGACCTTGTGTCTTAAAAAAACAAAAACCACTAAAATAGCAACAAGAGCAGTTTACTTGGCTTGGAGGTCAAAGCTGCATTTGATAAATTCCCAGAGTGGTCAGGGGGAGAACAGATATTCAGGAACACTGGGGTTTGGGAGTTTTTTTCGCTTCTTTCTTACACCCATAAAGCCACCTATCCATTCATTCATTTTATTCTCTTGCCTATAGCAAAACTGAAAGGGCCATTAAACTCCAGTTTAAATTTTATTCCCAAGATCCTCTAAATAGCAGCAGCTCTCAAATCCCAGCTCCAGCTTAGTGGCTTGCTAGCAGTGACACTGTGAAAAAAAATCTAGCTGGCAGAACCTCGGTTTCTCCATTTGTGAAATGAAAGTACTGGATGATAATCCTGGCTCTGCCAATTTCCTGGGCTTTCACCTGCTTCTTGCACTTGAAGATGGTCTCTGATATCGTCCCAGTTGGGCTGGAATGTCCTGGGTTTTGCGTTAGGTTTTTGGCATGTCCAGCATTTGCGGAAAAAGAAGATGTCCTAACTATCTTCAGAAGGCACAAAACTAGGGGTTTTTCTTGTTTTTGGTTTCGAGACGGAGTCTCACTCTGTCGCCCAGGCTGGAGTGCAGTGACGCAATCTCGGCTCACTGCAACCTCTGCCTCCTGGGTTCAAGCGATTCTCCTGCCTCAGCCTCCCGAGTAGCTGACTTCAGGTGATCCGCCCACCTCAGCCTCCCAAAGTGGCGTGAGCCACTGCACCCAGCCCAAACTAGGTTTTGAAGGTGGAATAAGTTCTCCTAGCTCAGAAGGATCTCAACCTCTTGCAAGTTACTTTTCACTTTTAAGGGCCCTTAAAGAAGCATTTGCTTAGCTCTGTATCCAGGCCATCTCTCCCTCCCCGAAGAGCAACAGACCAGCAACTGACATTAAGGTCACATGGGTGGGTGGGGAGTAGAATTGCGGGGGTGACAGTTCCAGCCAATCCAGACAACGAATCATTGTTTGGAGGAACCAGAGCCTCAAAGGGTGAGTGCACTGACTAGGGCTGGCTCTCCATCTGTTCACACACTTGTTGAGTGCCTACTCTATGCCAAAGCACTGTGTTTTGGTGCCCTGGGGAACACAAAATTGGGATAGCTCCTGCCCTCAGGGCTTAATAAAGTAGCTCTCAGTCAAGGGTTAGAGCAAGGGTTGACAAACTACAGCCCAAAAGGGCCACCCGTTTGTGTAAATAAAGTTTTATTGGAACACCAGCCACACTCATTCGTGTTCATGTAGTGTCTGTGGCAGCTTTTACATTACAACAGCAGGGCTGAGCATTTGCAGCAGAGGCTATATGGCCTGCAAAGCCTAAAATCTTCACTTTCTACCCCTTTACAAAAAAGTTTGCCAATTCCTGCTAGAGAAGAGATGACATACAACTAAGAACTTAAACGAGTGATCAGGGAACACAAATTATTTACATAATAAAATTTCAGAGAGGGGGGGCTGGCTGAATTTAAAAAGCATGAATTACGTGAGGCTTGATTACTGTGAAGAGATAAGTCAACTTAAAGTTACTTACATTTAACATACAATTTATATGCACTGGTTTAAAACACGCACACACACACACAAAATGTAACACAAGCCAACTACTGATCTGGTACAGATGACAAAAGGGTGATCAGTTCCAACTTCAAAAGGAAAACTGGCTATGATGAGTCCATATTGAAAAAGTCACTGTCATTTATGGGTGGTCCAAGGGATTTTTTTCAAGGGTAATTTTACCTGCTTCATTGTTCATTTAAGGGTACACACTGAACTTTGGAACTAACGCTTGCATGGGTTTGTGCCTCCAAAGCAGTCAACACTGAAGTCTTGGCTGGGCTCAGTGGCTCCTGCCTGTAATCCCAGCGCTTTGGGAGACTGAGGCGGGAGGCTCACTTAAGTCCAGGAGTTCGAGACCAGCCTGGGCAACACAGTGAGACCCCATCTCTATTTCAAAAATTATAAAATAATAAAAAGAAAATAATCTCTCTGCATAAGCAACAACAACAAACCCCACTAAGGTGTTGAAGGACCCATTTTAATGAATAGTTAAGAATGGTTTGTATGTTATACTCTGCTTTTTTATGTTTTGACTTTTAAACAAAGAAAAATAGGCTGCTTTTGCATTTAGGGTTGATCAAAGCAGTCTGTCTTTTTTTTGTTGTTTTGGTAGAGACAGGGTCTCGCCATGTTTACCCAGGCTGGTCTTGAAGTCCTGAGCTCAAGCAATCCTCCCACCTTGGCCCTCCTCAAAGTGCTGAGATTACAGGCGGGAGCCACCGCACCTAGCATCTTTGCTATTTGAAACATCAAATGAAATCATACTAATGTGAGAGCTGAATTCCATTGAAAGGAAAAGCTCATTAAATAACAATCGCCATTGTCTGGCCATGGGGAGACTACTAGAATTAATGAGTGTTTATAGTTCTTGCCCTCTCATCCTCAAACATCTTAGATAAAATCCCAAGAGACTGCTGCTGAAAGCGTCCTGCTGTAAATTACAAGAAAATCAGCCCAGCTTCAAGCAGAAAATGCCAAGGACCAGGGCTGGGGAGCAGATTTCACGTAAGAACATCCAGACACTAAGAAAACACCAAGGAATACTGTATAAGAGACATTGCAGTCACGTTGTGGGAGCTGCCACTGAGATGCAGAGTGTGGGTCTGCTTGGAGAAAAGGCTCTCACATTCCAAGCCGCTGTCCTTACGTGTAAAAGCTTTGAGGTGCACCCTCTTCCACACTAGCTGATGTAGGAGTTAGAGGTAGTAAACGTGTGCATACAAAACTCAAACCTGTTTTGAAAAGCCCACCGTAGAAAGCATGCTTAAAAGATGGAATTCGGCTGTATGCCAGAAAATCAGTAGCATTATGGAAGGAAATTGAACTAGAAGTTTAAAAAACAGCCAACATGCAGGCCCTTCCCCACAGTAGAAGGGAGCCTGGGTATTGTGCAATCTCACACCCACTGAAAAAATGCCACGCATGCCTCTAAATGCTCTGAGAAAGAATGCTTTGCACTAAGCCACGGCAATACACGCCCCGTGACTTAGGAAAGCCAGCGTGAAGTGCTTCATTTCTCATCCCGATGCACAAAACACAGGGCTCCATGGGCCCGACATTTCAGTCCAGCCTGAAAAGACTAGTGAGCACAGCCCTAAAATTGTCCATTCAAGGCAAAAAGCACTTTCTTATATCTCGTGACAAAAAAAAAAAAAGAAATAAAAATGAAAATAGAACCACAAAATGGGCAGGCATGGTGGCTCACACCTGTAATCCCAGCACTTTGGGAGGCTGAGGCAGGTGGATCACCTGAGGTTAGGAGTTCGAGACCAGCCTGGCCAACATGGTGAAACCCCATCTCTACTAAAAATGCAAAAATTAGCTGAGTGTGGTGGTGTGCACCAGTAATCCCAGCTACTTGGGAGGCTGAGGCAGGAGAATCACTTGAACCCAGGAGGCGGAGGTTGCAGTGAGCTAAGATCATGTCACTGCACTCCAGCCTGGGTGACAGAGCAAGACTCTGTCTCAAAACAAACAAACAAACAAACAAAAAAAACCACACACAAAACGGTATGTTGGTTCATTAGGCTGCTTCTTCAAGCCCCACTTCCCCAAAATACTGCCCTAAGAGACAGCTATAGAGTCTCTGCTGGTAGCTGCCAAGGAGCAAAGACATTTTTCAAGAGTCAAAAAATGAAATATAAAATTTGATTTTACAACACACTTAAAAATGCTTCCCCTCCCCAAACTAAATAAGTTGTTGTTGTTGTTTTTTTAATCTTTCCTCCTAGCCCGTTTGCTTGGGACTAGCCGGCAGTGATTTTCCTGGTTACTCCTCCATCTGGGCCCAGGCCTCTTCAGCCTTTTGGTAGTACTGGTTGGCCAGTCGGCCCTTCATGGCTTCCATCGCTGCCTCTGCTGCCTGGGTATACAAGTCCCCTGAAAGACAGCAAAGGGGGGCAAAAAGAGGTGAACCACCTGTTGTTTTTGCCAGCCCAGTGTCCCCCATCACCCCTCCCAGAAGAACACCCTGACGTTTCCTTAAGAACTCAAACTACTCCGTGTGCCCTCTCCCTCCAGGTGTTCCGGGCGGGGCTCTAAAGGTGGGCCTGTGATAAAATCTAGCCAATAATAGCACTCCTCCTATCCCCCACCAAGCTACAGCGATTGGTCCAGATTTAGTCATGGCCAATCAGAGTAAGCCATCTAAACAACTACTGTTGGTTTGGGGTATGTAGATGATTGAGTTTGAGCCAATGAGAATCAGGCTGAGAACTAATTTGAGCCAATGAGAATCAGGGTGAGAACTTTTGCAGAACTAAGTGGGGATGTGCAAAAGTGGAAGAAATAACGACTTACAAACAGCTTCATGTCAGCTAGGTCAGGTTTTACCAAGTGAATTTGTGTAAAACATACAAATATACTTCAGGTTTTTGGAGCTTTTTGGATTTAAAATTTTCAAATAAAAGATTATAGATTTGCATCATTCTTCTTCTTTTTTTTTTTTTTTTTTTTTTGAGATGGAGTCTCACTCTGTCACCCAGGCTGGAGTCCAGTGGCGGAATCTTAGCTCACTGTCACCACTGCCTCTGGGGTTCAAGCGATTCTCCTGCCTCAGCCTCCTGAGTAGCTGGGATTACAGGCACCTGCCACCACGCCCAGCTAATTTTTGTATTTTTAGTAGGGATGGGGTTTCATCATGTTGCCCAGCCTGGTCTCGATCTCCTGACCGCAGGTGATCTGCCTGCCTTGGCCTCCCAAAGTGCTGGGATTACAGGCGCGAGCCACTGCCCAGCCTAGATTTGCATTATTCTTTGTTAATTTTTAAAATATAACTTAAAAACTTTTAAAACTTAGCCTCATCCTATACCTGTGAAATTAGGAACTTAGTATGTTTATTATATGTTAGGGACTGAATGCTGTGTCCCCACTGGGCTCCCCATCCACAAATTCATATGTTGAACTCTTCATTCATGATGTAACTGCACTGTATTTGGAGACACACAGTCTGTGTCTTAGTCCATTTTATGTTGCTATGACAGAATTCCACAGACTAGATAATTTATAATGAAAAGAAATTTATTTGGCTCACAGTTCTAGAGCCCGGCAAGTCCAAGAGCATAGCACCAGCATCTGGCACAGGCCTTGGTGCTGTATCATCCCATGCCAGAAGGCAAAGAGCAAGAGACGTAGAAAGCAAGCGAGCAAGAGGGGGCCAAATTTGCTTTTATAACAAAGCTACTTTTGTGATGACTGACCAATCTGCATGATAACAACATTAATCACCTCTTAACAGTCCCACCTCTTGACACCTTCACAGTGGTGATTACAGTTCAACATGAGACTTGGAGGGGACGTTCATATTCTAGCAGCCTGTGAGGAGGTGATAAAGCTTAAATGAGGTCATAAGGGTAGGGCCCTAATCACACAGAGCTCATTCCCGTTTAGGAAGCAAAAGAGACAGCAGAGCTCTCTTGCTGTCTCCCCACTTGCATCCAGGAGAAAGGTCATGTGAGGACACAGTGAGAAAGCTGTTTTCTACAAGCCAGAAACCAAACTGGCCAGCACCTTGATCTTGGAATTCCCAGCCTCCAGAACTGGGAGAAATAATTTTTTTTGTTGTTTTTTGAGACAGGGTCTCACTCTGTTGCCCAGGCTGAAGTGCGGTGGTATGATCATAGCTCACTGAGTGTGCCACCACACTCAGTTAATTAAAACAATTTCTTTTGTAGAGGTGAGGTTTACCTATGTTGCCCAGGCTGGTCTTGAACTCCTAGACTCAAGTGATCCTCCCATCTTGGCCTCCCAAAGTGCTGGGATTACAGGCATGAGCCACTGTGCCCAGCAATTTTTTTAGTTTAAACCACCCACTCTATAGTATTTTGTTTTGGCAGCCCAAGAAGACTAATACATTATGTAACAGAAAAAATATATATATAACTTGTCTATCAACTGATGAATGGATAAAGGCTGTATATCCACACAATGGAATATTATGTAGTAATAAGAAGGAATGAAGTACTGATAACACACTTCAACACAGATGAATCTTGAAAAAGTTATGCTAAATGAAAGAAGCAGATACAAAAAGCCACAAATTGTATACTCCCAGTTATATAAAATCTCCAGAATAGGCAAATCTATAGGGACAAAAAGTATAGTGGCTGCTAGGTTCGGGGAGGACTGCTAACTGGTACGGGATTTCTTTTTGGGGTGATGGAAATGTTCTGGAATTACATAGCAGTGATGATTGTACAACATTATGACTATACTAAAACCCACTAGGACCAGGTGCAGTGGCTCACATCTGTAATCCAAAGACTTTGGGAAGCCAAGGCAGCAGATTGCTTGAGGCTAGGAGTTCAAGACCAGCCTGGGCAACATAGCAAGACTCTGTCACTACAAAGAACTTTTAAAAATTGGCTGGGTGTGGAAGCAAGTGCCTGTAGTCCCAGCTGCTTGGGAGGCTGAGGCAGGAGAATTGCTTGAGCATAGGAGTTCCAGGCTGGAGTGAGCTATGATTGTGCCACTGCACTCCAGCCTGAGTGACACAGTGAGATTCTATTTCAAAGAAAAAAGAAAGAAAGAAAAGGAAAGGAGGCCAGGCATGGTGGCTCACACGTATAATCCCAGCACTTTGGGAGGCTGAGGCGGGCAGATCACCTGAGGTCAGGAGTTCAAGACCAGTCTGGCCAACATGGTGAAACCCCATCTCTACTAAAAACAGAAAAATTAGCTGGGTGTGTGCCTGTAGTCCCAGCTATGCAGGAGGCTGAGGCACAAGAATCACCTGAACCTGGGAGGTGAAGGTTGCAGGGAGCAGAGATGGCCCACTCCAGCCTGGGCTACAAGAGTGAAACTCTGGGCCAGGTGTGGTGGCTCACGCCTGTAATCCAGCACTTTGGGAGGCCGAGGTGGGCCGATCACTTGAGGTCAGGAGTTCGAGACCAGCCTGGCCAACATGGCAAAACCCTGTCTCTACTAAAAATACAAAAATCAGCTGTGCATGGTGGCACACCTGTAATCCCAGCTACTCAGGAGGCTGAGGCAGGAGAATCGCTGGAACTCGGGAGGTGGAGGCTGCAGTGAGCCAAGATTATGCCGTTGCACTCCAGTCTGGGCTATAGAGCGAGACTCCGTCTCAAAAAAAAAAAAAAAAAAAGAAAGAAAGGAAAGGAAAACCCCCCTACTAAACTATATACTTTAAGATGGTGAATTTTGTTATGAAAATCTCAATTCAGTTTTTAAAATTGCAAAAACCCCCTACAAAGCCGTAATATATAACCATTAAAATAACAATGTTCATCTTCATACTAGCTCCATAAATTCCCCTCCCTGGAAGAAGATTCAGCCTGTCATCTTGTCATAAATAACTCCCAGTGGAATGGAAATTAGGTTCCTCCCTGCCCAGCCCTGTTGCAGCCCAGGGGCAGGTCTGCCAGGCCCTACCTGATCTCTGCGGGTCCTTCTCCAGCCCGTAGCCTCCTGTGAACAGCATCTCGGCCTCCCTGGCCAGCATCATGTACCGGGGCTCGTCCTGCATTCCGTCGTACTCACCGCCCTCATCACAGTCCGTCATCTCCAGGGCAGTGTTGTACCAGTGCAGGGCCTCTAGCCAGTCTTGGCACCTTGCCAGGAGATACAGAGGGAAAGGTGGAGGTTACCATGGCAACAGGGTGGCAGGAGGAGGGCCTTCCAGCAGGAGGGGCAAGTCAGGGATCCCAGCAGGGCCACCACCTATGGTTCACGACCTATCTTGTCCAAGGCCAATACATCTATGAGGCACCTTCATACTGTGATATTCATTCACTCATTCATTCATTCATTTTTGAGACAGAGTCTTGCTCTGTTGCCCAGGCTGGAGTGCAGTGGTGCAATCTCGGCCCACTGCAGCCTCCGCCTCTCAAGTTCAAGCAATTCTCCTGTCTCAGCCTCCTGAGTAGCTAGGATTACAGGTGCACGCCACCACACCCAGCTAATTTTTTGTATTTTTAGTAAAGACGGCATTTCACCACGTTGGCCAGGCTGGTCTCGAACCCCTAACCTCGAGTGATCCACATGCCTAGGCCTCCCAAAGTGCTGAGATTACAGGCATGAGCCACTGTGCTCGGCCAATATTTATTAAGAGAGCAGTTGACCAGCCCAGGCAACGTAGAGAGACCGTGTCTCTACAAAAAAACAAAAACACAACAAAAAAACAGTGACTATAGTCAAAAATAATGTAATTGTATATTTTAAAATAACTAAAAGAGTATAAAGAAATTGTTTATACCACAATGAATAAATGCTTGAGATGATGGATATCCCATTTATCCTGATGTGATTATTACACATTCCATGCCCATATCAAAATAGCTCATGTAACCCATATACACACTTACTATGTACCCACAAAAATTAAAAAATACAATAAACACACAAAAAGCTGGGTGTGGTGATGGACACCTGTAGTCCCAGCTACTCCGGAGGCTGAGGTGGGAGGATAGCTTGAGCCCAGGAGTTAGAGGCTGCAGTGAGCTATGATCATGCCACTGCACTCCAGCCTGGGCAATAGAGTATAACCCTGTGTTAAAAAAAAAAAAAAAAAAAGAGGAGTCAAGTTGCTTTCCTTAATAAAATCAGTATATTACAACAATTTTCCCATAGATGAAAGTAAAGGGCAGCTTAGCTAGGACACCCCCTTGAGGAAGGGGCCCATTTTTACAGTCTACACAGAGGCAGCCATGAGCTAGCATTAGCAATGCCTGAGTGTCCTAGCTAAGCTGCCCTCTGACTTGTAGAGAAGTGGATTGGGGGCGGGGTCCTCTGCAGAGGCCTCTAGAGCCATCTGCACTAATGGCAATCACCGTATGCTCTGCTGTGCGGGACAGCTGTGAATTTTGTTATGTAAAATTGCCTCCAGCACAATGCAGAACTCACCCCAGAATAGTTGAGTCTCCACTTCCAGCTCTGCCCGTCGACCCTCAACTCCTCCTACTGCAGCCCATGTATGGCCAAACCAGCCAGGGCACACAAAGTTTCCAGCCAAACCCACGCACCACAGAATACACAGCAAACAGGGCGGAGGGCTCTTTTTCTTTGGGTGTAATCCGTGTGAGTAACTATTTATAGTATATCAGGAAAGAGCAAATACAGCGACACAGGTAAGAAGGCCTGTGGGTCTCGTGAAACATTCCAGAAGCAATAGGTCTGATGACTTGCTGTCCCTGCCTTGCTGCCACAGTGCCCTCTGCGGCCCTGTCTGACAGGCGCTGCCCTCCAGGACGGTCTCCTGTTTGTCTACCTTTGCACCAGGCTCACCGGCTGCCATCCATTCCCCAACGATGCCTGCTCCTGCCTGCTCTGTGGCCCTTGCACCCGCTGTTCCCTCACCTTGGAAGATTCTTCCTCCAACTCTTTCTGCACCTGGCTCCTTGCTCTGGTTGGAACGTGTGTCCCCTCCAAAACCCATGTTGAGATTTGCTTGCCATTGTGAGGTATTAGGAGTTGGGATCTTTGAGAGGTGATTGGGCTTTGATGGTTCTGCCCTCATGAATGGATTTCTGCCAGTATGAGGAAAGTGGATTTGTTATAAAAGGGCGAGTTCAGCCCCCTTTTGCTCTCTCTTTTTTCTTTTCTTGAGATAGCGTTTCACTCTGTTGCCCAGGCAGGAGTGCAGTGGCACAATCATAGCTCACTGCAGCCTCAAAGTCCTGGGATCCAGCAATCCTCCCATTTTAACCTCCTGAGTAGCTGGGATGACAGGGGCATGTCACCACGCCTGGCTAATTTTTAAAATTTTTTTATAGAGACACACTCTTACCAGGTTGCCCAAGCTGGTCTTGAACTCCTGGACTCAAGTGATTTTCCTGCCTCAGCCTCCCAAAGTGCTGGGATTACAGGCATAAGCCACCGTGCTTGACCTGCTCTCCCTCTCCTTCTCTTCTGCCAGGTGATGACACAGCAAGAAGGCCCATGCAAGACGCTGGCATACTGATATTAGACTTCCCAGCCTCCAGAACTAAGAGCCAGCAAATTTCTGTTCATGAGAAATTCCTCAGCCTCAGATATTCTGTTACCAGCACAGAACAGGCTAAGACACTCATCATCCCTCCAATCTCAGCTCACATATCACCTCTTTAGAGATTCTGCCCCCAAACACTGTTTCTTACAACTACCAAAATCTTTAATTCTCCTTATTCACTTGTTTATCATGGTGTCCCTTGACTAGAAGGTAAGCCCCATGAAGGCAGGAGACCCTTGTCTATTTTGCTGTATTTGTCTACTGCATTCCCAGGGTCTGGCAAACAGCATAGTGTCAATAAATGTCTGGTAAATGAAAAAAAGCAAGCAAGTGGCTGGCTGGGATGGTGCTCAGGAAATAATCTTGACTTTATTTTATCTTATTAAAAAATGGCCAGATATGGCTCATGCCTGTGATCCCAGCACTTTGGGAGGCCTAGGTTGGAGGATCTCTTGAGCCCAGGAGTTTGAGGCCAGCCTGGGCAACATGGCAAAACCCCAGCTCTACAAAAAATACAAGTTAGTTGGGTATGGTGGTGCATGGCTATGGTCCCAGCTACTCGAGAGGCTGAGGCGGGAGGATAGCCTGAGCCTGAGAGGTTGAGACTACAGTGAGCTATGATTACACCATCGCACTCTAGCCTGGGTGACAGAGCAAGATTGTGTCTCAAATAAATAAATAAATAAAAGTTAAATTTAAAAAATGGACCATTTGAAAATTATTGGTGACATGCTCAACAAACTTTTGTTTTTGTTTTAAGACGGCATTTCATGCTTGTTGCCCAGGCTGGAGTGGAATGATGTGATCTTGGCTCACTGTAACCTCTGCCTCCCGGGTTTAAGTGATTCTTCTCCCTCAACCTCCCAAGTAGCTGAAGTAGCTGGGATTACAAGCATCTGCCATCACACTCAGCTAATTTTGTATTTTTAGTAGAGATGGGGTTTCAGAGTGTTGTTCAGTCTGGTCTCAATCTCCTGACCTCGTGATCCACCCGCCTCAGCCTCCCAAAGTGTTAGGATTACAGGCATGAGCCACCATGCTGGGCTCGGTTTTAACACTGACTAGGAGACACTAGACTAGATTGTTTATCTCCTTTCTGCTCTGACCTTCCCTGGTCTTAAAGGGCAAAGCAAAATTGGCCTGAAAACATATGGGAAAGGCCTAATCGCTGACCCCTGTCCACCCCAACCCGATGCTATCCCATTGGCGAGGGCGTCCATCCTTCCTTGGCGTTTCTAGCACCTTCTCCTTCGCCTATTGGATAGTAACTTCTGGGGCCTGAATCCCTTAAACGCAAATTTGGGCCTGCACAGAGCCCTGCCTTACCCATAGCTGGCCCTTAATTAATGTTCTTTGCATGGGTGGGGTTGGAACTGCTTTGAATAAGGAAGAAGAATAAGGAAATGACTAGAGCAGAAGCAATAAAGAAATACTTTTGATAGATTTTAACTAAATAAATATTAAAAACCAGTGTGTCCCCAAACCCAGTAAACAATGGTCATTATGTGGCATCTGTGCCCTCCCTCTATCTATGGTAGACATATCTGAAAAAAAAAATGTCTTTTAAAATGAAATGTGGCCAGGTACAGCGGCTCACACTTGTAATACCAGCACTTTGGGAGGCTGAGGTAGGAGGATTGCTTGAGGCCAGGAGTTTGAGACCAGCCTGGGCATCATAGCAAGCCCTTGTCTCTACAAAAAATTATAAAAATTAGCCAGGTAGGGTGGCACATGCCTATGGTCCCAGCTACGCAGGAGGCTTAAGCAGGAGGATCACTTGAGCCCAGGTCAAAGCTGCAGTTAGCTATGATCACACCACTGCACTCCAGCCTGGGTGACAGAGAGACCCTGTCTCAAAAATAAATAAATAGATAAAAAATAGGCCAGGCATGGTGGCTCACATCTGTAATCCCAGCACTTTGGGAGGCTGAGGCAGGCAGGATTACCCGAGGTCAGGAGTTCAAGTCAAGCCTGGCCAACATGGTGAAACCCTGTCTCTATTAAAAATACAAAATTTAGCTGGGTATCATGATGCACATCTGTAGTTCCAGCTACTGGGGAGGCTGAGGCAGGAGAATCACTTGAACCTGGGAGGTGGAGATTGCAGTGAGCCGAGATCGCGCCATTGCACTCCAGCCTGGGATACAGAGAAAGACTCTGTCTCAAAAATAAAATAAAAAGGCTGAGAGTGGTGGCTCAGGTCTGTAATTCCAGCACTTTGGGAGGCAGAGGCAGGTAGACTGCCTGAGGTTAGGAGTTCGAGACAAGCCTGGCCAACATGGTGAAATCTTGTCTGTATTTAAAATATAAAAATTAGCCGGGTACAGTGGCAGGCACCTGTAATACCAGCTACTTGGGAGGCTGAGGCAGGAGAATCACTTGAACCCAGGAGGTGGAGGTTGCAGTGAGCTGAGGTTGCACCAGTGCATTCAAGCCTGTTTGACAGAGTGAGAGTCCATCTCAAAAATAAATAAATAAATAAATAATAATAATTAAAAAATAAAAATAAAAAATAAAGAGAAAAGTATACCAAAGGGTTAATAGCTTTAATATATAAAGAACTTTTACAAGTCAATAAAAACTTATCACCTCAAATGGAAATAAAAGGTAGACAAAGGCCAGGAAGAGAAAGCACAGATGCAAATACTCAGTGCCCAGCTCCAGGCCCCGCCCCATGCATGATGTGCTTCCCCAGTGCACTCAATGGGCACCATATGTATACACTGACATTTGACCTAATACAATCATGTCAGTCTTTTTTGTTTACCTCTCCTCCATGCCAGTAGACAGTACATCAGAGGAGGGGTGAGAAGATGTAAGTTGGCTCTGCCACTTGCTAAATATTTGACCATGGGCAAGCCCCTTTACATCTCAGAACTAGTTTAGTCACCCAAAAAATAGAGCCAAAATACCTGCCCTAGTCAGGCGTGGTGGCTCACACCTGTAATCCCATTGGGAGGCTGAGGAGGGAAGGTTGCTTGAGCCCAGGAGTTCGAGACCAGTCTGAACAACATAGTGAGACCCCATCTCTCCAACAAATTTAAAAATTTAGCTGGGTGTGGTGGTACATGCCTGTAGTCCCACCTACTCAGGAGGCTGAGGCGGGAGGACTGCTTGAGCCCAGGAGGTAGAGGCTGCAGTGAGCTATGATGGCACCACTGTCCTCCAGCCTGGGTGACAGAGTGAGACCCTGTTTCTAAAATATAATAATAAGTAGGAAAAGTCAATTAAAATCACCCATAATCCTATCTAGGGATACCCACTCTCACCTGGATGCTGCATAGTCTTTCAGATTTTTTTCTCAGGCAAATCATTACCTATACTGGTTAGAATGGCTGCCTCGTATCACATGACTTTTATCTTTTTTTTTTTTTTTTTTGAGAGGGAATCTTGCTCTGTACCCCAGGCTGGAGTGCAGTGACTCGATCTTGGCTCACGGCAATCTCCGCCTCCCGGGTTCAAGCGATTCTCCTGCCTCAGCCTCCTGAGTAGCTGGGATTACAGGTGTGTGCCACCAGGCCAGCTTTTCTTTTTTTGTATTTTTAGTAGAGATGGGGTTTCACCATGTTGGTCAGGCTGGTCTTGAACTCCTGACCTCATGATCTGCCCTCCTTGGCCTCCCAAAGTGCTAAGATTACATGCGTGAGCCACCATGCCCGGCCCTAATTTTTGTATTTTCAGTAGAGACAGAGTTTCACCATGTTGGCAAGCCTGGTCTTGAACCCCTGACCTGAAGTGATCTGCCCGCCTTGGCCTCCCAAAGTACTGGGATTACAGGCATGAGCCACCGCGCCCAGCCATACCACATGCTTTATGTGCCAGGCACCGCAAGGGTTACAGTCAGCATCTCGTTTACCCTTCATGGGACAACCCCAGGATACAGGTGCTATAATTACTCCCAGTTTACAATATGAAGAAACTGAGGCCAGGGAGGTAAAATAAGTTGCCCATGGTTGCTGGACTGGTCATGGGGCAGCCAAGACTGGAACCCAGGCCTGTGCTGATACCGAGGACAAGCGCCCACCTGCAGCCCAGGTTCCTACCAGCTCCTCCTGGGTGACAGCTGCAGTACCTGTCCGGGCTGAGGTTCTGGCCAGAGTCAAAAGCTCGCGCCACTAGGATCATGGACTGCCTGTCGCCAGCTTCAGCGGCCTTTAGTAAGTAATCAAATCCTTTGGTTTTGTTCTCTTCTGTCTCCTGTTGATACAAACCAAAGAGGGAGAAAGAAGAGTGAATGAGGCTTACACTCGAGGGCTGCCAAGATCTCACTACTCAATCTTCACCCTGTTTTTTGAGAGCTCCGGGTTGGGAGGCTATAGAAGTGAGATAGGAGGGGGCACTTGACTCCAGAGGCTTGGCTCAGACACTGGAACAAATCAAGGACAAGCTAAAACAGGGATGGGGTGGGAAAACAGCTTTTCATAAGACACGCCCACCTGTGCAACATGTCAGTTTACCATTGTCAGGGCAACACTTGAGAGTTACTGCCTGTTTCTATGGCTATGGCCCCACAACCTAGAAGTTACTACCCTTTCCCTAGACATGTCTTCATAAACCGCCTCTTAATATGCATGCAATTAAAAGTAGGTATAAATCTGACTGCAGAACTGCCCTAAGCTGCTAATCTCAGCACACTGCCTGTGGGGCAGCCCTATTCCGTAGAAGCAGTCATGGAGCTGTACCACTGCCTAAGCTATAACACTGACACTTCAATAAAGCTGTTTTCTTCTACATTTGGCTCACCCTTGAATTCTTTTCTGGGTGAAGCAAAAAACCCTCCTGGGCTAAGCTCCAATGTGGGGCCTGCCTGCCCTGCATCAGAAGTACACATCATAAGTACACATCACAGCTGGGCTGGGTGGCTCATGCCTGTAATCCCAGCACTCTGGGAGGTCAAGGCGGGTGGATCATCTGAGGTCAGCAGTTCGAGGTCAGCAGTTCGAGACCAGCCTGGCCAACATGGTGAAACCCCGTCTCTACTAAAAATACAAAAATTAACCAGGCGTGGTGATGCATACCTGTAATTTCAGCTACTCAGGAGGCTGAGGCACAAGAATTGCTTGAATCTAGGAAGCGGAGGTTGCAGTGAACCGAGATCAAGCCACTGCACTGCAACCTGGGTGACAGAGACACCGTCTCAAAAAAAAAAAAAAAGTACACATCCGTAGTTTTTAGTATATTCACAGAACAGTATGGCCATCACCAGTCAATTTCAGAATACTTTCACCAATCCAGAAAGAAATCTCATACCGCTTAACTGTCAATCTCCCTCTACCCCTACTCTCCTCATCCTGCTCAGCACTAGGCTTCCATTAGTCTACTTTCTGTCTCTATGGATTGCCTATTCTGGATCTGGACATTTCATAATAATATAGTCATACAATATGTGGTCCTTTGCGACTCTTTTCACTTAGCACAGTGCTTTCACGGTCCATCTGTGTTGTAGCGCATATCAATATTTCATTCCTTTTTATGATCAAATAATAGTCCATTGTATGGCTGTATCACATTTCGTTTATCCATTCATCCACTGACAGACATTTGGGTTGTTTTCCATTTTTTGGCTATTATGAATAATGCTGCTATGAAGATTTGTGTACAAGTTTTTGTGTGAAAGTGTGTTTTTATTCTTTTGGGTTTATGGCTATGAGTGAAACTGCTGGGTCACATATAACTTACCTGGTAGAAAGCAGACAATGCTGCAAATCAGGGTTTGATGTACTGTTTTTTCTATTGTAAGAAAGGCGTGGAAAACATGAACACTGCAGATGAAACTAACAAGCGGGTCATGCCTGTAGCTATTCTATTGTGACGAGTACAGCAAATTGAAGAAATATCCTTCCAGTATTTAAAACTACCATCTGATTCAGGAAGGAGGTCGCTCACATCAGAGGCAAATGAAGTTCCAGTTCTAACATAGGTCTTTGTTAATTTCACTTTCATCTCACTTATGTCAGAACTACACTTCTCCATCAATTGCAACCATAGGTTGGCTATGGGTGTAAGAGTTTGCAAAAATCAGTGCAAGTATTGTGTGAGAGTTGATGATATGAAATTTACTTTTCATTGTTATTTGTAAACCATATACCACATATTATTTTTTCTTGTTTTTTTTTTTGAGACAGGGTCTTGATCTTTTGCCCAGGCTGGAGTGCAGTGGCTCCATCATAGCTCACGGAAGCCTCAAACTCCTGTAGTGTATGGTTTTTATCCTCCCGCCTCACTCTCCCAAGTAGCTGGGACTACAGGCAGGTGCACCACACCAGGCTAATTTGTTTTTTTGGGGGTGGGGGGTTTGTAGAGATGGAGTTTTGCTATGTTGCCCAGGCTGGTCTGAAACTCCTGGACTCAAGCAATCCTCCTGCCTTGGCCTCCAAAAGTGCTGGGGTTACAGGTGTGAGCCACCATGCCCAGCCTACTTATTCTTTAAATTAGCAAAATTTAATATATTTACATATATGTGGGCACACATTTCCTTCCCACCTCCAAGAGTCAATTGTCAAATGTTCCCCAGCACACCACTGGCTGAATGAGCATAGAGATTCCAGAGAAAGGCCGGGTGTGGTGGCTCACCTCTGTAATCCCAGCACTTTGGGAGGCCGAGGTGGGCAGATCACCTGAGGTCAGTAGTTCGAGACCAGCCTGGCCCACATGGTGAAATCCCTTCTCTACTAAAAATACAAAAATTAGCCAGGCGTGGTGGTGCACATCTGTAATCCCAGCTACTTGGGTGGCTGAGGCAGGAGAATCGTTTGAACCTGGGAGGCGGAGGTTGCAGTGAGCCAAGATCATGCCACTGCACTCCAGCCTGGGCAGCAGAGCGAGAGCCTGTCTCAAAAAAAAAAAAAAAAGAAAAACAAAATATGTATATATATATACACACACACACATATATACACACATATATATAGAGAGAGAGATTATAGAGAGAGACAAAAAAGTGAAAAATCCTCTCTTCCAACCAAACCTCCTCCTCACCATCTAAGTTTTTGTCTCACCATCATGAAACAAAAACTGGTGGGCGACGCCCTGCCCACATGTCAAATGATGTAATCTGACTGAACCATAAGAAACTGCCAATATTCTACCATTTATGACCTTCCAAAATAGCAGTTTCATGAGGTTCCACCCATTATGCAGGAGGCCAGTCACTACAGCAATTTTTGTGATATCAAAAGAATACAGCCAACCCAAGTGTCCATCAATAGCTCACAGGTATGCCCCACACATATAACAGAACATTATGCAGCTGTCAAAAAGAATCGGGGAGCTGGCTGGGCATGGTGGCTTATACCTGTAATCCAGCACTTTGGGAGGCTGAGGAAGGCAGATCACTTGAGGTCAAAAATTTGAGAACAACATGACGAAACCCCATCTGCACTAAACATACAAAAATTAGGCTGGGCATGGTGGCTCATACCTGTAATCCTAGCATTTTGGGAGGCTGAGGTGGGTGGATCACATGAGGTCAGGAGTTCGAGACCAGCCTGGCCAACATGGTAAAACCCTGTCTCAACTAAAAAAAAAAATACAAAAATTAGCCAGGCGTGGTGGCAGGTGCCTGTAAAACCAGCTACTCGGGGAGCCAAGGCAGGAGAATTGCTTGAACCAAGGAAGCAGAGGTTGCAGTGAGGTGAGACCATGCCATCACACTCCAGCCTGGAGGACAAGAGCAAGACTTCATCTCAAAAAAAAAAAAGTAGCCGGGTTTGGTGGCAGGCACCTGTAATCCCAGCTACTCAGGAGGCTTAGGCAGGAGAATTGCTTGAACCGGGTGGTGGAGGTTGCAGTGAGCTGAGATTGTACCATTGCACTCCAGCCTGGGTGACAGAGCGAGATTCTGTCTCAAATTAAAAAAAAAAAAAAAGAATCAGGAAGCTATCTCTATACCACTGAGGTAAAATGTCCACAGGACACTGTCAAGTGAAAAACACTAGGTTCAGGAGTGTGTGTGTAGGATGCTAACTTTGGAGGAAAAAGCAGGGTGAAAATAGGAGCCTATTTCATATTTGTATATGGAAACCGTGTACTGGGCCGAACAATATCCTCCCAATATTCACGTCCATGCAGAATGTGATCTGATTTGGAAATAGGGTCCTTGAAGATATAATTAGTTATACTGGCTGGGCACTGTGGCTTATGCCTGTAATCCCAGCATTTTGAGAGGCCGAGGTGGGTGAATCACCTGAGGCCAAGAGTTCAAGACCAGCCTGGCCAACATGGTGAAACCCCATCTCCACTAAAAATACAAAAATTAGCCAGGTGTGGTGGCAGGCACCTGTATTCCCAGCTACTCAGGAGACTGAGGCAGGAGAATTGCTTGAACCTGGGAGGTGGAGGTTGCAGTGAGCTGAGATCCTGCCAGTGCACTCCAGCCTGGATGACAGAGCAAGACTGAAAAAAAAAAAATAGTTATATTAAGATGAGGTCACACTGGATGTTAGGTGGGCCCTAAATCCTATATGACTGCTGTCTTTACAAGAGCAGAAGAAACAGGGAGATAGGGACACGAGGGAAAGATGGAGACAGAGATTTCAGTGAGCCAAGCCAAGAACGCTGAAGATTGCCAGCAACCCCCAGAAGCCCGAAGAAACAAGGAAGGATTCTCCCCTCAAGCCTTCAGAGGAAGGCATGGCTCTACTGACACCTTGATTTCTGGACTTCTAGCTTCCAAAACTGTGAGAGAACAAATTTCTGTTGTTATAAGCCAACTGGTTTGTGGAATTTCTTAAGGAAGTCCTAGGAAGTGAATACACTCTGGAATTACATATAAGTAACTAATAATGATGGCTACCTATTATTCAAAGAATGAGAGGATGTGGGGAAGGTGGAAGGCAGATTTTTCACTGTAAAGCTTTTTTTTTTTGAGATGGAGTCTTGCTCTGTTGCCCAGGCTGGAGTGCAGTGGCGTGATCTCTGCTCACTGCAACCTCCGTCTCCCAGGTTCAAGTGATTCTCCTGCCTCAGCCTCCCAAGTAGCTGGGATTACAGGCGCATGCCACCACACCTGGCTAATTTGTTATATTTTTGGTAGAGATAGGGTTTTGCTATGTTGGGCAGGCTAGTTGTGAACTCCTAACCTGAGGTGATCCACCCGCCTCCATCTCCCAAAGTGCTGGGATTACAGGTGTGAGCCACTGCACCCATCGTTAAGCTTTTTATATTTAAAAATTAAAAAAAAAAACTTCTTTGGTCGGGCATGGTGGCTCAGGCCTATAGTCCGAGCTACTCAGGAGGCTGAGGCAGGAGGATCGCTTGAACCCAGGAGGTCAAGGCTACAGTGAGCTACAGTCATGCCACTGCACTCCAACTTGGGTGACAGAGTGAGAACCTGTCTCTAAAATAAATAAATAGTCCGGCATGGTGGCTCACACCTGTAATCCCAGCACTTTGGGAGGCTGAGGTGGGCAGATCACCTGAGGTCAGGAGTTCCAGACCAGTCTGGCCAACATGGTGAAGCTCTGTCTCTACTAAAAATTAGCTGGGTGCGGTGGCAGGCACCTGTAATCCCAGCTACTCGGGAGTCTGAGGCAGGAGAATTGCTTGAACCTGGGAAGTGGAGGTTGCATTGAGCCGAGATCGCACCACTACACTCCAGCCTGGGCAACAAAGCGAGACTCTGTCTCAAAAAAAACAAAAACAAAACAATAAATAAATAAGTTTTTAATCACATGAATGTAATTACCAATTCAAAAAGCTAAATAAATAAAGGACTTTGGAGTATCTTCCCACCCTCGAGTCTGAGATCCATTCACCCACTGGGCCACAGCCAAACCAACCCGTCAAGGAGAGCTGATGTCCTGCACCCACAATGAGCCTAGGCCACCTGTCCATGCGCAACGTTGGCCCACGTGATGGGGAGGATGGGAACAGATGGGAGGATGTGCCCGCCAAGGGCTTCTCAACTTCTCCTGGGAAAAGATCACTTTGCCTGGGCCTTGCCAGATCCCATTCAATCCTTTCCTCCCTCTGCTCACGGACCAGGGACAGAAGCAGCAGCAGGCTCCTACGCAATTTCCCTGCAGGTCCACACCCTGCTGCTTCAGCTCCAGCTCTGCCTCAGCTCCTGCACCTCTAGCTACACGGGTGCACCTTGTCTCTCACCTCTGGGCCTAAGCACATGCTGTTCCTTCTACCTGAGCTGCTCACCTCCCCCACTTGGCCTGGCTCACTCCCTTTGGGCCTTCAGGTCGAAAGCAGATATCCCCCCCAATTTTTTTTTTTTTTGGAGACAGGATCTCACTCTGTCGCCCAGGCTAGAGTGCAGTAGTGTGATCTCAGCTCACTATAACCTCTGTCTCCCAGGTTCAAGAGATTCTCCCACCTCAGCCTCCCGAGTAGGTGGGATTACAGGTGTGTGCCACCACGTCCGGCTAACTTTTGTATTTTTCTGGTAGAGGCGGGGTTTCACCATGTCGGCCAGGCTGGTCTCGATCTCCTGGCCTCATGTGATCCACCCGCCTCAACCTCCCAAAGTGCTGAGATTACAGGTTTAAGCCACCACTCTGGCCTGAGGTAGGTATCCCTTCATCTGTTCATTCTACGAATCTCTACCAAGCATCTACTCAGTGCCAGGCCCCAGCCACTAGGGATACACACAGAACTGATGAGCAGGAAGCCTGAACCAACCCCTCCAGGCCCCAGTTACAGCCCTTCCTCACATGTTTCCACTGGTGTCTTCTGCTTCCCCCATCACACCATGTCGTTATTACCTGGAAACGTGACTTACCTTCCCCTCCCTCTCCAAAGACAGAGATCGATTCTGCCAGTTTCAACTAACTTGGAGGGGCCTGCCCCCAAACCAGTGCCTGGGACATTTTTGTGGCATGCATAAACCTCAGGATAGAAGGCAGGTGAATGCATGACTTCCAGGATGGGAGGCAGGTGAACCACAGGGTGACCAAGTCCCACCCCCACCTGCAGCTGGGTCCCCGCCACCTGCTCACCTTCAGAGAGACATCGGCTAGGATGTGATGAGGCAACTGCGAGTACATGAGTCCCAGGCCCACGATGGCCTCCAGCTCGCCCAGGTTGGCTGCGTGCTCCAGGTGGAAGACAGCCGACTCCTGGTCCCACTCCTCGCCCTTCTCGCAGAAGCGCCCACCCTCGTGGTAGCGCACCATGGCCAGATGGACCTGCCACACAGACTACGGTGTCGGCCTGGCTGTCTGGCGGGCCAAAGCCGCACCCAAGACCGCCCAGCCAGCCTGCGGGAGGAAGTGATTAGCGGAGGAGAGGCTGGAGCTGGGGGGCTCCAGGTTAGTGCAGACAGGGCTCCAAAATGGGCATCGCCGATACCTTCCCCAAAATGGACTTCCCGATTTTCTTTTCGAGGTCCAGAGCATTAAGCCTTTGCACTTCCAGGGCCACGGCCGAAGCCCTCGGCAGGTGGAGGCGGGAGGAGTTGAGGAGATTCCACTTCTCTACACATACCTGAAGGGAAAGAACCGGCCAGGGAAGCGAGGGGCTGGGGGTGGACGCAGCATCACAGCTGTCAGCAGCCCCTACTACACAGGAGCCTGGCTGGAGGGAGATGGGGAGTGAACCCTCACGATGTCAAAGTTTATTGGCAAAACATGGCTCCAATTTTTTTTTTTTTTTGAGACAGAGTCTCACTCTATTGCCCAGGTTGGAGTGCAATGGCACAATCTCGGCTCACTGCAACCTCCACCTCCCAGGTTCAAGCGATTCTTCTGCCTCAGCTTCCCGAGTAGCTGGGACGACAGGTGCATACCACCATGCCCGGCTAATACAGCTCCAATTTTAATCATTCAAATTCCATCAACTCATGCATTCAAGAGCCAGTGGAACAGATTTCAGCAGCTCAAGGAAGCGCTTCCCCATCATTTACCAATCTGGATTTGGTTGGGGGTGGGGGTCTCACTCTAAACCAACCCCTTCGCCAGCTCCCCATATAAGGCACCAGAAGACTCCCACTTCAGACCTTCCAGCAAATCCCCTTGCTTTCCTCTGCAAGGCACCACAACGACATGAGCAACATCAGCAGGTTGCTGTAGGAAATGGGTTTAAAAAACACATCATTTCTCCTGGCCAAAGATGCCCCCTCCAAAGGCTCTTGCAGGATACAGCCAGGCAGCTGTGCGTGTGCACGTTTGCATGCTAAACATCTTGCAATGCACAGGGTAGCCCCCTCAACAAGGAACGATTCAGCCCAGAATGCCAGTAGTGCCTTGCTTGAGCAACCCTGTTCCATACCTAACTGAGAAGATCCTAATCTGGCTACAAAATACCACAGGGTAAATAATCAGTGTTCTGGGAGATGCCAGAGTCATGCCTGTGGTGGAGGCCAGGGAAGGCTCCTGGACGAGGGGCCCTGGGATCCAGGCTTGGAGAGCAGGTAGGATTTGAAGAGAGATGACAGAGGGAGAGAAAGGACTTTGCAGGTAGGAAAGAGACTTGCCTTAGTAAAGGCTCCAAAGATGGGCAGTTCAAAGCGTGTGAGGGAATCACTTAGAGGGGTGGGTGGGGCACAGAGCTGGTCTTTCCCAGACTTGCTGATGCTTGTTAGACATACAAGCGAGGGTAACCTGGGGAAAGTTGCTTAAGAGCCCAGTTTTCTCATACATAAAATGGGGATGAGAGTCACATTAGCCTGTCTCTCTGGGTGGTTGCAAGAAGGAAACTGATTACTGCGAAGTGCCTTCATGGCAGGCACTTAAGACAGGAGCTGTCCCTGTGGTGATTTCCCCTCCAGGATGGGGCTGAGCTGCTCTTCTCTAATCCTCCCCACAAATCCCCCAGCATCCTGCCCTGCAGAGGTTCAAAGAGCATTTGCCCAGATTTGCTGCTTTGCAAAATCTTCCTTTAGCACATGTGCAAGACAGATGGGCAGGCAGCAGAGATATGAGACAGGAGAAACAGCAACAGAGCCTGGAGGAGACAGGGAAGAGGCAGAGACAAGGGTGCCTCAGGGCGCATTACCCGTCCAGAGCTGCCCAGGCTGTCTTCGTCAGACTCGTACTTCCGATTACTGTATGAGTGGCCCTGAACGGAGGAAGAAATTACACTGATCCAAAGCGACAAGCTTCTTCCCAGGAACCTCTCCTGAGAGCTGGTCCAGCCCTCCTCCCTGGAACCAGCCTGGCCCTCCTAGGTGACCCTTATCTCAGAAAATTGGCCCTATGTTCCCAGGTGACACTGGAACCCTTCTCTGCCAAGCAGAAGGGATGCTGGGTCACAGGCAGGGATGACAACGCTGGTGCAGTCACAGCCTTGCTGTCCCCCTCCGTGTGTGAGCAGGTGGAACTGACTTGATGGTGCAGGATCCCAACACAAAGCCACTGGGGTAACGGGCAGAGCTCCTACTGCATGTTTAGTTTATATTTTAATTTAGACATGGGTCTTGCTCTGTTGCCCAGGCTGGAGTGCAGCAGTGTGATCAAAGCTCACTGCTGCCTCCAACTCCCCAGGTTCAAGCAATCCTCTCACATTGCCCTCCTAAAGTGCTGGAATTGCAGGTGAGCCACCAGGCCCAGCTGTTTTACTTTTTTTTTTTTTTTTTTTTTTTTTTTTGAGACAGTCTCACTCTGTGGTCCAGGCTGGAGTGCAGCGGCATGACCTTGGCTCACTGCAACCTCCACCTCCCAGGCTCAAGTGATTCTCATGCCTCGGCTTCCTGAGTAGCTGGGACTAGAGGAGTGCACCACTGCACCCGGCTAATTTTTGTATTTTGAGTTGAGATGGGGTCACCACGTTGGCCAGGCTGGTCTTGAACTTCTGGCCTCAAGTGATCTGCCTGCCCCGGCCTCCCAAAGTGCTGGGATTACAGGCATAAGCCACCACGCCCGGCCAGCATGTTCTTTATTCACAATCATAAAGCTGAGATCAGAGGTGTCCTGGCAAGACTGGCCTTGATGTGCAGGCTCCATTTCAGCACAGGGTAAGACCTCTAAATGGCAGATACTGTCTGAGGTTGCCCTCACCAGGATGCTGCTGGGAGGCTACCCAAGGAAACTGACCTCCAAGGCCCTCCTCCCTGGGGCCTCACAGGATCCTGCCTATGAGTGGGTCCAGCTATTACCCAGGATCCTCTCTGCTCAGCAGCCCAGGACTCCCACTTCACCATAAGATTTGTCAGCCATTATCAGCCTTATATCTAAGCCTCCACACTTGCCCCGTTACTGGTCCACATGATCCTGTTTTATCTTCTTTGCATTTATCTTTATCTGAAATACTCTTTATTTTATTTTATTTTGAGACAAAGTTCACTGTGTCACCCAGGCTGGAGTGCAGTGGCACAATCTTGGCTCACTGCAACCTCTGTCTTCTGGGTTAAAGTGATTCTCCTGCCTCAGCTTCCCCAGTAGCTGGGATTACAGGCATGCACCACCATGCCAGGCTAATTTTTGTATTGTTAGTAGAGACGGGGTTTCACCATGTTGGCCAGGCTGGTCTCGAACTCCTGATGTCAGGTGATCCACCCGCCTTGGCCTCCCAAAGTGCTGGGATTACAGGCGTGAGCCACCATGACCGGCCTGAAATACTCTTTATTAATTTACTTGTTATCTTCTCAGGACCCACTCATATTCCCCCTCCAGGAAGGGGAGTTTTCATTTTCCTGGAGGATAAACAAGGCAACAGGTGACACCGGTCTCATTTCCTGGGGGTTCCTTACATGTTCTCGGGGCTCAGGGTCATCCAGCTCACCCCGCTTCTCACTGGGGTATCCGCTGTCCCCACTATTCTCAGACTCCTGTGGAGAGAAGACGGCCTTAGGGTCCTGGTGGTCCCCTGAGCACCTGGAAATGGTTATGACATCTCAACACCCCAACTGTTAGCTTTCTCCCCTCTGTCCCATTACCTAACACCCTGCTCCTGCTGTCCCTTGCCGGGTGTGGTGGCTCATGCCTGTAATCCCAGCACTTTGGGAGGCCGAGGCAGGCAGATCACTTGAGGACACAAGTTCAAGACCTGCCTGGCCAACGAGGGAGCAGTATAAGGTAACAGTAAGGACCTTGGGCTCTACAGCCAAATGACCTGGGCTCAAATCCTGGCTTTATTTCTTGCCAGCTGAGACCTTGGGCAGTTGCTTAACTTCTCTGAGCATCAGTGTCCTTAGTTATGGGATTCATTATAGCCCCTACATCGAAGGGCTGTGTGGGTGAAATGCACTGTTACATTCTGAGAGTGTGGATCACAGGAAGTGCTTTACTGAGAGTGACTCACCCACTTCACAGGCAGAAAAACAAAGGCTGGTTAAGGGCTATGACCCACGGACAAAAATATAGCATTGGGAACAATATTTAATACAAATAAGCCCTCAACCAAAACCACACATTTTTATTTTTTTTTTGAGATGGAGTCTCGCTCTGTCACACTGGCTGGAGTGCAGTGGCACGATCTCAGCTCACTGCAACCTCTACCTCTTGAGCTGAAGTGATTGTCCTGTCTTAACCTCCCAAGTAGCTGGGACTACAGGCGCCTGCCACCACGCCTGGCTAATTTTTGTATTTTTAGTAGAGACGAGGTTTCACCATATTGGCCAGGCTGGTCTCAAACTCCTGAACTTGTGATCCGCCTGCCTTGGACTCCCAAAGTGTTGGGATTACAGGCGTGAGCCACCGTGCCTGGCCTAGTTGGGCATATTTTTTATTCTCCCAGGTCTGAGTTCTGTTCTGAAAGCGAATCTGGTATAATTTAGAATCTCTAAAACTTCAGCCATGTACCTACCAACATTGAATTATAGCTCTCTCTGCATGTCACCTGCACAATTAGTAACGGAATAGTTTTATTTCCTTCTTTATTCTTCTAAGAAGTATCTTTTCTGTGTGTGTGTGTGTGTGTGTGTGTGTGTGTGTGTGGCAGGGTCTCACGTTGTCACCCAGGCTGTAGTGCAGTGGCGTGATCTCAGCTCACTGCAACCTCCACCTCCCAGGTTCAAGCAATTCTCTTGCCTCAGCCTCCTAAGTAGCTGGAATTACAGGCACATGCCACCATGCCTGGCTAATTTTTATATTTTTTGTAGGGATGAGGTTTCATCATGTTGGCCAGACTGGTCTTAAACTCCTGGCCTCAAGTGGTCTGCCTGCCTCAGCCTCCCATAGTGCTGGGATTACAGGTGTGAGCCACCACACCCCGCCTCTACTAAGAAGTATTTCTTTTTTTTTTTTTTTGAGACTGAGTCTCGCTCTGTCGCCCAGGTTGGAGTGCAGTGGTGCGACCTCTGCTCACTGCAACCTCCGCCTCCTGGGTTCAAGAAATTCTCGTGCCTCAGCCTCCTGAGTAGCTGGGATTACAGGAAACTGCCACCATACTCGGCTAATTTTTGTATTTTTAGTAGACATGGGGTTTTGGCATGTTGGTCAGGCTGGTCTTCAAATTCCTGACCTCAAGTGATCTGCCCCCCTTGGCCTGCCAAAGTGCTGGGATTACAGGCGTGAGCCACTGCGCCCAGCCTCTACTAAAAGGTATTTGTTTTTTCTTTTTTTTTGAGACAAGATCTCGCTGTCACCCAGGCTGGAGTGCAGTGGTGTGATGATGGCTTACTGCAGCCTCTGCCTCCCAGGCTCAAGAGATCCTCCTACCTCAGCCTCCTGAGTAGCTGGGACTACAGGTATGTGCCACCATGCCTGGCTAACTTTTGTATTTTTTTGTAGAGATGGGGGTCTTGTCATATTGCCCAGGCTAGTTTCAAATTCTTGGGCTCAAGTGATCTGCCCACCTTGGTCTCCCAAAGTGCTGGGATTATAGGCATGAGCTACCATGCCTGGCCAATTTTACTAAGAAATATTTCAAACACACACACAAGCATAGAGAGTATTATAATTTGCCATAATATACATTTGTGAGAATGCAGATAAGATGCCTTCAGTTTCTTACCACCAAGTCAACCCAAAGCTTCAGGAAATGTTCTGTTTATCTAACTGGAGAGCTAGGTGTGAAGAGCTAGAACACATGGCTTACTGTGCTATGTGTTACACATCTAAGACCCAGTATTAGGGCTCTATAGGACAACCAACACATGTGGGGTCAAACCAAACCTGGAGCTGAGACTGGCATTTACTACAAGATCGCATTGTTGCTGACTGGGAGTCCCTCTTCCCTAACCATCTCTGGGAACTGCAAGGGACCCACCTTTTCTCAGAGGAAAGCTCAGCCTTGGACTGGAGGCTGACATTCATCTGCATCCTCCCTAATTCCCCCATTCTGTGCCCTCCTGGCAGTGCCTGGGCTAGGCTGCCCACCTCCGAAGCTGAAGATTCACTCTGGGAGTGAATCCACTCCTACCCCTGCTGGGGTCTGAAGCCTGCAGCCTCCCTCCCTTCACACTCACCCGGTGGTTGTCTAGATGATCATGGTCTCTGGATGCCATGTTATCGAGGTCACTGAACACTGGCCAATCTGGGCAGGGAGAAACAGACATCATGTCCTGGTTCCACTACTGGAACATGCATAAGACCAACCCACGGCCTAGGGCGGTCCATACCTGCCACCAAGCCTTTTTTTTTTTTTAAGCTTTAAAGAAAGGCACAAAAAAGGAGAAGAATGTTATCAGCACCTGGAGGCTAAAGTTCTTCCTTGAGAACTTATTCTAAGTCTGCTGTTTGCCAGCTACATGATTCTGGCCAAGTGGTGTCACCTATGTGTGTCCTCAGGGTTGTCACAATGCAATTATCCTTGTAATGTGTTTATTAGCATATGTGCCTGGCCACCACTTGGTCCTCAATAAAATGCAGTTGTGAAGGAAGAACAGACGTTTATACATTTGGGGCTCAAGAAGTGGGCCTCAGATAGCTTCAAAACCATCTTCAGCTGGGCACGGTGTCTTATGCCTGTAATCCCAGAACTATGGGAGGCCGAGGCAGGTGGATCACCTGAGGTCAGGAGTTCAAGACCAATCTGGCCAACATAGTGAAACCCCATCTCTATTAAAAATACAAAAATTAGCTGGGTATGGTGGCATGCACCTGTAATCCCAGCTACTTGGGAGGCTGAGGCAGGAGAATCGCTTGAACCCAGGAGGTAGAGATTGCAATGAGCCAAGATCACGCCACCGCATTCCAGCCGGGGTGACAGAGAGAGAGATTCCGTCTCAAAACAAAACAAACAAAAAAAAAACACCAACCATCTCCTGGTGGTTCCCTATCTCTGTCTCCTGCCCTCTACAGCCAAATCTATCTGTCTGTTTTTATAGTTTGTAAGAACAGTGTTTACATTTTTAAATGGATGACAAAAATTAAATTTCACCATCCATAGAGTTTTATTGGAACACAGCCACATCCACTCACTTAATATTTTCTATGGTAGCTTTCATGCTCCAAATGCAGAGACTGAATGACCTGCAAAGCTTAAAATATTTACTCTCTGACCTTTTAAAAAAGTCTGTTGACTCCTGTTCCAGACTATTCCAAAGACCTTCCAGTGGAAACATCTAAAGGGCTTCTTTAATGTTTGACACTAAAATCTTTCTCTCTTTCAAAGGTATCAAAATGAGAAAAATTAAAAAACTAAACAATAAAATCTTGCTCTCCTGCTCTGAGCCTGCTCCCGCTCACACTTTCCCTGAATACATGACCTCCAGCTCTTTAGGCCAATACCCTGGGGTCAGTCTTGCCTCTATCCTTTCCTACAGACTCTCATCTGAATCATCAGCAAACTCCACTCTTTCAGTGTCAGAAATAATGATTCTGTTTTTCTCCTTTGACCCATTAATATCACATTCATAGCTTTTCTAACATTGAACAACCCTCAGATTCCTGTGAAATCCCTATTTAACTGTGACAGGTGAACCTTTTAACATAGTACTATTTTTATTTGTTAATATCTATTTAGATTTTTTTTTTGTTCTCTATACACAAATACAAATTTTAAATAAGGTTGGGATATAATTTTCTTTTTTAGTTTGTCAAATTTATTATATAGGTTTTGCTGGTTTCATAAAACACACTGATAAAAGTTACTTTGTTTCCTACAATAGGGGTTGTTTTTATAGCATTTGGATGATCTGTTTTGAAAGTTCACTCAATGAAACTCACCTATAAAACCACTGGGGCCATGAACCTTTTCGATTAGCATGTCTGATTTTTCTAACATAAATGAAAGCTGGTTTAGCTCTGCTCCACCTGTCCCCTCCAATCACAGTGACTAGGGACCGAACCGTCACTCACGGAGGTGGTCTAGCTTCTGGCTGTGTGGTGTGGCCGAAGATGGGGAAGAAGGGAGAGAGTCGAAGGTCACGTCGCTCATGTTCTCGTCTCCAGAGTTCTCTGAAAGGGGACGGAGCAGGGGTGGCCGGCTCCCAGAGAGGGTCCTTACTTGGGGGCTCCCACATTTTTCCTCTGTTCCTCTCAAGATGGTCTTGGCTGATTGCTAGGGACATTAATAGGGATACTCATGTCACGCACACACCCTCTGGGAATTAAAGGGCTCTTCCTGTTGTTCCCTCTAACCCTGAAACCCCTTCATCCACAGCTCCTAAACATGCCTGTTTAGGAGCTGATATATTGTCTTAAAAAATAAAAAATCAGTCAGGGATTAAACCTAAGGCCTCCAAGAAAGGGCATCTGGAACAGAGGCTCAGAGGACCTGCCAGTATCCCCTAAAGCACTGACCACATTCCACAGCCCAGAGCTGGAGAAAGCATTCCACTCTATGTCCAGCATCCCAAGCTGGTCTTTGCAACATTCTCTTGTCCCTGGTCCAAGTAGCAATGGGAGGATGGGAGGTATGTTGGTGAGGTGCCTGGAGAGCCAGGTCTAAGACTAGTTCAGTCATTTGTCAATACATCACACAAACACACACACACACCACATGCCTTCTCACTATCTCCACGTGCCTGTTCCCCTCACTCTGGTAAAAAATGGGCCCAACCTAAGCAGATACCAGCTGCTCGATTGGAAGGACGCTCAGGAGGGCTTTGTGCACTGAGCTGGAGGGGACGGGCTGGGGCATGGATGGGACAGATGCTTCCAGCCCTGGTATTCATCAGTTAAGCACTGCTTGACCTGGCTGTCACCACACAGGGGAGCAGGGCTTGCTTTGCAAGTAGCAGAAGGGCCTGCCAGGCCAAGCAGGGTCACACTGGGCACCCACCAGCAGCTTGGTGTTCTGATTCACTGCATCCCTCTCCCGGGGCGAGAGGTCAAAGGGAGCAAGGCCCATGCTCTCGCAAATCCGGTTGCAGGCATGAGAGTAGAAGAAGAGCGCCATCCCGCGGACACCTGTGGACAGAGCGGGGGTGTCTGGAGTGTTGCTTTGCTCTGTGACGGGGGACAGGCAGTGGTGGGCCTCATACATATGGCCAGGGCAGGTATAAAACGTGCCAAGCTGGGAGGCATCAGACATCCAGGCTCCCATCTCCATGATCTTGAAAAAGCGCGTACAGTGTCTCAGCCTGTTTCCTTGGCTGTACGAAGAACTCAGAGGTTTTAGCAGGGAGCGTGGTTTCTGCAGAAACAGGCTGGCTTTCCCCACGTACCTAGGTTGCCGTCTCCAAAGTCAGTGCCCGTCTCCGTGTGGATCTGTGGGTCAGTGTAGAGATCCCCAACTCCCTGGATGTCCACCACTATCAGCTGATGGCCGGAACGCTCAAAAGTGAAGTGGCTGAAGGCCTACAGGGGACAGGAAGGAAAACGAGATGTCAAGAGACAGGCTGAGGTCTGTGCAGGCACTGGCCACGCCTCTGCCCATGCTGAGGGGCTTTCTCTTCAAGGAGTTATATAGAGGAAAAGACAAAGGAAAAAGGCCTCTTCAGTTGGGCAGGGACCTTGGGCTGCAGGTCCTGTGGCCACCTTAGGTGACAGAAGCTGTCATGGGGTGACGGGTCTCCTTCTGAATGCTCCAAGAGGCTTCTCTGGGGGTGAGACTCCAAGCCCACAGGGACCTTCCTCTTTAGGGGCTGAGCCTGGCCAGGATCTCACCCCAAGGGCTGTGGTGGGCAGAGGGTGGAGGTGAGCTCGGCCTCACCTGCGGCGTCAGGCGGATGTTGTCATCGCGGACAAAGCCAGAGTTGGAGTTGTACTTGATGTACTTGCCCTCGATGTAGTGCTCCAGGTGGAAGAGGGGCTTGCCCGGTCTGTCCTTCAGCTCGATGATGCACATCTGCATGATGTCCACCTGGTGGGATGGGGAGTGGGCTCAGGCGGGAGGGCCCAGGCGCACCTCCTCTGAGAAGCGGCAAGGGGAGGGCTCAGAGGAACTCGCCTGCCTGGGCTCAGACCCTGGCTCCATGACTTACTAGCTCTCTATTGTAGGAGCTCCTGATGATGCCCAGAATCTAATCTCCTCTTTTCCTTTAATTTTTTTAAAATTAAAAAAAATATATTTTTAGGCTGGGCACGGTGGCTTACATCTGTAATCCCAGCACTTTGGGAGGCTGAGGCAGGTGAATCAGTTGAGGTTAGGAGTTCGAGACCAGCCTGGCCAACATGGTGAAATCCTGCCTCTACTAAAAATACAAAAATTAAGGCTGGGCATGGTGGCTCACACCTGTAATCCCAGCCCTTTGGGAGGCCAAGGTGTGTGGATCACCTGAGGCCAGGAGTTGGAGACCAACCGTGGCCAACATGGTGAAACCCTGTCTCTACCAAAAATACAAAATTAGCCAGGCATGGTGGCACATGCCTGTAATCCCAGCTACTCTGGAGGCTGAGGCAGGAGAATCACTTGAACCTGGGAGGCAGAGGTTGCAGTGAGCCAAGATTGCACCACTGCACTCCAGCCCTGAGCAACAAGAGCAAAACTCCGTCTCAAAAAAAAAATTAATAAAATAAAAATACAAAAATTAGCTGGGCGTGCTTGTGCGTACCAAAAATCCCAGCTACTCAGGGTGTCGAGGCAGGAGTATCACTTTAACCCAGGAGGCAGAGGTTGCAGTGAGCCAAGATCATGTCACTGCACTCCAGCCTGGATGACAGAGTGAGACTCCGTCTTAAAAAAAAAAAAATTTATTTTAGAGACAGGGTCTCACTCTGTCGCCCAGGCTGGAGTGCAGTGTCATAATCATGGCTCATTACAGCCTCATACTTCTGGGCTCAAGTGATCCTCCCACCTCAGCCTCCCGAGAAGCTAGGACTACAGGCGTGTGTCACTACACATGGCTCATATCTAAATTTTTTTATAGAGACGAGGTCTCACTATGTTGCCTAGGCTGGTCTTGAACTGGCCTCAAGAACTGGCCTCAAGCAATCCTCTTGTCTTCCAGCATCCTCCCAGAGCATTAGGATGACAAGCTGCAGCCACTGTGCTCAGCTCTGTTTTCCTTTGAGTTTTAAAAGGGTACACAGCCACCCACTAGGGATGACATTGCTAAGCTTCCCTTGCAGCTAAGTGTGGCCACATGACTGTGCCCAGCCAATGGGAAGTGAGCATTGCAATGATGTAACTCCAGCCTGCCCTGTAAGGTGGACTCTGCTTGGGAGCCAGAATTGATTATGTGGTCCATGGCAAACCCCTGAGGGGATGGCAGAGAAAAAAGACCAAAGGAACGAGTTCTCTAGATGGCTTCAAGGAGATGAGGCACAAACAAGCCTACCCCAAGCCACCCACCAATGCAAGACCTCCACACAAGTGAAAAAGAAACCATTTCGTGTCCACACATATTTTGTGGGTCTGTTTGCTAAGCAACTTAGACTATGCCTTACAGTAAAACTGTGAATTTGGGAACATTTCTGAATTTCACCTCTCTGTGCCTCAGTTTCTTTACCTGCATAAAGAGGGTCTCAGGCTCAGTCTGTGAATTAAACTTATTGATGCAAAAAGGAGCCAGGCAATGTTTGCTTTCATTTTATTTTATATTTTATTGCCCAGGCTGTTGCCCAGGCTGGACTGCAGTGGCACGATCTTGGCTCACTGCAACCTCTGCCTCCCAGGTTCAAGCAATTCCTCTGCCTCAGCCTCTTGAGTAGCTGGGACTACAGGCACCCGCCTCCATGCCTGCCTAATTTTTGTATTTTTAGTAGAGATGGGTTTTACCATGTTGGCCAGGCTGGTCTTGAACTCCTGACCTCAAGTGATCCGCCCCCCCACCCCGGGCTTTCCAAAGTGCTGAGATTACAAGCATGAGCCACTGTGCCTGGCAACTCATTTTTATCAGGAGCTACAATTCTAGAGAAATATAAACCAACCTCTAAACAGCAGTTTTCTCCCTGCAATGGGAAATTATAGGGAACTTTGACATTCCTTGCCGAATTTTTTTTGTTTTTATAAAGTCTATGTTTAATTTTGTACACAGAAGAAAATGTATAAATAGTGCATATGGTTTGTAAAGTGGAGTAGGGGAGATTAGGGACTCTAGCTTGCACCTCTTGCCCTGTTACACAAGGACTCATCCTTGGTTCCCATGTCCTCCTCAATGCCACCTCCTGGGAGGATTAGGTCCAGGTTTCCCAAGGAAACGACCATCCATGGAGAGTGGGTCACCAGACATGCAGACAACAGATGCAGAGGCCGAAGGGGTCCTGATCTGAGAGGTGAGAACTTGCCCCAAACAAGGCTTCAATGGGTTCTGAGAACCGGCCTGAGGGGAAGGCAGGGAGCGGCGGTTCTCAGAGGGTTCTGCCCAAAGGCTGGTCCCATCCCTACAAGGAAACTTACAGCAGGGCCACCTGCTGGGCCAGAGGGCTCCCTGGGCGAGGGGCAGTGGTACAGCCACAGTGGACAACCAGCACCTTCTCAAACAACCACGTCTCTCTCCCTCCCTTAAGTCAACCACATTATTATTATTATTATTATTATTGTTACTACTACTACTACTACTACTATTTGGGGATGGAGTCTTGCTCTGTCACCCAGGCCGGAGTGCAGTAGCCCAATCTCGGCTCACTGCAGCCTCCGCCTCTCGTGTTCAAGTGATTCTCCTGCCTCAGCCTCCCAAGTAGCTGGGATTACAGGCGTGCACCACCATGCCCAGCTAATTTTGTATTTTTAGTAGAGGCGGGGGTTTCACCATGTTGGCCAGGCTGGTCTCGAACTCCTGACCTCAGGTGATCCGCCCACTTCAGCCTCCCAAAGTGCTGGGATTACAGGCATGAGCCACTGTGCCAGGCCTACCACAGTATTATTTACTGGACACCTAGGCACTAGGAGACAGCAGTGAACATGATAAAATAAAATCTCTGCCTTTAGGGGAGAGAAGCACCTAAAATATTAACTAAATGAATGACATACTAACTGCTCCAAAGAACAGGAAAAAAAAAAAAAGTTAGAATGATGTGACAGAGGTGACTGGGGCAGAGGGACCACTTCTTAGGGTTGTCTGAGATGGGCTGGCTGAGGAGGTGACACAGGATCTGAGACCTGAACTATAAGAAGTAGCTAGCCATGCAAGAATTACGGTGACACAAGATGCCCGCCAAGCCCACAGCCAGGGCCAAGGTTTTGGGGCAGGAACAAGCTTGTGGAGGAAGAGAAAGGAGGCCAGGCTGGAAGGCCGCAAATTGCAGAGGAAGCCACAGCCCCCCAGGGTGGGGACTGTGGCTTCTTGCGCCTGCCTCAAGTATGCTTCATCAAGGGCTCTGCAAACAGCAGGTGCTCAATAAATTCTGCACACCCAGGAGACTGTGCGTTGTATGTAGTAGATGCTCAAGCTGTGGAAGATCTCAGCTGTGGGCTCATGCAGGGCAGAGGCATGGATCCTTCCTCAAATGCCGAAAGGCAACAGGGAATTCTGCTTGGCCTCAGTCACTCATCACCCTAGGGGCTCAAATGAAGGTGCCAACCTAGCAGGGGGTTGAAAAGCCTGCATTTGAGACCTGGCTACAGCTCTGCCTGGTTGGGGAAGTCATTTAGCCTCTTTGAGCCCAGGGTTTCCCAAAGAGCAGACATAGTATCCACTATGATATGGTTTGGCTGTGTCCCCACTCAAAGCTCATCTTGAATTGTAGCTCCCATAATTCCCACGTGTTGTGGGAGGGACCTGGTAGGAGATAATTGAATCATGGGGGTGGTTTCCCCCATACTGTTCTCATGATAGTGAATAAGTCTCACGAGATCTGATGGTTTTATAAGGGGAAACCCCCTTTGCTTGGTCCTCAATCTCTCTTGTCTGCCACCAGGTAAGATGTGCCTTTTGCCTTCTGCCATGATTGTGAGGCCTCCCCAGCCACATGGAACTATCTGTCCATTAAACCTCTTTTTCTTTTATAAATTACCCAGTCTTGGGTATGTCTTTATCAGAAGTGTGAAAACGGACTAATATACATTCCCAGCTCTTTCTTCCGCTTTTTCTTGGGAATCTCACCTTTTCCAGTCTCAGTCCCTGTGGTCTGGGTGGAACACCTACATTCCTAGCTCTAAGGGCAGGCACATGGCTAGGGTGTGCCCAATCTGCATATTCCTGCCCCTTGGCCACTGTGATTGGCTCGGCAATAGGGATCTGACTTAATCAGAGCCAATGAAACGCAGCTCTGGGACTTTTATTGGAACTTCTGGGGAAATAGGTTTTGTCATTCCAACAAGAACTTGGGCCTGCTGGGGGCCAGAGTGCTACCACTAGTGCAGAGGCTGCCTGAGAATGACGCCAACCCAGAAGAACACCCAGGCCAGAGATGGAGGAAGATTCTGACAACCTCAGTTTAATCCTGCATCCAGCCGTGCCTGTGGCAGCATTATTTTTCAGTTACATAAGGCAATGAATTCCCTTTTCGGATTAAGCAGTTTGAGTGGGTTTCTGTCATTTGCAAACAAAAATCCTGACTAATAGATCCCATCTGTAATTGAGGATAAAAACATTCCGACCTCAGAGCTCTGTTTTTAGGAATAAATGACTCTGGAACAAGTGCAATGGCTCACGCCTGTAATCCCAGCCCTTTGGGAGGCCGAGGTGGATGGATTGCTTGAGGCCAGGAGTTTGAAACCAGCCTGGGCAACATGGCAAAACCCTTTCTCTACAGAAAATACAAAAATTAGCTAGGCATGGTGGCATACCCCTGTAGTCCCAGCTACTCAGGAGGCCAAGCTGGGAGGATTGTTCAAGCCCAGGAGGTTGAGGCTGCAGTGAGCTGTAATTATGCCACTGCACTCTGGCCTGGGCAACCAAGAAAGATCCTGTCTCAAAAAAAATAAAAATAAAATAAATGACTTGGTTCATCATGCTCAGTAAACAGTGGTTGTTATTAGCTACTATTAAGAAGGTGAAAGAGGCCAGGTATGGTGGCTCACACCTGTAATCCCAGCACTTTGGGAGGCCAAGGCAGGCAGATCACTTGAGGTCAGGAGTTCGAGACCAGCCTGGCCAACATGGTGAAACCACATCTCTACTAAAAATACAAAAATTAGCCAGATGTGGTGGCAGGCACCTGTATGTAATCCCAGCTACTGGGGTGGCTGAGGCAGGAGAATCGCTTGAACCTGGGAGATGGAGGTTGCAGTGAGCCAAGATCATGCCACTGCACTCCAGCCTTGGTGGTGGGTGACAGAGCAAGACTTCATCTCAAAAAAAAAAAAAAAGAAGGTGAAATAGGGATTCACCATGGCCCTCTTTCCCAGACACTGTGCCCAGCTGCCCTGGCATGGAAAGGGGGCAGGTAGTGGGGCCACGCACCTGCTTGGGGGGCTTGTGCCGATTATACTCCTCCCCCCAGAGCTTGGCCTCCATCTGTAGACGCACGTCCTCAAAGTACACATCCCGGTCTACGGGCTCGATGTAGCGCTTCGCCACGTAGTTGGAGGCGCCCTTCCACTGCTGGGCATGCAAGAAGTTGGAGAGCTTCTTCCTGTGGGAAGAGGCAACAGGGGGCCTACCTGGGTACTCTGGGGTTCACCAGGGACACAGCCCTGGTCCTCAGGACAGCAAGACCCTGTCTGATGTGGCTGGGTGGCTGGCAGCAGGAACAAAATGCAGGAGGTAAGAAGGACGTCCCCACCCCTCTGCATCCTTCAAAGAGCTGGGACAGGGGGATTAAAGGTCACTGTTAAAGGTCTCCTATCCCATTTCCCTTGACCTCCCAACACCAGGGCAGAGGTAAGTGGGGTGTTCCCTGTTCTTCCTGAGCCCATCGTCACAGCCAGGCCCAATGTGTGGCCCGAGGGAGACTAGATGGACAGGAACCTGGGCTACAAGAAGGCAGAGGCCCCTGGCTCCATTCCTTGGCTGAAAATGTCCCAATGCCTCAGCTCTTAGGAGCCTGGGGGGACTCTGGGCAGGGCCCCAAGAGCCAGGCTGAGTCACTTACGTCCGGAAGCACTCCCTCATTGCTCCTCGGCCGAAGGGCTGAAAGACACCACACAGAGTGTTATCAGTCCCCATGCCCCACCCAAAAGGGACCCTAAGACAGGAGGTGCTCCCCTTACATGCCACCTATCAAATGGGTGCCCTGGGCCTCATCTCAATCCTGAAATCCCTGGGGATCTCCCTTCTATGTCTCAGCACCAAAGCCATAGAGGCCTTCCAACCCAGAGGCTGCCAGGATGACAAGGAACCCCCATTCCTCCACCCCAGCTGAGGGGAAGAATCCACGGGGGCAGGATGATGGGGGAGGGACAGTGCATCTCAGAGGACGTTTTCCCAGCCCTGACTGTAAGAGAAAAAAAGTGGAGATAACCTACGTGTCCAGCAACAATATACTGGAAAAATCAACCAGGTGTATTCCTTCAATGAAATACCATGCAGCGATGAAAACCAATGCAAAATGTTGACCAAAAGAACACCTGCAGCACCAGGAGCAGCGGCTTATGTCTGTAATCCCAGAATTTTGGGAGGCTGAGGCAAGAGGATCACTTGAGGCCAGGAGTTCAAGACCAGCCTGGGCAACATAGCAAGACCTCCCTCTACAAATATTTTAAGGCTGGGCACAGTGGTTCATGCCTGTAATCCCAGCACTTTAGGAGGCTGAGGTGGGTGGATCACCTGAGGTCGGGAGTTCGAGACCAGCCTGACAAATATGGAGAAACCCTGTCTCTACTAAAAATAGAAAAATTGGCTGGGCGTGATGGTGCATGCCTGTAATCCTAGCTACTTGGGAGGCTGAGGCAGGAGAATTGCTTGAACCCAGGAGGCAGAGGTTGCGATGAGCCAAGATCGCACCATTGCACTCCAGCCTGGGCAACAAGAGCAAAACTCTATCTCCAAAAAAAAAAAAATTTTTAAAAATTGACTGGGTGTGACGGTGCACCCCTGTAGTCTGAGCTACTCGGGAGGCTGAGGTGGGATAATTGCTTGAGCCCAGGAGTTCAGGGCTGCAGTAAGGCAAGATCATGTACCCCTACACCCCAGCCTGGGCAGCAGAGCAAGACCCTGTCTCTAAAAAAGAATACCTGTTGTATGCCCCCACTTATATGAAGCAAAAAAATAGGCAAAAGTAATCTAGGGTGATAGAATTCAGAGGGGTGCTTACCCTGTGGGTATGGGAGGAGTGACTGAGAGGGGCTTGGCCAGGCTGGTTGCCTTCTGTTTGTTGATACGGGCCGATGTTAAGGCAGTGTGCTCATTTTGTGACAACTCAGCAAGCTGTACACTTTTCTGTGTATATTGTATATTACACTAAAACAAAGTTTCATAAAGCAATCCTAACTTCAATATGCAGGGAATACTCTATTTTCTAGTCTTTTATCTTTTTTTTTTTTTCTTCAAAAGCCTTTTTTGTATTTTTAGTAGAGACGGGTGTGGTGGCTTACGCCTATAATCCCAGCACTCTGGGCGGCCAAGGCAGGAGGATCATTTGAGCCCAGGAGTTTGAGACCAGCCTGGGCAACATAGTGGAACCCATGTCTCTATAAAAAATAAAAAAATTAGCCAGGAGTGGTGGTGTGTACTTGTGGTCCTGGCTACTTGGGAGGCTAAGGTGAGAGGATGGCTTGAGACCAGGAGGTCAAGGCTGCAGTGAGCTGTGACTGTGCCACTGTGCTCCTGGGCAATAGAGTGAGACCCTGTCTCAAAAAAAAAAAAAAAAAAATGCTGGCTACAACCAATAAATAAACAATAACAAAGAATCCCCCGAAGTTACAAAAATTAAATAAAGTGGGAGTGGGAGAGAAGGGTGCACAGACCAAAGTTAGCTGCAGAAAGTCTTTGCTCAGCCCTGTCCCCACGGGGCTCAACGCTCTGCTCACCTGAGATGCCATCTTGATCAGAACTTCATCATCCAGCCATTCCCCGGTGACGGCGTTGTACCTGCAGAGACCCATCCACCATGGGGCACAGCGTCCATCACGTGGTCCTGTTTCTCACTGGCTAAAGGTCAAAGACCCTTCTGGGCTCCCCACTGACCTCAGAACCAACCCACTCTCCACCTTGGCCCATAGCCCAGCCAACCTCCTGGGTTGGGTTGGAGACACTGTCCCTCCCTCCCACGTCCCAACACACTGGTCTCAATCCTTTCCTCAAACCCACTGTTCCCTCTCTACCATGTCCCCCATTTCCATATCCCCAGCACTCACTGCTGTGCTGTTTACTGGCTTGTTCTGCATCTGGGGCTCCCACTGGACTGTAACCCCACAAAAGCAGACCCATGTCTGTCTTAGTCACCAGGACCCAGTGTGTGTGGATGCTTAATAAATATACATGGCCGGACTTGGTGGTTCACGCCCGTAATCCCAGCACTTTGGGAGGCTGGGGCAGGCGGATCATGAGGTCAGGAGTTCGAGATCAGCCTGACCAACAAGGTGAAACTCTGCCTGCACTAAAAATACAAAAATTAGCCGAGCATGGTGGTGCATGCCTGTAATCCCAGCTACTCAGGAGGCTGAGGCAGGAGAATCGCTTGAACCCGGGAGGCGGAGGTCACAGTGAGCCGAGATTGCACCATTGCACTCCAGCCTGGGTGACAGAGCGAGACTCTGTCTCAAAAGATAAAAAATAAAAATAAAAATAAAAATAAAAATAAATACATACATAAAATAAATATACAAGGTGGATGAATGACTGAATAAATAATATGCTGATCATAACTGGTCTCCGTAACAAACGGCATGGCCCAGGGAGGGGAGGTGGTGGTGGTGCCCTCGATCTTGCCAGGCAGCTGGGCACATCTCCCGAGAAGTAACAGCCGCACACAGTGGAGGGTAAGGGTCCCGTCTCTGAGTCTAGACAGGAGAAGGGCTGCCGGTGTACGGGTAGAAAGGAGTGATCTCTTTCCTCCCCATCATAAGGGTCATGGACAACCAGTTTTATGTGACACGGAAGCCTTCAGAATGAAGACTCAAAGATACAGAAGAACCAATCCGATTTTATGCTGAGGTTCAGTGAAGCAGGGATGGCGTGAAGCAATGTGATTGGGCAAAAAGGAGATGAGCTAATGGTAACAGACTGAGTTGGCCAGCAAGGCCTGTTGCGATTCTTCTTGGCCACTCTGTTATAGCATTTCCTTCTCTTGTGTATGGAGTAGGACCCCTTTGGAATGAGGGTCTCATTCCATAATTTATTTATGGCCAGCTATTGCACAGAAAATTCATGTAAGGTTAGAGAATTTTTTTTTTTTTTTGACACAGAATCTCCCCATCACCCAGGCTGGAGTGCAGTGGAGCAATCTTGGCTCACTACAACCTCCGCTTCTTGGGTTCAAGCAGTTCTCCTGCTCCAGCCTTCCGAGTAGCTGGGATTACAGGTGTGCCTGCCACCATACCCAGCTAATTTTTTTTTTTGTATTTTTGTAGAGATGGAGTTTCACCATGTTGGCCAGGCTGATCTTGAACTCCTGGCCTCAAGTGATCCACCTGCTTCAGCCTCCCAAAGTGCTGGGATTACAGGCGTTAGCCACTGCGCCTGGCCTAGAGTAATATTTTTAAGCTTTATGGCTGGCTTTGGGAAAAAGGGGTTCTAGTTTCTATGACTGGTAGTGGGCAAGGGCAATTCTAGTTTCTTTTTTTTTTTTTTTTTTTTTTTTTTTTTTGAGATGGAGTCTCGCTCTGTCACCCAGGCTGGAGTGCAGTGGGGCGAACTCAGCTCACTGCAACCTCTGTCTCCTGGGTTCAAGCGATTCTCCTGCCTTAGCCTCCTGAGTAGCTGGGATTACAGGCGCATGCCACCGTGCCCAACTAATTTTTGTATTTTTAGTAGAGATGGGGTTTCATCACATTGGCCAGGCTGGTCTCAAACTCCTGATCTCATGATCCGCCTGCCTCAGCCTCCCAAAGTGTTGGGATTACAGGCGTGAGCCATCGCACCCGGCCAATTCTAGTTTCAATGGCTTGCTTAAGGAGACAACAAGGGGTGAGAGACAGGAGGGCAGGAGATGATCAGAGAGGGGCTATTTCTGAAGCCTTCACTTTGGGGTATCATTTTCTGAGCCCCAGTACCAGGTTGTGTGATGGTAAATATATATTTTGTTTTAGATTCCATTTCCTGGCATGCAACTCTGAAAGTCCTTGGAATCTCCAAAGTGACGTCTTTTTTTTTTTTTTTTTTTTTTTTTAAGACTGAGTCTCACTCTGTCACCCAGGCTGGAGTGTAGTGGCACGATCTCAGCTCACTGCAACCTCTGTCTCCCAGGGTTCAAGCAAGTCTCCTGCCTCAGCCTCCTGAGTAGCTGGGATTACAGGCGCCTACCACCACACCCGGCTAAATTTTTAGAAGAGATGGGGTTTCACCATGTTGGTCAGGCTGGTCTCGAACTCCTGACCTCAAGTGATCCACTCACCTCGGCCTCCCAAAGTGCTGGGATTACAGGCATGAGCCACCATGCCCAGTCTTCTTCTGTACCCTTTGTAACATCCTTTATAATAAACCAGTAAATATGAGTAAGTGTTTCCCTGAGTTCCGTGAGCTGCTCCAGCAAGTTAATCAAACCCAAGGAGGGGTTCATGGGAACCCTGATTTATAGCTGGTCAGAAGCACAGGTGAAACCACTTCGGGCTTGCGATCAGCAGTGAAAGTCGGGGACGGTCTTGTAGGACTGAGCCTCCAACCTGTGGGATCTGATGCTATCTCCAGGTAGATGGTGTCAGAATTGAATTGAATCATAGGATACCCAACTCAAAACTCCTCTAATTCCTTCAATTAGAGGAACAGAATTAGACGCACATCTGCTGGTGTCCACTGCAGAGCTGATTACTTGCTTGTGGGTGGGGAGAAACCGCCACACATTTTGAGCTCACAGAAGCATTCTGTGTTGTAAGGGTACAGTAGGTTAAATTAAGTTTGTTTTTGTCACAGATAGGTGCATACCTAAGGCAGAGAGAGCTTGGAGAGGGTTCAGGGAACATTTCCATCTCTCCTTTCCCAGAGTAAATCAGCCCCTGGGCCTGGCCAGGCCTCACACAAGTTTGCCTGGTGGAAATCTCCTCAGCTCAATGGATCCCTAAAGTTTGAAACCTCCCTCCGGGCTGAGGTGTTCTTAACTCTAGTTGGAGGTTTCCCTTAGCGCACCTCTCAGCCGGGGCAGACTCCAGAACACCCCACCCTCGGTGAGAACAGGTTTCCCAGAGCCTGATGCCTCCACCGGGAAAAACAAGCAGAGGCCTGGCAGGTTAACCTCCCCTAGGCTCAGAGGGAGGAAAGCTCTCCAGAGCTGCACAGTTTGCACCGGCCCAGGGCAAGTATAGTTGATGCTTGAATGACATGGGTTTGAAGTGCGTGGGTCTACTTATAAATGGACTTTCTTCAATCAATATATTGGAAAATGTTTCAGAGATTTGCAACAATTTTATTTTATTTTATTTTTGACATGGAGTGTTACTCTGACGCCCAGGTTGGAGTGCAGCAGTGCTATATCAGCTCACTGCAACCTCCACTTCCTGAGTTCAAGCGATTCTCCTGCCTCAGCCTCCTGAGTAGCTGGGATTACAGGTGCCAGCCACCACGCTTGGCTATGGCTAATTTTTGTATTTTTAGTAGAGATGGGGTTTCACCATGTCGGCCAGGCTGGTCTTGAACTCCTGACCTCAAGTGATCTGCCCACCTCAGCCTCCCAAAGTGCTGGGATTACAGGTGAGAGCCACCTCACCCGGCCAGAGATCTGCAACAATTTAAAAAAACTAGCTCAGTCTAGCCTGTCTAATAGGTACCTTGTGAGAACCACGAGAAGGATTCAGTGAGGTAATGCACCGGGCCTTAAGCACGCATTAGCATGCCAATATTAGCTGCTGTTATGATTACTCCCTTCCCCTGACCCCCAAGAGTACTTAGGCCTCACTGATTGGGAACAGAAGCTGGACGTATAGCCCCCAGGACTCCTCGAGACCCCACACAAGCTGCTGACCTGTGTCGAGTAGCACGTTCGGTGGCAATATCTTCCAGGTGGAACTCAGCCCAGGGGTCGGGCATGTGCTTGGCCTTCTGGATTGCGTGCTTCCAGGCTTCCTGTGGAAGGCAAAGGAGAAGGTAGGAACATCAGGCCCAGGTCAGGGGCTTTGGGGACAGCGTGGACTCCTCCTGCCCTGTTATTTCCTCTGGAGAGGCAGACAGTATCAGGACAGAGAGAGACTCCTGTCTAGTAGCCTTTCAGGAACACAGTCCCCAAAAGAACCTATCTGCACTCACAGGCACAGCCTCCCTGTGGGCAGAAATGGCACATCTTAACTACACAACGCTTGGATCAAAGAGTTGAGAATGAAAATAGGATACCATTCCCCCATTCAGGTTGGCTAACATTTCATTATATATATATTATATAGGATATACACACACACACACACACACACACACACACACACACACACAATACATATATAGAAACAGAATATAACGTATATATATATATAGAAACAGAGTCTCACTCTGTCACCCAGGCTGGAGTGCAGTGATGTGATCTTGGCTCGCTGCAACCTCCACCTCCCGGGTTCAAGCAATTCTCATGCCTCAGCCTCCCAAGTAGCTGAGATTATAGGCGCCCGCCACCACGCACTGCTACTTTTTGCATTTTTTGGTAGAAACAAGGTTTCACCACATTGGCCTGGCTGGTCTCGAACTCCTGACCTCAAGTGATCCACCCGCCTTGGCCTCCCAAAGTGCTGACATTACAGGCGTGAGCCACTGTGCCCGGCCTCTTTTTTTTTTTTTTTTTTTTTGAGACAGGGTCTTACTTTGTCGCCGAGGCTGGAGTGCAGTGGTGCAATCTCGGCTCACTGCAACCTCTGCCTCCTGGATTCAAGCGATCCTCCCACCTCAGCCTTGGGAGTAGCTGGACCTACAGGTGCACACCACTATACCTGGCTAATTTTTGTACTTTTTGGTAGAGACGGGGTTTCGTCATGTTGGCCAGGCTGGTGTCAAACTCCTGACCTCAAGTGATCCACCAGCCTCGGCCTCCCAAAGTGCTGGGATTACAGCAGGCTGGCAATTATTTTAATGAGATGAAACATTTTAGCGAGTGCTGGCCCGGATATCAGGGAACGGGTACCCTCACACACCATCGGGGGTATAAAACTTTTCTAGGCTGGGCTGGGTGCAGTGGCTCGTGCCTGTAATCCCAGCATTTTGGGAGGCCGAGGCAGGTGGTTTACCTGAGGTCAAGAGTTTGAGACCAGTGTGGCCAACACGGTGAAACCCTGTCTCTACTAAAAATACAAAAATTAGCTGGGCATGGTGGCACACGCTTGTAATCCCAGCTACTTGGGAGGCTGAGAGAGGAGAATCGCTTGAACCCAGGAGGCAGAGGTTGTAGTGAGCCGAGATTGTGCCATTGCACTCCAGCCTGAGTGACAGAGGGAGACCCTGTCTCAGAAAAAAAAAAAAAAAAAAAATAGGCTGCATCTCTGGTGGAGATTCTTGACCTTACCAGACCCAATGACCTCTTTTTATAATAAATATTATATAACACCCCATTTTACTGCCCTATGTGAAATTCATAGATAACATAAATTTCTAAGCTCAGAGCTAGAACCATGCCAAAGATATGTTGCCTTTTTTATTTTTTATTTTTTTTTCAAGAGACGGGGTCTCACCCTGTCCCCAGGCCGGAGTGCAGTGGCATGATCACGGCTCAGGTGATCCTCTCGCCTCAGCCTCCTGAGTAGCTAGGACCCCAGGCTGAGCCACCATACCTGGTTAATTTTTTAATTTTCTGTAGGGACAGGGTCTCACCATATTGCCCAGGCTGGTCTTGAACTTCAAGCGATCCTCCCACCTCAGCCTCCCAAAGGATACGCCGCCTTTACACATAACATAGCATTTAACTCTGGCCTCAGATAATTATGAAACGATTCCCATGAGCTGTTCCAAGATCTTGTGGGATGCAGGAAAATTCATCGTGCAGAACAGCCCTGTTTCAGGGTTGCTGGCATTCCCGGCCTTCCCTAACTCTATGCCAGCAGTGCCCACCACCCCATCATTATGATGGCCCAAAAGAACTCCCAAATCTATCAAAACCTATTGAGAGTAGCCAGGCATGGTGGCTCACGCCTGTAATCCCAGCACTTTGGGAGGCCGAGGCAGATGGATCATCCAAGGTCAGGAGCTCGAGACCAGCCTGGCCAACGTGGTGAAACCCCGTCTCTACTTTAAAAAAAAAAAAAGCTGGGTGCATACGTGTAATCCCAGATACTCGGGAGGCTGAGGCAGGAAAATCGCTTGAACCAGGAGGTGGAGGTTGCAGTGAATGGAGATCAGGCCACTGCACTCCAGCCTGGGTGACAGAGCAAGACTCTGTACCCAAAAAAAAGAGTCCAGCTTCCCAAGGACTCAGCCCAAACAGGGCTTCACCTCATCCCCAGCACTGGGTCCTGCTCAAAATAGAAGCAGCTCAGGCAGTGGAGCTGGGCCTTCCAATACACACACACAGAGCCCAGGCCTCTCACTCTCTCTAGGGCTTTCTTTTGTTTTTGGGTTTTTGTTTTGTTTTTTAAATAGGAATAAGGTCTCTCTCTGTTGTCCAGGCTACGTGGTGGTAGTGTGATCATAGCTCTCTGCAACCTCAAAACTCCTGGGCTCAAGCGATCTTCCTGCCTCAGCCTCCTGAGTAGCTGGGACTACACTTGTGTGTCACCATGCCCAGCTAATTTTTTTATTTTTATTTTTATTTTGCAGAGACCGGGTTGCACTACGTTTGTTGCCCAGGCTGGTCTCGAACTCCTGGCCTCAAGTGATCCTCCTGCCTCAACCTCCCAAGGAACTAGGATTACAGAGATGAGCTGCTGCACCTAGCCTGCTGGGGCTTTTTTACCTCTGCAGAGTTCAAAAAATAAAGCCTGTAATTCTTTTCTTCTATTTTGGTAGCTAATTTAGACTTAATTTAAAAGTTGGAGAATACAGAAGACAAAAGTCAAATCCACCATATACCATCCACTGGAGCAATGCCGTAGACTAATTCTTTTCCAGATCTTCTATATGTTTTTTTTTTTTTTTTTTTTTTTTTTGAGACAGTCTCCCTCTGTCACCCAGGCTAAAGTGCAGTGGGGTGATCTCAGCTCACTGCAACCTCCTGGGTTCAAGCAATTTTCCTGCCTCAGCCTCCTGAGTAGCTGGGATTACAGGCGTGAGCCAACATGCCTGGCTAATTTTTGTATTTTTAGTAGAGACGGGGTTTCACCATGTTGGCCAGGCTAGTCTCGAACTCCTGACCTCAGGTGATCCACCCGCCTTGGCCTCCCAAAGTGCTGGGATTACAGGCGTGGCCACCTTGCCCGGCCTACATGCATTTTTTAATAAGATTGGTATCATACCATAAAATATAATTCACCTCCTTACAGAAGAGTGGGTCAATGGGATTTTGTGCTTTATTTAGTGATCTCAATTTTTTTTTCTGATTCCAAAGTATGATCCACATCACATAAAAACTGCAAGCACTATAGAACTCTGAATTAGAAAGCGGAAGTCCTCCCTAATCCACTTCCTCTGAAAACCACAGCTGACAGTTGATGTAGACATTCTGCAAAATTTTTTCCTATGCCTCTGTGAACATAAACACATATTTAAGAGCAGTTTAGGCCGGGCGCGGTGGCTCACACCTGTAATCCCAGCACTTTGGGAGGCTGAGGCAGGCAGATCACAAGGTCAGGAGTTTGATACCAGCCTGGCCAACATGGTAAAACCCTGTCACTACTAAAAATACAAAAATTAGCCGGGCATGGTGGCACGAGCCTGTAATCCCAGCTACTTGGGAGGCTGAGGCAGGAGAATCGCTTGAACCCAGGAGGCGGAGGTTGCAGTGAGGCAAGAGAGCACAACTACACTCCAGCCTGGGCGACACAGTGAGACTCCATCTCAAAAAAATAAAAATAAAACAAAATAAAAAGAAAGAGCAATTGGACCACACCACATGTTCTGTTGTGCATCTGACTTTTCTTAATGTAAGATCTTGGACATCTTTCCATGTCATATGTGCAGACTGGCTGGGGTAACCTCCTTTCATTTCCAGAACTACCAGATATATAATTATATAAATGTACCTTAAGGTATTTGCCTAACCTCCAATTGAATAATGTTTGGGTTCCCTCCAACATTTCCTAGTACAAACAGTGCTGAAGTGAACATCTTCCTATCCAAATCTTGGGCGCTTGTGCAAGATCTCAGTAGTACATATTTTTTGGGAAATGTAACTGCTGGATCACATTTAAAATCTAGAAATGACTGAGTTCTCTGCCAAAAAATTTATCCCAAGTTATACTCCAAGAAGCAGTAAACAAATCACTAAAATTCTTTTGGCACAGACAGTACATCAGATAACTATAAAATTTATAAGTTATTTGCATCCTGCTTTAATAGTTGCATAATAATCTACTGTATAACTTTTTTGTTATTGACTTGATTATTCACCTGTTGCTCTCCACTGTTAGACTTCAAGCTTGTCACTGATTGCTCCCTGTTGTAAATAACCCCACAGCAGACATGTGTATGTCTAAAACATTTTTCTGAATTTCGGTCCCTGTACCTTTTTTTTTTTTTTTTTTTTGAGATGGAGTCTGGCTCTGTCACCAGGCTGGAGTGAAGTGGCATGATCTCGGCTCACTGCAACCTCTGCCTCCTGGGTTCAAGCGATTCTCCTGCCTCAGCCTCCTGAGCAGCTGGGACTACAGGCTTGCGCCACCACGCCCAGCTAATTATTGTATTTTTAGTAGAGACAGGGTTTCACCATGTTGGCCAGGATGGTCTCGATCTCTTGACCTTGTGATCCGCCTGCCTCGGCCTCCCAAAGTGCTGGGATTACAGGCATGAGCCTGGCCCCTGTACTTTTTCTCTTAAAGAGACAGGGTCTTGCTCTGTCACTCAGGCTGGAATGCAGTGGCATGATCACAGCTCACCGCAGCCTCAAACTCCTGGGTTCAAGTGATCCTCCTGCTTCAGCTTCCCGAATAGCTGGGATGACAGGCGCTTGCCATCATGCCTGGCTAATTTTTTAAATTTCTGTACAGACAGGATCTCGGTATGTTGCCCAGGCTGTTCTCAAACTTCTGGGCTCAAGTGATCCTCCTGCCTTGTCCTTCCAAAGCACTGGGATTACAGGCATGAGCCACCACGCCCAGCCCAATCCCCGTAACTTAAAGCACCAGTCTCAGCTCATATTCCGGCTGCTACAAATGGCAGGGACAGCCTTCGACCTCCACCTGTCAGGAGAGCCTGCAGGGTTGAGAATTCAGCAGGCCACCCTTCCAAGCATGTCTGTACAGGTGCCCTGTTCTCTGTCTACGACACACAATTCTCTGACAGTGCCTCTCTCAAACGACTCCGCCACTCCGTAAGCCACTAACAGGGACCGTCCCCATTCAGTGAAGATTAGCAACAGAAATTACCTCCTGGCTGGATGCCGTGGCACCAACCACAAAACAGGGAGGAAAGTACTGCAGAATTAGAGGGTGTGGTATTTCATAGAATAAAAATTACCTTTTTTCCAAACCCAGAACAGAGTCATGCCAGACCTTATTGGCAACAGGTGGGATTAATGCAACTGACTTTTTTTTTTTTAATAAGCACAGTATAAAAAGTACTGTACTAACATTCATGTCCCTGACTCTGGTTCCAGCTTACTGACTGGCTGTGGGAACCTCCATTTCCTTGTTTACAAACAAGGATGAAGAAGGTTTTGGCTGCTGGTGGTCCACTTTTTTGTGGCCCCTGCACCCAGGGTAGACACACTCCCACCAAAAACAGTGGCTCACTGGGGTGGCAGTGCTTATTATGGGTGACTCCTGCTGGAGCTACAAATCACCAGTAATGTTACCATCAGGTGGGGAATGGAAGCAGGTACTGCCATCTTTGAGAGCCACCTGGCAGTGGCTATGAACCTTCTTCTGCACCGACTTCTGACCCAGCCATTCCTATCACCTACCCAGGTGTGTCCAGGTAAGCTGGTCCAAGGATGATCAGTGCTTTTTTTTTTTTTTTTTTTCCTTTTTTCTTTTTTTTTGAGACCAGGTATTTATTACTTTGTTGCCTAGGCTGAAGTGCAGTGGTGGGATCATAGCTCACTGAAGCCTCCAACTCCTGGGCTCAACGAATCTTCTCAACTCAGCCTCCCAGGTAGCTGGGACTATGGGTGCTCACCATCATGCCCAGCTAATTTAAAAAATTGTGTGTGTGTAGAGATGACAGTCTCTCTATGTTGTCCAGGGTGGTCTTGAACTCTAGCCTCAAGGTCAGCACTTATAATGCCATAATGATCAGGCAGTACAAACTGCCCATCTGTAGGGGGATGATCACATACACTTGGTATACTCAAAATAAGATGCTAGCACGGGTGATCTTTGTATTCCCCCCGGGCAGGGAGTGGGGGACGTGGTCTCACTCTGTCGTCCAGGCTGGAGTGCAGTGGCGCCATCTCTGCTCACTGCAACCTCCGTCTCCTGGGTTCAAGCAATTTTGTCTCAGCTGCCTGAGTATCTGGGATTACAGGTGAGTGCCACCACACCCGGCTAATTTTTGTATTTTTAGTAGAGATCAGGTTTCACCATATTGGTCAGGCTGGTCTTGAACTCCTGGCCTCAGGTGATCCACTCACCTTGGCCTCCCAAAGTGCTGAGATTACAGGCGTGAGCCACCGCACCCAGCATGGGCAATTTCTAAGACCTATTGTTTAGGGGGGAAAAAAGCAAGTTACAGAACAATACAAACACTATGATACCACTTACTGGTGGCGGAAACCCACAAATCAATACCATGGATTTTCTAAGGATGTGTGTGTCTGTAGACATACACACAAATGTATACTTATATGCAAATGCACAAAAAGAGGTCTGAAAAGTAATTTATATGAAACTAATATAATTCTTATCTCTGGGAATAGAAAGGGATAAGAAGTTGCTCAAAGAGACCTCAGTTTATCTATGTTGTTTGCATTCTTTTTACAATGAGAATGTATTTAGGTAATGCCTGTGTAAATCAAAGTTAAGAAACAAAAATTACTGGGTTAGACGAGTTTTCTTCTTTTCTTTTTTTTTTTGAGACAGGGTTTCACTCTGTTGCGCAGCCTGCAGTGCAGTAATGGAATCATGGCTCACTGAAACCTCAACCTCCACCTCAACCTCCCGGGTAGCTGGGCCTATGGGCACACGCCACCACGCCTGGCTAATTTTTTGTATTTTTGTAGAGACAGAGTTTCACCATGTTGCCCAGGCTGGTCTCAAACTCCCGGACTCAAGTGATCCACCTGTCTTGGCCTCCCAAAGTGCTGGGATTACAGACATAAGCCACTGCGCCTGGCCAGGTTAGATGATTCTTAAGGCCGTGCCAGCTCTAATATCCTCTATTTCTAAGGATTCCGGAACTCAGTTGTTGAGTAGGTTAATTAATCTTACATAGAACAGAGGGCTATGGGCCGGGTGTGGTGGCTCATGCCTGTAATCCTAGCACTTTGGGAGGCCGACATAGGTGGAGCACTTGAGGCCAGGAGTTTGAGACCAGTCTGGTGAACATGGTGAAACCCCCTCTCTACAAAAAATATAAAAATTAGCTGGGCGTGGTGACGTGTGCCTGTGCTCCCAGCTACTCAGGAGGCTGAGGCATGAGAATCGCTTGAACCCAGGAGGTGGAGGTTGCAATGAGCTGAGATTGCACCACTGCACTACAGCCTGGGTGACAGAGCAAGACTCTGTCTCAAAAAAAAAAAAAAAAAAAAAAAAAAAAGAGGTCTGTGGATATTTCATAAAAAAAGGAAAACATAATTCTGGCTACAGAATAGAAAGGCTGTGGTTCTTCAAAGTCTGAGAGTACAAAATAAAAATAAATAATAGTGAAATCATAATAATTATATACCAGGAAAGGGAGATGGAAATAATAATAATGATTACTATAGTAATAATAATTTACTTCATCGAGTATGCCAGGAGTGAGGGTGGAGTGCCGGCAATGTGTTTGCAAATGTTTTGGCACGTGGGATGTTATCACTGTTGTTGCCAATTTTATATTACTGTTATTATTGCCATTATCACAGTAATCAAGGCCCCTGGTTACTTGAGGACACATCCAGTGACTCACCCAAGCCTTTATCACCTGTTACAGTCACTTCATGTTATAAAATCATTTTTTTCCCCATCATCACTTCTGCAGACTTTATGAAATACAGCTCAGAAGTCTAGGCAACATTGCGAAACCCTGCCTCTACTACAAATACAAAAAATTAGCCAGGCATGGTGCCATGCGCCTGTAGTAATAGCTACTCAGGAGGCTGAGGTGGAAGGATCACCTGAACCTGGGAAGTCGAGGCAAAAAAAAAAAAAAAGAAATACAACTCAGAGACAGCCCAACTACTCTCCCCTCCTGCAGAGCAGTAATGGGCTTAACCAAACTCAAGGGCTCAAATAAAAGAAGCGGGAAGAAGTGGGGGAACACAGTGAGGCTCTGGAATGGAAAGAGACCAACAGTGGTGTGTAGAGGCCACAATCTATGCCACATGCACTTAGAGGTTTGGTACAATTATCAGTGGAACCCAGCATGGAATACAGCAGCAAAAAACTGGAAACCAGGCACAGTGGTCATGCCTGTGATCCCAGCAATTTGGGAGGCCAAGGCAGGAGGATCACTTGACACTTGGAGTTCCAGAGCAGCCTGGGCAGCATAGCAAGACCCCATTTCTACAAAAAAAAAAATACAAAAATTAGCCAGGCGTGATGGCGCATGCCTTTAGTCCCAACTACCTGGGGAGCTGGGGTGGGAGGATCACTTGAGCTCAGGAGGTCGAGGCTACAGTGACCCATGATTGTGCCACTGCACTCCAGCCTGGGCAACAGCATGAGACCCTATCTCTTAAAAAACAAACAAACTGGCCAGACGCGGTGGCTCACGCCTGTAGTCTCAACACTTTGGGAGGCTGAGGCAGGCAGATCACCTGACGTCAGGAGTTCGAGACCAGCCTGACCAACATGGAGAAACCCCATCTCCACTAAAAAATGCAAAATTAGTCAGGCGTGGTGGTGCATGCCTGTAATCCCAGCTACTTGGGAGGCTGAAGCTGGAGAATCACTTGAACCCGAGAGGCAGAGGTTCCAGTGAGCTGAGATCGTGCCATTGCACTCCAGCCTGGGCAACAAGAGCGAAACTCCATCTCAAAAACAAACAAACGTGGAAACTGCCTAAGTATCCCACAAGAGGCAATGCTTAAAGAAACTGTGGTGTAGCCATACAATGGGCTGACAGAGCCATCAAGACACTACATCCATATTTACTGATCTGAAAAGACATGATGATTTCTTGCTTGCCGAAAAAAACTGGTTACTGAAGACATATATAGCATGATTCTACAGTAGCAACAAAATGTCCATATTTGTGTATATTTAAAGTGAAATACAGTAAAGTCTGAACTATACACTAAGATCTTAATAGCAAAATATCTGCACTTTTTTTTTTTTGAGACACAGTCTTGCTCTGTCTCCCAGGCTGGAGTGCAGTTGTACAATCTCAGCTCACTGCAATCTCTGCCTCCCAGGTTTAAACAATTCTTGCGCCTCAGCCTCCCCAGTAACTGGGACTACAGGTGTGCGCCCCCATGCCCGGCTAATTTTTTGTATTTTTAGTAGAGATGGGGTTTCACCATGTTGCCTGTAATCCCAGCTACTCAGGAGGCTGAGGCAAGAGAATCACTTGAACCTGGGAGGCAGAGGTTGCAGTGAGCAGAGATGGCACCACTGCACTCCAGCAGGGGCAACAGAGTGAAACCGCCCCTAAAAAAAAAAAAAAAAAAAAAAGCAACAAAAAACATTATGCTTAGCAAAAGAAGCCAGACATAAAAGGCCACATGTTGTATGATTCTATTTATGTAAAACGTCCAGAAAAGGCAAGTCCAGAGAGGCAGAAAGTGGACTGGTGTTTGCCTGGGGCTGGGTGGGATGTGTATATTAGAGCGTGATGGCTAAGGGGTATAGAATTTAGTTTTTGGGTAAAATGTTCTAAAAGTGGTTGTGGTGATGGATGCATAATTTTATGAATATACTCAAAGGCTTTGAATAGTACATTTTAAATGGGTAAATTGTATGGCATGTGAATTATATTTCCAAAAACTGCTAAAATTTTTTTTTTTTTTTCCTGTTGCCCAGGCTGGAGTGCAGTGGTGCGATCTTGGCTCACTGCAACCTCCGCCTCCCGGGTTCAAGTGATTCCCCTGCCTCAGCCTCCTGAGTAGCTGGGACTACAGTCTCACACCACCACGCCCAGATAATTTTTGTATTTTTAGTAGAGATGAAGTTTCACCATATTGGTCAGGCTGGTCTCCAACTCCTGACCTCAGGTGATCCACCAGCCTCGGCCTCCCAAGGCAATCATTATTCTTTGATCATGCTGTTAGAGCTGCCCTCAGTGGGTTACAAGTATGAGTGTAATCACCAAAGTTGGCCAAATAAGGGCATGGGAAGCAGGTGTACCCACCCATCATGGGGGGCACACACGATGGTGTAACCTCTTTGAGGAGCAACCGACAACACCTATCCCAGTTTAAACACACAAACGTTTTGCCTAGCCAGTTCACCTCTGGGGGGGGTCCTCTGGTGGGCACGCCCATTCATGGGTGCAAAGACACATGCACAAGGAAGTGCTGTTTGTGGCAGGACAAGACTGGAAATAACCTACATACCCTACAAGGAGGGGCTGGCTACATTTATTATGGTGCTTCCAACAATGAAATGATATTCAGCCATTAAATAACCAACAACAGGCTGGGCATGGTGGTGCATGCCTGTGGTCCCAGCTACTCGGGAGGCTGAGGTGGGAGGATCACTTGAGCCCAGGATTTCAATGCAGTGAGCTATGATCACACCACTGCACTTCTGCCTGGGCAACCCTATCTCAAAAGAAATTTTTTTAAATAAGGTGATCTATGTGTATTGATGTGGAATGAGCTCTGAGATATTCTCAGATCAGGAAAATATTTTTTTGCCAGGGGGCAGGGGAGAGGGTCTCGCTCTGTTGCCTAGGCTAAAGGGCAGTGGTGCAATCTCTCACTGCAGCCTCTGCCTCCCAGGTTCAAGTGATTCTCCTGCCTCAGCCTGTGGAGTAGCTGGGATTATAGGTGCCCACCTCCATGCCCGGCTATTTTTTTTTTTTTTGTATTTTTAGTAGAGACGGGGTTTCACCATGTTGGCCAGGGTGGTCTCGAACTCCTGACCTCAAGTGATCTACCTGCCTCGGCCGCCAAAAGTCCTAGGATTACAGACATGAGCCAGTGCACCTGGCTGAAAATAATATTTAAAAATAAAATTTCCCACCTTAATAACAAATTAAAAACATGTATTTGCTCCCTATGCTTATTCTAGAAAATGTAGAAATGACAGAGAAGGAGAAAAGGAACACAGTCCCTCCTAATCCAATCCAAAGACAATTCCTGCTGCCCTGGTGATGTGCTTCCCCTCAGGCCTTGGCTGTATGTGTACGTGCGAGTTTCACAGAGCTATAATCATGCTGTATTCTTTTTAGATTTAACTCTGGAGCAGAGGCACTTTCCCACGTTATCATAAACTCTATAAACATCTTTGGATGACTGCCTGATATTCTATGGAGAGGGCGGCCCCCTGAATGGTTCTGCCACGTCTCCACGGGAGCTTGGGCAGAAGGCTGGGCTTGACAGCGATAGAATCTGACCTTTCACAATCCACACCCAATACCTGCTGGGTGTGTTCCTTGGAGGGAGGCCAGCGGGCCATTTTGGTTAAACAATCCAAGTTTCCAGGTCACAGTGCGTTAAAAAAAAAACCACTTAGGTTTATGGGATGCTGAGGGAACAAAGGTTGGAAAGCTGAGCTGTTGTCTCCCTCTGAAGCCACCCCTGGCAACACTAACCCAACAGAGCCTGCTTTCGATAACCTAGAAAGTAAGCAATGAAGTGCCAACTCCCGTCCACACACAGTCAAACATTTTATCAAGTCCTACTACGCAGGACCAAGGGAATGGAGGTCGCATCAGACACAACCCTACTCTTGCAGTCAGGTGCTGACTCAAACAAAGAACGACACTGGAGAATGACTCACACACATAAAGGTCTGCTAAGAGCCCCACGGAAGGCAGAGCAGAAAGCCTGGAAAGGTTGTCTTCAATCTGGGCTCTGGGCCAGGCTCAATCGCTTATGCTTGTAATCCCAACACTTTGGGAAGCTGAGGCAGGAGGACTGCTTGAGGCCAGGAGTTCAAGACCAGCCTGGGCAACGTAATGAGACCCCATCGTTCCAAAAAAAAATTAAGAAGTTGGCCAAGTGTGGTGGTGCACGCCTGTGGTCTCAGCTACTCAGGAGGCTGAGGTGGGAGGATCGCTCAAGCCCAGGAGTTAGAGGCTGCAGTGAGTTATGATCATGCCACTGTACTCCAGCCTGGGCAACACAGCAAGACCTTGTCTTTAAAATTAAAAAAATAAAAATTAAAGCTGGGTTCTGAAGGAGGCAGAACTGTAATTTTGATAGACCAGGACATCAGTTGAAAGAAATTTTATAAGGCAGAGGTGTGAAAAAGGGAAGCCCATTCCAGGAGCTTCCAGATGTGTGTGAGTGGAGGGGATGAACAGAGCCTAGAAAGGTCCTGGAGCGGAGGGACCTAGAAGACACTCCCATCCTGGTGATGAAGCTTTTTTTTTTTTTTTTTTTTTTGTTTGTTTAAGACAGAGTTTCGCTCTCGTTGCCCAGGCTGGAGTGCAATGGCGCGATCTTGGCTCACTGCAACCTCAGCCTCCCAGGTTCAAGTGATTCTCCTGGCTCAGCCTCCTGAGTAGCTGGGATTACAGGCATGTGCCACCATGCCTGGCTAATTTTTGTATTTTTAGTAGTGACAGGGTATCACCATGTAGGTCAGGCTGGTCTCAAACTCCTGACCTCGTGATCCACCTGCCCCAGCCTCCCAAAGTGCTGGGATTACAGGTGTGAGCCACCGTGCCCGGCCAGAAGTGATGAGTTTTGAGGAGGGGGTATTTATCAATGTATTTGAGGAAGAGGAAGTTACCTGGTTATTTTACTTTATTTTTCTTAACAACATCTTTTTCTCCACATAAGTGATACATATGTGTAACTTTAAAAGTTTAAAATGTTTAAAAAATATACAAAGCCCCCCTTTAATGGTACCTCTCCCATAGAGAGAACTGCCACTAACTGCTGGGTGCAAACTTCCCCTTCAAATGGTTTTTGCTATGCAGATACCAATATATATGTATATACATTTTTAATAAAAATAGGATCAGGTCGGGCGTGGTGGCTCATGCCTGTAATCCCAGCACTTTGGGAGGTCGAGGTGGGTGGATCACGAGGTCAGGAGTTCAAGACCAGCCTGGCCAACGTGGTGAAACCCCCGTCTCTACTAAATATACAAAAAATAAATAAATAAATAAACAAATAAAAAATTAGCAAGGCGTGGTGGCGGGCGGCTGTAATCCCAGCTATTCGGAAGGCTGAGGCAGGAGAATTGCTTCAACCTGGGAAGCAGAGGTTGCAGTGAGCCGAGATTGCACCACTGCACTCCAGCCTGGGTGATGGAGCAAGACTCTGTCTCAGAAAAGAAAAAAAAAAGCATCATACTATATTTCAACTTGCTTTTTAACTTAACTACATATATAAAAATGCTAACATTTTTTGACTTTATTATGGACCAGGCTTGTGCCAAAGGCTCTTTATGGATTTGCACACACACATACTATATGTAATAGTAGGCACTGTTTTAGAGTGAAATCATGGCCAGGCGTGGTGGCTCACTCCTGTAATCCCCCTTTGGGAAGCTGAAGTGGGATGATTGTTTGAGCCCAGGAGTTCAAGACCAGCCTAAGCAACATAGTATGAGACCCTCTCTCTACAAAAAAATGTAAAACAATAACAACAACAAAAAAGGTCAAATCACATAGAATCATCTTCATCTTTGGACTAGCCTGGGTAACATAGTAAGACCTCATATCTACAAAAAATTTTTTTAAAAATCAGCTAGGCATGGTGGCATGTACCTGTGGTCCTAGCTACTCAGAAGGCTGAGGTGTGAGGATTGCTTGAGCTCAGGAGTTCAAGGCAGCAATGAGCTATGATCATGTCACTGCACTCCAGCCTGGGTGACAGAGTAAGACCGTGTCTCTAAGAAAAAAGAAAAGAAGAAGAAAAGGCTGGGCATGTCGGCTCATGCCTGTAATCCCAGTACTTTGGGAAGCTGAGGCGGGCGGATCACTTGAGGCCAAGAGTTAAAGACCAGCCTGGGCAACATGGCGAGACCCTATCTCTACGAAAAATACAAAAATTAGCAGGGCATAGTGGCGTGCACCTGTGGTTCCAGCTACTTGGGAGGCTGAGGCACAAGAATCACTTGAACCTAGGAAGTGGAGGTTGCAGTGAGCCAGGATCACACCACTGCCCTCCAGCCTGGGCGACAGAGTGAGACCCTGTCTCGAAAAAAAAAAAGAAGGAAAGAAACATCACTTTGTTCTAACGTAAACACAGCATTCTGTGAGAACCAATGCCTGTAATTTAAATCAGCCCCTCTTGCGGACACTTGAGCTGTCCTCCTCGGGGTGGGTGTTCATTTCAAAGCTGCCTTAGGACAGGAAACAGGATCAGTGGAAACCTGCCCCTTCAGGGGCCCCCGGACCCCAGAGGAGACCCACGGGGCTATTTCTGGAGCTGCCTGCCCCAGAGTAACTCCAGCTAGAACTCTAGGCCTAAAGGGAAAACATTACCCAACTATCTCCAAGAACTAAAATTATTAATTTTCTAAAAACAGATTAATTCAGAAGTTATGGAAGATTATTTTTAATTTCAAATCCCCAAGTGGTAATAGGCATTTTGTTTACAGTACTGATACTTAACTGTTTGTGAGGATTTGATTAAGAAAGGGTAATGGTATTGCACTTTTGATTTTTTACCCCCACCAGTTATTATAAAAAGTCCAATAATGTTCGCCTTTCCCCCTCTTCTTTTTTTGAGATGGAGTCTCGCTCTGTCACCCAGGCTGGAGTGCAGTGGCACAATCTTGGCTCACTGCAACCTCCGCCTCCTGGGTTCAAGTGATTCTCATGCTTCAGCCTCCCGAGTAGCTGGGACCACAGGTGGCACCAACACGCCCGGCTAATTTTTGTGTTTTCGTAGAGACGGGGTTTCGCCATGTTGGCCAGGCTGGTCTCAAACTCCTGACCTCAGGTGATCTGCCTGCCCGTGCTGGGATTACAGGCGTGAGCCACCGCGCCCGGCTTCTCCCCGTCTTCTTTATACCAGCTTTGCTATGGTATGAACACAAATCCCTACCAAAATAAGTACACTTTTCCTCAGTCCAGAGAAGGATGTCCAACTCTAAAAAGTGTTTTTTTGTTTGTTTTTTTACGATAACCAACATGAAGGATCACATTGCACATATGTCTCTGTACCCACATACACGCATATGCAGGGGTGCTTTCAAAATATTCAACACAAAATTGGACAAATGTAGAAGACACTTGAGACGGAAACCTTCCACAGTATGAGGTTTTTGTTTTTTGTTTTTTGTTTTTGAGATGGAGTCTCCTCTGTTGCCCAGGCTGGAGTGCAGTGGTGCGATCTCGGCTCACCACAACCTCTGCCTCCTGGGTTCAAGGGATTCTTCTGCCTCAGCCTCCTGAGAAGCTGGGACTACAGGCATGCACCACCATTGTGGAAGGAAAATAAAATAAGTAATAATAAAGTTAAAAATAATAAACATAAGTAATAGTTAACATTAAGTATAGGTTATTTAGAAGTTATACATAGGCTAAGAAATTTAAGCAGCCCCTCCCAGCATTGCTAACAAGTTGCAGCTATGAGCTTATCTCAATCTTCCAAGCTTATTGCCTGCCTCCAGACCCCCGCGTATTTCTGTAATTCCTGTTTTCCCTTACCCCGAAGCTCGAGCTGTCCAGCTTCAAAGTTGACTGGTCAAGATAACTAAATTATATGTTTTCTCAGAATTGTCACGTGTTAAATAATTTACTGTCTTTGTCTGAAACCTGTATCCTGCCTTGTTTTCCCTCCTCAAACGACATATAAGCAAGCCTGCTTTCTGTGTCCCAGTCGGCAGCCATTTTAGGCGTGGGCCTGCTGTCGGCCCGGGTACCTGAATTAAATAAAGTTCTCTTTGGTTTCCAAAGGTCTCTTTGTCTTTTCCTTGGCTGGAGTTTTATTGTAACACCATGCCCGGCTAATTTTTGTATTTTTAGTAGAGATGGGTTTCACTATGTTGGCCAGGCTGGTCTCGAAATCCTGACCTTGTGATCTGTCCGCCTCAGCCTCCCAAAGTGCTGGGATTACGGGTGTGAGCCGTCGCGCCCAGCCCACAGTATGAGCTTTTAATCAGTAAACAAATTTGGGAAAAGGTAATTAATTTGTGGAAAGGTTTTAAAAAATATATTAATTCTCATAATCAGTGACAAATTATTAGGACCACACTCCTGGAATGTGGCAACAGAGAGGGAAATAACACTTATTAAGCACCTATAATGTGTGACACACAATACTAGGTATTGTTTCAAAAGTAATGATTCATAAGAATTTAGTCTTGCTTGAACCTGGGAGGTGGAGGTTGCAGTGAGCTGAGATTGTGCCACTGCACTCCAGCCTGGGCGACAGAGTGAGACTCCATCTCAAAAAAAAAAAAAAAAAAAAAAAAAGAATTTGGTTTATCCTTCATAGCTGTAACTACATAGGATGGCTGTAAGCATTTTTTCTTTTTTTTTTTCTTTAATAAAGATGGGGTGTTCCTATGTTGACCAGGCTGGTCTCAAACTCTTGGCCTAAAGCGATCCTACCATCTTGGCCTCCCAAAGCGCTGGGATTACAGGCTTGAGCCACTGTGCCCAGCCAAGATAGCTATAAATGTTAAATGAGATCATTTTTTTCAGTGTCCCTAAAACAAGTTTCTATCAAAGTAACTAATAGTTATTATATTTGTTTCTCCGCTTGAATGTCTCTGCTGATAAATGGGGAGATTGTTAAGTCTGTAAACAATTGCTGTTTGCCTGTCTGTACTCAGTGCATAGCCTGGTGACAGATATATAATATGTAATAAATAAATGCAAATTTCATGTAATCAAGTACCCACGCTGGCACCTACCAAACGGTTTTCAATAAAATTATGTTTTTAAATTTATTTTAGGCTGGGTGCAGTGGCTCATGCCTGTAATCCCAGCACTTTGGGAACCTGAGGCAGGTGGATCACTTGAGGCCAGGAGTTTGAGACCAGCCTGGCCAACACAGTGCAACTGTTTCTACTGAAAATACAAAACTTTTGCTGGGTGTGGTGGCACATGCCTGTTATATCAGCTACTCAGGAGGCTGAGGCACAAGAATCACTTGAACCCAGGAGGCGGACGTTTCAGTGAGCCGAGATCCCACCACTGTATTCCAGCCTGGGCAGCAGAGTGGAATACAAAAAAATAAAATGAATAATAAATGTATTTATTTTATTTTAATTTTTTGAGAAGGAGTTTCACTCTTGCTGTCCAGGCTGGAGTGCAGTGGTGCAATCTCAGTTCACCGCAACTTCCACCTCCCAGGTTCAAGTGATTCTCCTGCCTCAGCCTCTCAAGTAGCTGGGATTACAGGTGTGCGCCACCACACCCGGCTAATTTTTTGTATTTTAGTAGAGATGGAGTTTCACCATGTTGGCCAGGCTGCTCTAGAACTCCTACCTCAGGTGATCCACTTGCCTTGGCCTCCCCAACTGCTGGGATTACAGGCGTAAGCCACTGCACCCAGCCTATTTTATTTTTTGAGAGACAGGGTCTCACTATGTTGCCCAGGCTGGTCTCCTAGGCTCAAGTGATCCTCCCTTTTGTCCTCTCAAAGTGCTGGCATCACAGGTGTGAGACACCACGCCTGACCTAAAATTATGTTGTTAAATAAATTCTTTCAAAAAATTAACAACAAGTGGCTGGGCGTGGTAGTTCAAGACCAGCCTGGGAAACCCCATTTCTACAAAAAAAATTTTTTTAATGAGCCGGGTATAGTGGTACAAGCCTATAATCTTAGCTACTCAGGAGGCTGAGGTGGGAGGCTTGCTTGAGCCTAGGAATTCAAGGCTGCAGTAAGCCATGATTGTGCCATTGCACTGCAGCCTGGGCAACAAAGCGAGACCACGTTTATAAAAAAAAAAAAAAAGAAGAAGAAGGAAAAGAAAGAAAAAGAGAGAAAGAGAAATAAGGTCCTTAGTTTGGGGATTTTCTATTGCCATAAATAAATAAACGTTTTTACAAAGAAATAAGATCTTTACAGTTTGCAATGTTCCCCAATAGTTGCTGTTTTATTCTGTTCTGTTCCATTTCTTTAAAAAAAAAAAAAAAAAAAAAAAAAGAACAGCACCTCTGCACTCCAGCCTGGGTGACAGAGGAGAACTCTGTCTCTAAAGAAAGCTAAAATAAATAAACAAACAAAACAAAACATTGGACAAAACTCAGCAAAAGGTTTTCACAACTCCGTAGTGTGTCCTGGGCTACTATTTGAAAAACACCCAGTTCCAAGGTAATGAAATTTATTTTAAATCAATAATACCCTCCCTGCTTAACAAGTATATCCTCAGCTCAGAGTTTAGAGCACTGTCCAGGGTTTGGAAATACGAAGAAGTCCCCAACCAGCGACTCCAACCCTCCATCCCTTACAGCAGCTAAGCCAGGTGGGGAAGGTGGAATAGGTGGCTCACTCACCTTGAAGTGGAAGGAGTTTGCCGGGGACCCGCTGGAGCTATACCGCTCACTTTTTGTTAGGTTGCTGTAGTACTTATTAACCTTGGAATTGACATTCTGGTTCGAGCTTGGGTCATCCGTGATGGGGCAGATGAAGTAACCTTCCTCATCGTCGCTGTCCCCATCAGAATCACCATCATGGCCAGCTCGGGGGGACTGGCCGCCATCAACGCCTTCCAGGCGGAAGATGAGATCTTCGTCTGCCATGTTCCTGGGGTGCCCGTTTTACCCAAGCAGTATCCGGCACAGCCAGAGTTACTGGACAAATGCAGAGGCGAAGGTCCTACAAGGAAAGCAAGGGCCAGAGAGTGGGTGCTGGGGCCCAGGGCTGCGAATTCGCCCGACCCTCACCCCAAATGCTGCAGGCTATCGCAGGAGCTGGCACCCTTGGGGTAAAACCTAGAGCTATCTTTTGGGGAGGCAGTTGGCAGCACCCAGGCACATTTTAAATTCGAAACCCGCTGACCCAGTCGTCATTCCACTTTTAAGAACTCAGTGTTTGCAAATGTTGGAACCAGGTTGGGAAAGGAATGGCTTCTTAAGCAGAGTGCTCTTTTTAGCACATCAATTAGATCGAGGCACTCCTCTGCTTAACGCCCACCCCTGGCAGCTTCCTTTCACATTCATAATAAAATCCAAATGCCTTGGTAAGGCTGCAAGAGCTGCGTTCATCTAGCGTGCTGCCCACTTCTCCTCCGGCCCTGGCTGCTCTCCAGGTACACTGGGTTTCTTTCTGTTCTGTGAACACATTAAGTTCATTCCGACCTCCGAGCCTTTGTACCTGCTGTTCCTTGTGCCTGGAACAACCTTTCTAACAGTGGGTTCTTTCTCATCATTGAGCTCACAGCTCACAGATGCCTCTTCAGTGAAATCTTCTGTGAATCCCCAAATCAAAGAACCCTTAACCCAACATGCATATCCAATCACTCCCTTGCATATCACCCCGTTCCATTTCTTTCTTTGTTCTTTTTTTTTTTTCTTCTGAGACAGAGTTTCACTCTTGTCACCCAGGCTGGAGTGCAATGGTGCGATCTTGGCTCACTGCAACCTCCACCTCCCAGGTTCAAGCGATTCTGCTGCCTCAGCCTCGCGCGTAGCTGGGATTCCAGGTGCCTACCACCACAACTAGCTAATTTTTGCATTTTTAGTAGAGATGGCATTTCACCATGTTGGCTAAGCTGGTCTTGAACTTCTGACCCCAGGTGATCCTCCTGCCTGGGCCTCCCAAAGTGCTGGGATTACAGGCGTGAGCCACCACATCCGGACTTTTTTCTTTTTCTTTTCTTTTCTTTTTTTTTTTGAGACAGAATCTTGCTCTGTCATCCAGGCTGGAGTACAGTGGTGCAATCCTAGCTCACCTAGGTCACTGCTTGACCTCACAGGCCCAAGCAATCCTCCCACTCAAACCTCCCAAGTAGCTAGGATCACAGGTGTATGCCACCAAGCCTGGCCAATTTTCTTTGTTTTTTGTAAAAACAGGGTCTCCCTATGTTGCCCAGACTGGTCTCAATCTCCTGGGCTCAAGTGATCCTCCTGCCTTGGCCTCCCAAAATGCTGGGATTACAGGCATGCTTCATTTCTTCATTGTGCTTTTCTCAAACTGAAATCACCCCGTTTACTTTGTTATTGTCTGTATGCCCAATACCTCCAAAAGTGTTTGGCACAGAGAAGGCACTCAATGCACTTTCCCAGAATGAAGGAGTGGCCCTAAAAGCATTTTTTGTTTGTTTGTTTTTCTTTGAGACAGAGTCTGGCTCTGTGGAGTGCAGTGGCATGATCTCGGCTCACTGCAACTTCCGCCTCCCGAGTTCAAGCAATTCTCCTGCCTCAGTCTCCTGAGTAGCTGGGATTACAGGCATCCACTACCACGCGCGGCTAATTTTTGTATTTTTAGTAGAGACGGGGTTTCACCATGTTGGCCAGGCTAGTCTTGGACTCCTGACCTCAGGTGATCCGCCTGCCTCGGCCTCCCAAAGTGCTGGGATTACAGATGTGAGCCACCACGCCTGGCCTAAAAGCACTTTCTGTAGCACAATCAGTAACAGCAACAAAACAAAACCCAACAACCCCAAATGTCCAATAGAAGCTCATTATACAGATTACAGTATTTCTCTCTACACCATGAAATACTCCGTGACTGTTAGAAAGGGGACGGTCCCATACCCACAAACACACAAAAATAATCAAGAAAGAGTTCAGGAAGATTGTAGGATAGAACTGTCACATTTACAGCCACCTGATTTTCAACAAGGGTGCCAAGATAATTCACTCTCAGTTTTACAGTCACTTGATTTTCAACAAGCCAAGATGATTCAACAGGGAAGGAAGAATCTTTTCAACAAATGGTGTTGGGATAAATGAATATCCACATGCAAAAAAATGAAGTTGATCCCCTTCCTTACGCCATACCCAAAAATTAAGAAATTAGAAAACACTCTGGCACCAGCCTGGCCAACATGGCGAAACCCTGTCTCTACTAAAAATATAAAAGGTAGCCAGGCGTGGTGGTGCATGCCTATAATCCCAACTACTTGGGAGGCTGAGGTGAGAGAATTGCCTGAGCCTGGGAGGCAGAGGTTGCAGTGAGCTGAGACTGTGCCATTGCACTCCAGCCTGGGTGACAGAGTGAGACCTTGTCTAAAAACAAAACAAAACCAAAAAAAAAAAAAAAAAACAGAAAAAAACAACATCTCAAAAAGTTAAACACTGAGTTACCGTATGATCCAGCAATTCCACTCCTAGGTGCTGACATACACTACAATATGGATGAAACTTACAACCACTAGGGGAGGTGAAAGGCAGTGACAAAAGACTATATACATTGACTAATTCTCTGTATATGAAACTTCCAGAGAAGGCAAAGCAACAGCAATAGAAAATAGATTAATGGTTGCCTGAGGATGGAGGTAGGGTGTGGTGGTGGGAATGGTTGGGGGAAATGGGGAATGATTGCTAATGGGTATGGGGTTTCTTTTGAGTTGATGAAAAGGTTCTAAAATTGACTGTGGCTATATGACTATGAATATACCATTGAATTGTACTATCTATCTATCTGAGATGGAGTCTCACCCTGTCACCCAGGCTGGAGTGCAGTGGCACAATCTCGGCTCACTGTAACCTCCACCCCCAGGTTCAAGTGATTCTCCTGCCTCAGCCTCCCAAATAGCTGGGACTACAGACACGCACCACTGTGCCCAGCTAATTTTTGTATTTTTTTTTTTTTTTTTTTTTTTTAGGGACGGGGTTTCACCATGTTGGCCAGGCTGTTCTCGAACTCCTGAACTTGTGATCTGCCCACCTCAGCCTCCCAAAGTGCTGGGATTACAGGCATGAGCCACTGCTCCCAGCCAGAATCGTACATTTTAAATGAGCAGATTGTAAGGTATGTGAATTTTATCTCAAGAAAGCCAAAGTTTTAAAGAAAAGAAAGTCGGATGTGGTGGTTCATGTCTGTAATCCCAGCACTTTGGGAGGCCGAGGTGGGAGGATCGCTTGAGCCCAGAAGTTTAAGACCAGCCTGGGCAACATAATGGGACCCTGACTTTACAAAAAAAATACAAAAAATTAGCTGGGTGTGATGGTGCGTGCCTGTAGTCCCAGCTACTCAGGTGGTTGAGGTGGGAAGATCACTTGAGCCCAGGAGGTTCAAGTGAGCCCAGAGGCTGCAGTGAGCTGAAATTGCACCACAACACTCCAGCCTGGGCAATACAGCAAGACCCTGTCTCCAAAAAAAGAAAAGAAAAGAAAAAGGACCTGTGTACATGCATGAAAACTTCCCTGAAAAATCCACAGGAACTGTACAGCACTCGAAATAAGCAGCTGTAGAGCTGGAGGAAACTTTTTATTTTTAATTTTTTAATTTTTTTTGAGATAGAGTCTTGCTCTGTTGCCCAGGCTGGAGTGGGGTGGCACAATCTTGGCTCACTGCAAGCTCTGCCTCCCAGGTTCAAGCGATTCTCCTGCCTCAGCCTCCCGAGTAGCTGGGATTACAGGAGCCCACCACCACACCCAGCTAATTTTTGTATTTTTAGTAGAGGCGGGGTTTCACCATGTTGGCCACAGTGGCCTTGAACTCCTGACCTCAAGTGATCTGCCCGTCTTGGCCTCCCAAAGTGCTAGAATTACAGATATGAGCCACTGAGCCTGGCCAGCTTTTTAAAACTTTGTATGTTTCTATACTGCTTTAACTTTTTTACAAAGCTGGATTGCTTTAGACACAAAATAGTAAGTAAATTAGTTTAAAAATTTTTTTACATCAAACCAATAATTCCAATTTTTTTGACAGTGCTGTCCATCAGGTGCACAGTCTTCTAGAGCCAAGGCTTTGGTACTCTGGCTACCGAAGCAGGAAATATATTTATATCCTAACCCACTACATGCTTATAAAATGGACAGTAAAATTTCAAGAAATTGTGCTTAGCCTTACTTTGTATAATGCGCTCTTGCTATTTTTTTTTTTTAAATGTTATTTTTAGAGACAGGTTGCCCTGGCTGGAGTGCAGTGGTGTGATCACAGCTCACTGTAGCCTCCAACAGCTGGGTTCAGGTGATCCTCCCGCCTCAGCCTCCAGAGCAGTCCATGCCACCATGCCCGGCTAAAGTTTTTTATTTTTGTACAGACAGAGTCTCACTATGTTGGCCAGGCTGGTCTTGAACTTCCAGCCTCAAGTGATCCTCCCACCTTGGCCTCCCAAAGCACTAGGATTACTGATGTGAGCCACTGTGTTTGGCCCACTCTTGCTATTTTCTATTCTACTTAAGTCCTCTGTTTTTTCTTTCTGTTTAATCTTTTTCCTTAACACACCACCCACACATTGATTTCTATACTCACCGTTTGAAAACCAACGTGAACTACTGAGTTTGTTTCTTATCCTCTGGGCAAGACACAGTCACAGGCCTGGATCCAATGCCAGAGCCACCTGATCCTGCTTGTCACCAGAATCTTCCCTGAGCCCTGGACTGGCCTCTCCTCACTGTCAGCTGCTCCCAGCCCCAGCGCCTACTCTGCCCTGGTCAGCCCTTGGCCAGAATCCCTGCTGACCAACACGGCGTGGTGCCAGGAGCTGCCAGCAGGCCCAGCCTAGTCAGCGGCCACTGGGGGCCAGGACAGTGCCAGGAGGAGGGCCAGAACCACAGCCCCAAGCTGCAGACCTCCAGACAGTGTAGTTCGGTGGTTAAAAGCTCAGATCCAGGGCCAGGCGTGATGGCTCATGCCCGTAATCCCAGCACTTTGGGAGGCCAAGGTGGGCAGATCGCTTGAGCTCAGGAGTTCGAGGCCAGCCTGGGGAACATGGCGAAATCCTGTCTCTACGAAAAAATACAAAAATTAGCCGGGCGTGGTGGTGTGTGCCTGTAGTCCCAGCTACTCAGGAGGCTGAAGTGGGAGGATCACTTGAATCTGGGGAGGCAGAGGCTGCAGTGAATTGAGATTGTGCCACTGCCTGGGCAACAGAGCAAGACCTCATCTCAAATAAGCAAAAAACAAAAAAAAAAGCACGCTCAGATTCAGGATCTGGGCTGCTAGCGAGCAAATCTGGCTCCTTACCCAATTAATTCACGGAGCCGACTCCCTCATCTTACAGTGTGGGGAGCTCGGCCCTCGGCCATGTCCCACCACAGACCTGACGTTCTCCTCGGCCCTGGGAAATGAAGACAAGCAGCTGTGACCCTGCCTGGCACAGCGCCTTGTACACAGCAGGCACTTGATATGCATTCCAGAGCTAAGTGAGTGTCATCTGTTTTATGGCTTTTGAGTTGTCATAAATTTGCTCTTAAGGCAGCTGTGGCAAACTATCCCCCAATAGCTGTTCACTCTTTCTTCCTTGATAAGAGAACCACCGGGTTTTGGCTAAGCATGTCACGTGGCCACTCAGGATACATTTCCCAGACTCCTTTGCAGATAGATATAAACATGTGAACAAGTTTTAGTCAATGGGATATAAGAAGGACTGTGTGCAACCATAGGGAAGGGTTCTTAAAGGGAGTGTGCCCCTTGGCTCTCCTTCCAACCTGCTGGCTGAAATGCACATGTGATTGCCGGAGCTCAAGCAGCTACCCTAGACCATGAGGCGGATGGCCCTGTGCTGAGGCTGGAAGAGCTATGAGACAAACAGAACCTGGGTCTCTTATACCATGGGACAGCATAACAATCCTGGATTCAGAAACTTCATACTCTGATAGCTAAACTTGTATAATCTACTGTAATTTTCTTTTTTCCTTTCTACTTGCTAATTTTATTTGGTAACAGTAGCTCCTTCTCTCCCATATCATAAAAAGTCACATCCTCTTTTTTGTAAAGTTTTATTTTTTGAGAAAGGGTCTTGTTCTGCTGCCCAGGCTGGAGTAAAATTGTGCAATCAGAGCTCATTGCAGCCTTGATCTCTGGGCTCAAGTGATTCTCCTACCTCAGCCTCCTGAGTAGCTGGGACTACAGGTGTGTGTCACTATGCCCACCTAATTTTTTATTTTTGTAGAGACACAGTTTCACTATGTTGCCCAGGCTAGTCTCGAACTCCTGGCCTTAAGCAATCCTCCCACCTTGGCCTCCTGAAGTGTTGGGATGACAGGCGTGAGCCACTGCACCTGGCCTAAAGGTCACAACCTTTATGACAAATGGGTGCCTGGGCAGGGTCAACCTGGGAAAACTGTGGCCTCAATCCATAGTCCTAACTTGGCAGATACTCTTACATTTGCACATGAAGACTGGGTACCTGGAGGATGTTGGATTTCCCCAAACAAGCAAGGAACCTTCCTTAGCCTTTAAGTCAGTTCCAGGAGGCCTGTTCTAACACCAGGCAAGATGCCCAGCCTCCTAGGGGTCTCTATCTATCCTGGGGTTCCCTTGGCCCAAAGAAAGGATCTACTCCTGTGATAAGAATAGGACTCCAGCTGAAAGACATCAGGATTTTTCTTGAAAGCTTTCTCTACCTCACTCAGGCATCCACATCTTCTCCTCCCAGTCCCTATTTCTTTTCTTTTTTCTCTTTTTTTTTTTTTTTTTAATTTTTTTGTTTGAACTCCTGCCCTCAAGTGATCCACCCTCTTCGGCCTTCCAACGTGCTGGGGATTAAAGGCATGAGCCACTGCGCCCGGCCTCCAGTCCCTATTTCTATGGAAAGGTAGCTGAGTGAGTCAGGAAGACCCAGGTTCAAGCCCCATCTCTACCACTAACTGGCTATGTGACTTCACCTCTTGAGCCTCAGTGGGGATGCATAATTGTACTCACTCCGTGAACTCAACAGCTATTATAAAGGGACTGAGCCTTGGGTCCCAGCCAGACTTGTGACCTGGACGTCTGGCTCGTAGCAAAGCCAAGCTTCTTCAGGGGTCCTCAGGGAATACACTATTTCAGTCTCTGGCGACGGAAACCACTGTCTCACTGGGTCTCGATCTGGCAGTTACAGGGGCAGGAAACTATGCCTGCAATGCTCAGGTCAAGGCCTGCGGGTCAAGCCACAGTGGCCACTGGTCCCCCTCGGGGCTCACCCTCACCCCAGGACCTGCCTTCCTACCATAGAAAGCAGGTGGAATCTTCCCACCGCCACTCCTGGGAACCAGCATCCCAAAGCCAATAACGTGGCACCCCGAGCTGGCCAATGCACACACTAGTGTACGCCCAGCACAGCACAACCCACACGCCCTTGACTACAACCACAGTGGACACAGGTGATTGATCAGCCACCTGGAATCACGCACCAGCTTCTGTGTGAGGATCTGCCTCTGCCCCACCCTCGAGTCATGTGTTCAGGAGTGTGTCACAAGATCCAGGCCTAAACCAACCACTGGGGTGCCTGGCCACAGAGATTGGCTTAGAGGTGGTCATGTGATTACAGTCAAACTATTCTAGCCCATTGCAGCAAACCTGGGGCTTTTTGCTTGAGTGACTGGAAGAGGTGATCAGCCTTTTCATGCTGAATGTGAACTTGAGAATGGGGCTGAGGCCAACACAGAACAAAGCTGATACGTGGTGGAGGGCAGAACCAGAGAAAGAGAAAAATGAATAGCGATGATGTCATTTGAGACCTGGAATCCAGATGTTCCCGAAACCAAACTACCAAGCCCAGCGTAGATTTCTGAATCAGATGATACAATAAACCCCGCCTTTTGGGGGGCAGTAGGGGAAAGGGCTATTTAGCTAGTTACAGATAGGTTTTCTGTCACATGCAATATGAAAATCCCCAAACCAGCCAGGCACGGTGGCTCACGCCTGTAATCTCAACACTTTGGAAGGCCAAGGCAGGTGGATCACCTGAGGTCGGGAGTTCGAGACCAGCCTGGCCAACATGGTGAAACCCCGTCTCTACTAAAAATACAAAAATTAGCGGGGCATGGTGGCACGAGCCGGTAATCCCAGTAATCCCAGCTACTCGGGAAGCTGAGGTGGGAGAATTGTTTGAACCTGGGAAGCAGAGTTTGCAGTGAGCCAAGATCGTGCCACTGTACTCCAGCCTGGGCGACAGAGTGAGACTCTGTCCAAACCCAGCCAGGGTTTGGGCCATTGTATATTATTTATATATAATTTTAAAAATGCTTTAAACACCTTTTTCTTACTAGGGCCACTGTATATGATCATATAGGTGGGGTACTGCTCAACTCTAGTGAACAACCTTTGCAACTTTGCACGGGCAGCCCTACTTCCCAACCCTAGAGGCAACTACTTCCAACTATTCTCAGTGTTATCCTTCGCATCTCTCTCTCTCTCTCTCTCTATCTATCTATCTATATATATCACTAAATAATACGCTTCCTGATTCTTTTTTTTTTTTTTTTTTTTTTTGAGACAGGGTCTTGCTCTGTCACCCAGGCTGGAGTCCAGTGGCGCAATCTTGGCTCACTGCAACCTCTGTTTCCTAGGCTCAAGTGATCCTCCCATATAAGCCGCCGGAGTAGCTGGGACCACAGGCACGCGTCACCATACCCAGCTAATTTTTGTATATTTTTGTTGAGATGGGATTTCACCATGTGCCCAGCTGGTCTCAAACTCCTGGACTCAAGGGATCCACCCATCTCAGCCTCCCAAAGGGCTGGGATTACAGGCATGAGCCACTGCACCCGGCCCTGATTATTTCTTAATTTATCTATTTTCATCCTATCTTCTGATTTCCAGGTATGATAAATGAGACTTTAGCTCTACTTCCCCTTACTACTTCCCTTCCCCACCCTATCCCTACACTGGTAGGTCTTCTTCTGGTTCCTTTATTTATTTATTACAGACGGCATCTTGCTGTGTTGCCTAGGCTAGTCTCAAGCCCCTGGTCTCAAGTGATCCTCCCGCGTCAACCTCCCAAAATGTTGAGATTACAGGCATGAGTCACAGTGCCCAGCCATCTGGTTCCTTTACATACCATGCCAAGGACACTGTCTTATTCCACCAACTAGAAGAAGCTGAGTTTCTCACAGTTTAACACGAATTCAGAGAAGGGAGAGTGTGGCTTTTGTGCTGTGAATGAGTGATAAGTAAGCAGAAGAGCTACTTATCTGCTTATCAACCTCAAAAGCTTATCAACCTCAAAAAGGCGTAATTTCTATGGAAATAAGAAAGACAAATAATGCACGTGAAAGACTGACTGCACACCAGGTGCTACACTGGACTCTCCTCTGACAATGACAGGAGCTGCTAGGTCCAGAAGTGACAGTCTACCTCTGAAAAGGCAACCTTAAGGGAGCGGAACTACACAGCGCTAGGCTGTTGAGGGCTGCACCTGGCTTGTTCTGAAGATATTTTAAACCCTAGCTGGAGTCCCGAGTTTCCTTCAAACAAGAAACAAAAACCAAAGCCCAATACAGTGGCTAACAGCTTGTCCTCTACAGCCGCATGGCCAGGGTTTGAATCCTGGGCCCCACCATTAGGAGCTGGGACCCTCTCCTAGACAATAGACTTGTCAGGTGGGCTGTGACATCCTAAGGTCTGCACTGCTGTCTCCATCCCTCCCCCCATACCTTGTATTGCCTTCAGTGCACAGGTGCTCAACATGAACTCAAATACCCTTATGTTTAGTGTTTCTTTTGTTTTGAGATGGAGTCTCCCTCTGTTACCCAGGCTGGAGTGCAGTGGCGTGATCTCGGCTTACTGCAACCTCCGCCTCCCGGATTCAAGTGATTCTTCTGCCTCGGCCTCCCGAGTAGCTGGGATTACAGGCACCCGCCACCACACCTGGATAATTTTTGTATTTTTAGTAGAGACGGGGTTTCACCATGTTGGTCAGGCTAGTCTTGAACTCCTGACCTCAAGTGATCCACCCGCCTCAGCCTCCCAAAGAGATGGGATTATAGGTGTGAGTCACCGTGTCTGGCTGCTCAGTGTTTATTTACTGGGATGCAGCATTAGGAGTGATTAAGTCAAGCATCAAGCTAAGAGTTCACATCAGTGTCTTAATGTCTGCACCCCTAGCATATAATGGGTGCTCATAAACATTTATTTAAACTATTGAGAGAAATAGTACATCAGAATGAAAGGACCAATTTACAGAGTCCAGCCCATCCGTCCCTTCCTCCCTGCCATCTCAGCTTCCCAAGTTTCCAAGTCCAAGAATCAATCTCCATGCACCACCAAACTCTCCTCACCTCCTTGCCCTTGTATCTATCTGCAGGTGCCTCTGAGGCAGGCGAATAGGGTCTGGAGGCAGGGAACCTAAGGCTGATTCAGGCTGACTTCCTAGAACTAAATCAAAAGGAAAACCCCTACTTTCCAAGCCCAAGTAACAAAAGGACCAGAGGCTACTCCCTTTGCAACCCCCAACTTACCTGCGTGGCAGATGAAAAACTGAAGTTACCTCTGATTGGTCCCTTCCCACAACCAATCAGGCTGGTGCTGGCCAAGTCCTCGTTTGTATAGGAGTCTTCATTTGTAACTTCACTTCAGCCTCTGATTGGTCGCATTCCACAACCTATCAGACTGATCCCAGGCCATTACTTCATTTACATAGGGTGTACATCAAGTAACCAATGGGAAACCTCTAGAGGGTTTTTAAACCCCAGGCAATTCTGTAAGCAATCTGCTCAAGCCCACTCCCACCCTGTGGAGTGTACTTTTGTTTTCTGTAAATATTTGCTTTCGTTGCTTTCTTTCCTTGTTTTGTTCGTGTGTTTTGTCCAATTCTTTGCTCAAAATGCCAAGAACCTGGACACCCTCCACCAGTAACACCTCTGCCTGGAATCCCTTTCCCACTCACTAGCAAAACCCTTTAATCTCTTCAAGACGCAGCTCAAATGTTGACCTCCTCCAGAAAGCCTTCCTTGTTTGTTTCTTTTGGGTTTGTTGTTGTTGTTGTTGCTGAGAGAGTCTGGCTCTGTTGGCCAGGCTGGAGTGCAGTGGTGCAATCATAGCTCACTGCAGCCTCCAACTCCTGGGCTCAAGTGATCCTCCCACCTCAGCCTCCATTGTACCTGGGACTACAGGTGCATACCACCCACATCTGGCTAATTATGTTATTTTATTTTTATAGAGATGGGCGTCTCCCTACATTGCCCAGGCTGGTCTCTTTTCTTTTTTTTTTGAGACAGGGTCTCACTCTGTCACCCAGGCTGGAGTGCAATGGTGCAATCATGGCTCACGGCAGCCTCAGTCTCCCAAGCTCAAGTGATCCTCTTGCCTCTGAACTCCTGGCCTCAAGCGATCCTCTTGCCTCGACCTCCCAAAGTTGATTACATGCATGAGCTACTGCACCTGGCCTCCAGAAAGCCTTCCTTGGATAGTTCCCTCCTCTGTAAACAGGGGTCAGCTAACAGTACCCCTGCAGGGGTTGTTCTGAGGATACAATGAGATTAGGCACATGGTGTCTGGGATAGACTTGACTCTCAAAAGTACTAGCTGCTGTTATGTCCCAATAATCCTCCAGTCCCCGACTCCCTAAATCACTTCGCTCCCTACAAACCCTCCACAAGCAAATTTCATTATAACCTGAGGCCAGACTGTCTGCGGCAGGCAGAAACATGGCTCCCCTAAGATGGCTACATCCTAATCCCTGGAACCTGTGAATATGTTACCTTATATGGCAAAAGGGACTTTGCAGATGTGATTAAGGATCTTAAGATGGGAGACAGTCATGGATTATCCTGTGAGCCCAGTGTAATCACAAGGATCCTTATAAAAAGGAGGTAGAAGGGTCAGAGTTAGAGGAAGAGATGTGACCAAAGACAGAAAGGTGTGAAGTTGCCACACTGCTGGCTTCAAAGATGGAAGGGAGGGGCCAGGAGCCCAAGGAATGAGGACAGCCCCTAGAATCTGGAGAAGGCAAAGAAACCGATTTTCTCCTGGGGCCTCCAGAAGGAACACAGCCATGCTGACACCTAGATTTTAGAACTTCTGATCCCCAGGAACTATAAGATAATAAATGTGTTGTTTTAAAGCCACTAAGTAATTGCAGCAATTTGTTACAGCAGCAATTGGAAACTAACGAAGTCCTGAAGAGCAGCTCTCAACCTTGGGCAATTTTGCTCCCTCAAGGGACATTTGGCAATGTCTAGAGACATTTTCAGTTGTTGAAACTCTAGGGGTGCAACTAGCATCTAGTGGATAGAGGCCAGGGATGCTGCCAAACATCCTAAAATAAACAGAACAGTCCCCTGCAGTGAAGAAGGTCCGGCCCAATGTCAGTGCCGAGGCTGAGAAACCCAGCTCTAGAATGAATCTGGTGGAATTTCTTTCTTTTGTTTTTTGAGATGGAGTCTCACTCTGTCGCCCAGGCTGGAGTGCAGCAACTACATCTTGGCTCACTGCAAACTCCATCTCCCAGGTTCAAGTGATTCTTGTGCCTCAGCCTCCTGAGTAGCTGGGATTACAGGTGTGTGCCACCATGCCTGGCTCATTTTTGTATTTTTAGTAGAGACAGGGTTTCACCATGTCACCCAGGCTGATCTTGAACTCCTGACCTCAGGTGATCCACCCATCTCCGCCTCCCAAAGTGCTGGGATTACAGGCGTGAGCCACTGTGCCTGGCCTCTTTCTTTCTTTTTTAAGAGACTGGGTGGGTGTCTTGATCTCTCATCCAGGCTGGAGTGCAGTGGCATAATCACAGCTCACTGCATCCTTGAACTCCTGGGCTTAAGGGATCCTCCCGCCTCAGCCTCCTGAGTAGCTGGGACTACAGGCCTGTGCCACTATGCCTGGCTTATTTTAAAAAATTTTTTGTAGAGATGGTGTCTTGCCACTCCTGGACTCAAGTGATCCTCCAGCCACAGCCTCCCAAAGTGTTGGAATTACAGGTGTGAGCCACTGTGTCCAGCCTCTGGTGTAATTTTAAGGAGCCCTCCCCAACCCTCTCTTCCCCTTTTCCTTTTAAAAACAAATCTCCCCACATACCATAAAGAGACAGAGAAGGCCAGGTGCGGTGGCTCACGACTGTAATCCCAGCACTTTGGGAGGCCGAGGCAGGCGGATCACGAGGTCAGGAGTTTGAGACCTGACCAACATGGTGAAAACCCCATCTCTACTAAAAATACAAAAACCAGCTGGGTGTGGTGGTGTGTACCTGTAATCCCAGCTACTTTAGGAGGCCAAGGCAGAAGAATTGCTTGAACCTGGGAGGCGGAGGTTGCAGTGAGCCAAGATCGTGCCACTGCACTCCAGCCTGGGTGACACAGCAAGACTCTGTCTCAAAAAAAAAAAAAGAAAGAGACAGAGAAATCAACTTACCGATGTAAACAGCAACCTGCTGCAGAAGCCAGAGATACGTCATCATTTGCTCTGCTAAAGGCTCGTAAAAATATCATTGCAGTACACTGTGTTTTCTGCATATAAAACTGTCATCATGCAAGGGCTATTTTATTGTTTCAGGAATCTGAAAAATGCATTTTGGAATATGAAACACAAAATATAATTATAGCTTTGATTAGCAAAATGCACAAGGGAGCTTGAACTGTAATGTTTAATCACTTGCTGGGCACTCTCTGCATGTCCACGGTACACTCTACTCCTGGTGGGTCAGCTCAGGGATACAGCACGTCTCACTTCTCACATGAACTGTGTGCCCAGCCCTCTCGGTGGCCAGACCATGTGAGTGTCTTGAACAAAAGGGGCCGTGTGTCTTGTTCCTCTGCAGCTCCCAGCCCAAAGCACAATGCCTGGCACACACCATAAATGCACAAGTGCATGCTGCATGAATGAACGAGTAAGTGAAGAAAAGCTGGCAGTTTCCTGCTGATATAATGGAGAAACAGAAGGACTTTTGGGTTGTGGCTGGGCACGGTGGTTGACCCCTGTAATCCCAGCACTTTGGGAGACCGAGGCAGGCAGATCACTTGAGGCCAGGAGTTCGAGACCAGCCTGGGCAACATGGAGAAACCCCATCTCTACCAAAAATACAAAAATTAGCCAGGTGTGGTGGCACACGACCTGTATAGTCCCAGCTACTTGAGAGGCTGAAGCATGAGAATCACTTGAACCAAGGAGACAGAGGTTGCAGTAAGCCAAGATTGTGCCACTGCACTCCAGCCTGGGCAGCAGGGCAAGACTCTATCCCCCCGCCCCCAGACCTCCGAAAAAACAAACAAACAAAAACAAACAAAACAACCTACTGTGTTGTAACTACATAGGAGTTACTTAGTCCAATGACATGGCTGAGGTCGTAGTGGGAAAGACTGGCTCATGGAGGACCTGATAAGCACCAAAACCAGATCTAGCCAAACAAGGCCTTTGGGATGAATTCAAGTCCTGGCCCTGCCACAGTCAGCTGAGGAATGCTGGGGGAAATTACTTAACCTTCTGAACCTCAGCTTCTTCATCTGTAAAATTCATCTACTCAACAGAGTGGAGCAAAGTGAGCAAGGTGGAGAAGAAGTGAGAGAGGGGGCCTGAAAACCACAGGTGGCACAGAGAGCTGGCTTTCCTCCAGGAATCCTTTCTCCCCTGCCTGGCCACGGACATTTCCCAGCATCCCTTGCAGCTAGGTAAGGTCATGTGACTGCATTCTGGCCAATGAAAGAGCACAAATAACTTGTACCATTTCTGAGCCCGTCCAGCAGCCCATTTTCCATACCCTGGTTGGCTTCCTCTCCACTGTGATCCTGCCCAGAACAGATTGGTAGCATTTCAGTATCACTTACAAAGCACTTGCTACATAACTCCTCCCAGCTCCCTAGAAGGCAGGCACTCCTTCCTCCTCGGGCTCTGAACATGCTATGCCCTCTGTCTGGTACACACCCCAGCCTGTCCTCCCTACTCATCCCCTGGCCAACTTGACTGCTCATCCCTCAGGTCTCAGCTTAGATATCACCTCCTTCATGAAGCCTCCCCTGAACCCCAGGAGTTAGTCGCTCTTAGCTTCATTCTACAGATGAGAAAACTAAGGAACAGAGAGGTTATGTGACTTATCCCAAATCACATGACTAGAGTTGGGTTTGAAGCTGGTGCGGGCTGAATCCAGAGCTTTCAATGCAGTCATCACTTCCTTAACCAGCGCTTCTAAAAGTATGGGACCAGCTGCCGCAGCAGCCACTGCAGCAGCCTCACCTGGCAACTTGCTGGTAATGCAAATTCTCAAGCCTCACTACAGACCTACTAAATTAAACTCTGGGGATGGGTCCAGCAATCAAAGTGTAAGCAAGTCCTGCTGGGGATGCTGATGTGCACTGAAGTTAGAGAAACGCTGGCCTAGGGCAATTTTCCGCAGTTTAGCCACCTACTTCCGGGTGCTTCCTCTGGCTTGCTAGTCCTTGCTAGAGCTCGAAAGCTTCACAGCTGGAGAACAGAACGCCATCCACCTTCTGACTCTGGAGCCATTTGAGACGCTTCTCTAGGAGTCCCACAGCCCTGGGACTTTGGGGGTTGTGGGGAGCACTGTTATTTTCTGCTTTATCATCAGCGTGTTAGTGACTCACTCCTTCCTTTGTCTGAAGCCTTCTTATATGGTTGGGCACGGCTCATGCCTGTGATCCTAACACTTTGGGAGGCCCAGACAGAAGAATCGCTTGAGCCCAGAGTTCAAGCCCAGCCTGGGCAACAGAGTGAGACCCCATCTCTACACTAAAATTAAAAGTTAGCCAGCCATGGTGGTAGCTCATGTCTGTAGTCCCAGCTACTTGGGAGGCTGAGGCAGGAGGATCACTTGAGCCGAGGAGTTCCAGGCTGCAGTGAGCTGTGACTGTGCCACTGCACCGCAGCCTGGGTGACAGAGCAAGACCCTGTCTCAAAACAACAACAAAAAAGAAGCCTCCTTGCTTGTGCTCATCAGCCTTGGCTGCAAGAATTTGATCCAGCAACACTTTAAGGCCCAAGCCGCTTTCATCCCAGGTGGAGACAAGGTCATCGCTCTAACCACCTTCTAGGAGCCTTCTCAGTTCATCAGGGTAATAACCTGCAGCTTTCAGGTCAGCAGAACCAATCTCCCTCAACAAAAAACACTGATTCTTTTAAATTAGTTCAACCTGCCGCTATTACTTTGTCTATAGCCCTGATCATTCAGTTGTTCTGCTTCAGGTGTAAGAACTGGACCAGAAATAGTGAATCCCGGAGAACGAGCTTGAACAAGTCCAAGCTTCTGCTGTTCACCCTTGGCTTTCTTCACACAGCTCCCAGAGTCCCGGCAACCAGACGACAACCCTGCCAAAAACTGGACAAGACTGCTTTGGGGACTCTCCCCACAGCAAGATAACAACCCTAAAGACATCCTTCCCGGGTGGGCATGGTGGCTCATGCCTGTAATCCCAGCACTTTGGGAGGCGGGTGGATCACTTGAGGTCAGGAGTTTGAGACCAGCCTGGCCAACACAGTGAAATCCCATCTCTACTAAAAATACAAAAATTAGCTGGGCACGGTGGCATGTGCCTGTAGTCCCAGCTCATACTCAAGAGGCTGAGGCAGGAAAATCACTTGAATCTGGGAGGCAGAGGTTGCAGTGAGCTGAGATCACACTACTGCACTCCAGCCTGGGCAACAGAGCAAGACTCCATCTCAAAAACAACAAACACTCCCTCTGGCTTGTGGCTCTGCCCTCCTCTAGGCCTTCAAAGTCGCCTTGACTTGTCCAACAAATAAGGAAAGAGTGAGAGGTTTTTAGGGTCGAGGCTTGAAATGGACACACTCACATTTCATCAGCCAAAACTCAGCCGTGTGGCCCTACCGAATGGTAAGGAAGCCTAGGAAAATTCATCCAGGGAGCACCCCAGGAGGACGAGAACATGGGTACTGGTGACCCATAGCTTTCTCTGCCACATAATACAGTAAAATGTTTTAAAAGCAAATCAGAGATTTTTTTTTTTTTAAATAGAGACCGGGTTTCACCCCGTCAGCCAGGCTGGTCTTGAACTCCTGGGGTCAAGCAATCCTCCCGCCTCAGCACCCCCAAAGTGGCTGGGATTACAGGTGTGAGCTACCACACCCAGCCAGTGATATATCCGTAATCAGCCAAAAAGTACTGTACAGTTACAAAAAGCACAAGAAAAACAAATTGGTGGATCTTTTTTATTTTTTGAGACAGAGTCTCGCTTTGTTGCCCAGTCTAGAGTGCAGTGGTGCAATCTCAGCTCCCTGCAAACTATACCTCCTGGGTTCAAACGATTCTCGATTCTCCTGCCTCAGCCTCCCGAGTAGCTGGGATTACAGGCTCATGCCAACATGCCCAGCTAATTTTTGTATTTTTAGTAGAGATGGGGGCTCCCTATGTTGGCCAGGCTGGTCTCAAACTCCTGACCTCAAGTGATCCACCTTCCTCAGTCTCCCAAAGTACTGAGATTAAAGGCCTGAGCCACCACGCCCCTGGCCCAAAACACCGGTAGCTCTTGGAATGTACACCGATGATTATGTGTAAACTGTGACCACTTCAGTTCTGTCTTCTGGCCTCCCCATTCCCTGCAGAGGATAAGAACTTCGGACCCCACCCCCTTCTTTGAGAATGGGGGCTGAGAGGAGGGCGGACGCCAATCCCAGCCATGTTACACTGAAATTCATGTCCTTGAGAGGTTTTACTGTAGTTGTTGAATTAATAGCTGAACAAAGGAATGAACATCGGGTGCTGTGGAGGCCACACAGAAGGAAGACACCTGCATACGCCATCTCTGAACTCTACCTCCTTCCACCTGCCTCTTCCCCAGCTCAGCTTAAACAGCACTTGCTACAGGAAGCCTTCCCCCATAACCCTCTCCCCTTTACACACACAGTGGGCATTCTCAGCTCCCACCTGCTTGCTCTGTATTCCCATTTACTCCATCTCGCTTTTTAGAATCTGTTTATGTGACTGGCTTCCTCTTAGGGAGCTTCTGTGGGCCTGGGGATCACTCTGACCCTCGGTTTCCTCCTCGCTAAAAACATTAGGATAGACTACGTGACTCAATTCGCTGTGACTTCACAGCCTGTCCAGGGCCCTCAACCACAGGGCTCTTGGCCATCAGATGTCTCCCGGGGCCATAGACTATGACACTGTGTGCCAGGCACTGTTCCAAGCACCTGACATATACATACTCATCTACTCTTTCCAAGGATACTAAGTGGTAGATACTAATACTGTACCCATTTTACCGATGAGAAAACCGAGGGCCAGAGAGCATAAATGAGCTAGAATTCCAACCCAGGACTCCAGCCCTAGTGTTTCCTGCTTTCCTGGCTGAAGAAGCACCCACCACCGAGGTCCCAGAGGTCGGGCTCCCTGGGACCGTCCCCCTGGGCAGATCTCACTTCCCCATGCGGCCCATCTGTCACACTCAGGGCGCAGCTGGGCTGGTTCCCCGAAATCCCCCAGGCGCGCGCAAAAGGATCTAGGCCGGGGCTTACCCGGGAGGCCCCCACCCCCGCGCGGCCACCGGCTTATTAATGCCCAGCCCCTTGGCACACATGTCAGCAGCGCCTGCCAACAAACTCCCGCAGCCAACAATGCAGCAAGGGCGCGTCTATACAGTCCTGGAGGTTCCGGGAATTCGGGCTGACGCAGGCCTCTAGTTCAGGGGAAAGGTGGGGGATGCGGCTCTGAGCCCTGCAGGGGACAGGAAGGCAGCGATGCGCCCACACTCTAGGGGCCCCGAGGGGGGAGGCCCCCAAACTCTCTGTCACTTGCAGCCAGATCACCGCCCATTGCTTGCCAATTGCTTTCCATATCCACATCGCCTTTAATCCGCACAACTTCCCCATTTCTCCAAAGCAAGCACTTAGCCCCAGAGAGTTTAACAACCAGAGGAGAAGCGCCCCCACACTCTCCTTCCATGCCTTCTCCGGCCCCATTCCCAAGCCCAGACCCAGCACGCTCCAGACGCCAGCTGCACCCGGGCGCACAGGCCTGCAGCGCGGGCTCCCAGCCCCCCACAGCCTTGCCGGCCGCGGTCCACACCTACCTCCCTCGGGCAGACAGGCGCGGCAGCCGCTGCCCACGGCCGCGAGGGTCCAGAGGAGTTGGCAGAGGCTCGCGGCCCGGAGCTCCAGGGTGCAGGGCGGGCGGGCCCCCCGAGAGTGCCGGGGAGCGGAGAGCGGGGAGCGCTAGCTGGCGCTCCGGGCAAGCAGCTGGGGCCACGCGGGGTAGATGGACCGATCCCAGGGCGCGCGGGGCAGTCGGAGTGATCCCAGGAAGGGCGCAGGGGCCGTTGGGACGATCCCGGGATGTGGGAGCGCGTGCCAGGGGGGACTCGCGTGCAGGCGACAGCGAGCGGGACTCGGGTGGCTGCAGGGCCGGGAGTGCGGGCGCTCGATCCAGGAAGGAGGGGAGCTGAGGCTGAAGCTGGGGCTGGTCTAGGTTGAGCAGAAGCGGGCGGGCAGGGGCGGGGCTGGCCTGGCGGGCGCACGGCGTGGCGCTCACGTGGCCGCCCCCAGGTGGCCATCACAGCGCCTGCAGCCGCCTAGCGGGCCTCCTGGCTCCGGCGCTGGCTCCCAGCCCCAGGTGCAATGGTTAGCGCTAAGTCTTGGCTCCCCCTGCTGAGTACACAGTGTCCGGTTCTCCTGCTCAAGGCTGGCCTAGCATCCGGCAGCGAGGGGGCAATTCGAGGGAGTGACCAACTTCCGTCCTCTCCCGCCGCGCCTCGCCATTCTCGCCTGCTTCTCGCTTAGTTCCTGTATTCCTGTCCTTTCCAAAATCATTAGTGATCCAAGCCCATCGCTTGTTTGTATGTATCTCTATCCATAACCTTAAAATATTTTTTATCGGAAATACTTTGTTTTTCCTGATTTCTGCTTTGTAAAAACAGGCACGTATGACGATTGCAATTATTTGTGTAGTTTTAAAATTAGTATCTCCTTTAGTTATTCCTAACTCTTGACACAGGGCCTGGGTGGCACACAGTAGATGCTTAATAAATACCTGTGGCATGAGTGGTAGAGTGGCTAAGGTATAAAAAAGAAAACGAATTAAAACTAATAGCTACTGTGAACACTTTAATATTAGGTCCTTCCAGATACTTTGTTAGTGAAATTTTAGAAATTTCACACATTCTAGATAGAAAAGTAGTAACAATGACATGTTTTGAGGGATTTCTCTCATTCCATCTTCCCAGCACTTTGGGAGGCCGAGGCCGGCAGATCACCTGAGGTCAGGAGTTCGAGACCAGCCTGGCCAAAACGGTAAAACCCTGTCTTTAGTAAAAATACAAAAAAGCAGCCGGGCGCGCCTGTAGTCCCAGCTACTCTGGAGGCTGAGGCACGAGAATCGCTTGAACCCTGGAGGCAGAGGTTGCAGTGAGCCGAGATCGCGCCACTACACTCCAGCCTGGGTGAAGGAATGAGACTCCGTCGCAAAAAAACAAAAACAAAAAAATAAAAAAGAAAAAAGAACAAAACTGAGGCTTATAGAGATAATGACATGCCCCAGGTGAGGCAGCTAGAAAAGGCAGAGCCAGCAGTAAATCCAGACTTCTCTGATTTCAAAGTTCAGGCTCTCCAAAGAACTTTTTTCCTTATTTATAAACCCCAAAGAGAGTAAACTCCAGCTTTTGGCAAGACAAAATTGCACCTGGAATTCTGACCCTGGGGCCGTCAGGCAGGAAGGGAAGATCAAAGATGCTGAACTAGTCTGTCCAAGCCCAAAGCAAGATTGGAAAAAAAAAAAAGACGCTACTGCTTAAAGCTCTATGGCCCTTGGGCAAGTTATTTTACTTCTCTGAGCCTCTGTCATTTTTGTCTGCCCAGCAGGAGTGTCCTTCTTTGCATTAGCGTCTTGGTTAGTCTTCAGGGAACCAGTTCACCCTATTTCAGTTCAGGAAAATAGCCCTCCCCACTCCCCTGGCTCCAAAAATGGACACATGACCAGACCTGGCCAATTAGCATATTTCATCCCTTCAGCCTCATTGATTGGTTCAGGGATGAGCATGTGATCCAAGTTAGGCCAGTGAAATACTAATCTGGGCCTTTTATAGTAACCATAAAAAGAGAATGTCTCTTTTCCAGGGAGTTGAGCAGATAGGATGTAATAGTAGAGTTTCTGAGCATTAATTCTTATGGCAAATTTTATTAAGCTCCTATTGTGTGCCAAATATGGTGCTAGGAATTGGGGGAAACATTTGCCTTCAAGGAGATGTCTACTGCGGTAAAATAAAATTACTCAAGGCCGGGCAAGGTGGCTCACACATGTAATGTCAGAGCTTTGGGAGGCCAAGGCAGGAGGATCAATGGGGCCAGGAGTTCAAAACCATCCTGGGCAACATAGCAAGACCCCTGTCTCTAAAATAAAACATTAAAAAAAAAAAAAACCCAGGTATGGTGGTGTGTGCCTGTAGTCTCAGATACTCAGGAGGCTGAGGCAGGAGGATCCCTTGGGCCCAGCAGTTTGAAACTGCAGTGAGCTATGATCATGCAGTGCACTTCAGCCTGGGCAACAGAGTGAGACCCTGTCTGTAAAAATTAAATAAATAAATGAAAAAGGCCAGGCTCAGTGGCTCATGCCTGTGATCACAATACTTTGGGAGGCAGGCAGATTGCTGGAGCTCAGGAATTTGAGACCAGCCTGGGCAACATAGCGAAACCTCATCTTTATAAAAAAATACAAAAATTAGCCAGATGTGGTGGCTTGCATCTATGGTCCCAGCTACTCAGGAGGCTGAGGTGGGAAGAACACTTGGACCTGGGAGGCAGAGTTTGCAGTGAGCCAAGATCCCGCCACTACACTCTAGCCTGAGGGACAGAGTAAGACCTTCTCTCAAAATACAATAACAAAAACAAACCACAAACAAAAAAGAAAGTGAAAAGACAATCAGAGAATGGGGAAAAAATATTTGCAAATCATATCTGATAAGGGATTTGCAGCTAGAATATATAAAGAATTGTTACAACTCAATAATAAAAGATAAATACTCCAATTTAAACATGGGCCAAAGATTGGAATAGACATTTCTCCAAAGAAGATATACAAATGGCCAATAAGGACATGAAAAGGTGCTCAACGTCATTAGCCACTAAGAAAATGCAAGGCCAGGCATGGTGGCTCATGCCTGTAATCCTAGCACTTTGGGAGGCCAAGGTGGGATGATGGTGTGAGCCCAAGAGCTCCAGATCAGCAAAGGCAACATAACAAGACCCTCATCTCTACAAAAAAACAAAATAGAAAAATTAGCCAGGCTCGGTGATGTGTGCCTGTAGTCCCAGCTACTCGACAGGCTGAGGTGGGAGGATAGCTTGAGCCCAGGAGTTGGAGGCTGCCGTGAGCTATGATTGCACCACTGCACTCCAGCGTGGGTGACCAAAAAAAGCAAGTCAAAACACACCCACTACCCACTAGCATGACTATAATCAAAATCTCAGATAATAGCAAGTGTTGGCAAGGATGTGGAGAAACTAGAACCCTCATACACTGCTGGTAGGAATGGAAAGCAGTTTGGCAATTCTTAAAAAAAATTAAACATGAAGTTACCGTATAACCCAGCAATTCAAATCCTAGCAGAAATGAAAACATATGTCCACACAAAAACTTATACAAAATGTTCATGGGAATATTATTCATAATAGGCAAAAGGTGAAAACAATCCAAATGACTGATGAATGCATAATTAAAATGCAGTAGGCCAGGCGGTGGCTTATGCCTGTAATCCCAGCACTTTGAGAGGCCGAGGCGGGCGGATCACTTGAGGCCAGGCTGGTCTTGAACTCCTGGCAACAACGTGGTGAAACTCCGTCTCTATTAAAAATACAAAAATTAGCCAGGTGTGATGGCATGTGCCTGAAATCCCAGCTACTCGGGAGGCTGAGGCAGGAGAATCACTTGAACCTGGGAGGCAGAGGTTGCAGTGAGCCGAGGTCACACCACTGCACTCCAGCCTGGGCGACAGAGCGAGACTCCATCTCAAAAAAGAAAAGAAGGCAGTAGATTCATACAATGAAATACTATTTGGCAACAAAAAGGAATGAAGTGCTGATACATGCTACAACACGGACGAACCTTAAAAAATATGCTATGTGAAAAGAGCCAGACACAAAAGACAACATACTATGTGATTTCATTTATATCAGTGAATAGGACAATCGATCCATAAAGAGAGAAGTAGATTAGTGGTTGCCAGGGGCTGGGAAGGGAGCTTGGGGAGAGGGGGAGTGACTATTAATAGTTGTAGGGTTTCTTCTTTGGGGTGATGAAAATGTCCTAAAATTGATTGTGCTGATGGTTGCACAATTCTGTGAATACACTAAAAACCACTGAATTATACTTTTTTAATGGGTGTATGGGCCAGGCGCGGTAGCTCACACCTGTAATCCCAGCACTTTGGGACGCCGAGGTAGGTGGATCACTTGAGCCCAGGAGTTGTAGACTAGTCTGGGCAACATGGCAAAACCCCGTCTCTGCTAAAAATACAAAAATTAGCCAGGTGTGGTGGTGGATGCCTGTAGTCCCAGCTACTTGGGAGGCTGAGGCAAGAGACTCGCTTGAACTTGGGAGGTGGAGGTTGCAGTGAGCTGAGATCATACCACTGCACTCCAGCCTGGGTGACAGAGCAAGACTCTGTCTCAAAAAAAAAAAAAAAAAAGTGTGTGAATTATATCAGCAATTATAACAGCAATAAAGCTGTCACAAAACAAAACAAAAAAGACTCATGGTGTTTCCATCTCACCATGGTGATAGAGCCCCAGGTCTTACAGTCACAGTCACGTGGCTGTTCCCAACTGCAACAAGACAGGTGTAATCCTCCCATCTGCTCAGGGTGGGGCTGAAGAGCTGCACTGGCCGCAGGCACCACAGGAAGGGTCTGGTTTCCAAACTGTTAACTGCCCAAATTCCCTGTGCACAGTGGGCTTGGGTTGTGTGTTTCACCTCTTTGGCTCAGAGGTCCTGGGCCTACTAGGTATGAGAAATGCCCAACACAGAGCCATCTGGATGGCCCACCTGTAGCTACTGAAAGACTTAAGGAAGTGATGAGACACCACTCGTCTTGTATTTATTTAATTTAGTTAATTTATTTGTGTATTTGTTTTGAGACAGAGTCTTGCTCTGTCACCCAGGCTGGAGTGCAGTGGCACAATCTTGGTTCACTGCAGCCTCCACCTCTCAGGTTCAAGCAATTCTCCTGCCTCAGCCTTCCAAGTAGCTGGGTTACAGGCACCTGCCACCAAGCGCAGCTAATTTTTGGTATTTTTAGTATAGACGGGGTTTTACCATGTTGGCCAGGCTGGTCTTGAACTCCTGCTTCAGGTGATCTACCTGCCTTGGCCTCCCAAAGTGCCGGGGATTATAGGCATGAGCCACCACACTCGACCCCCACTCTTCTTTTAGATCGCATGTTCCTCTCCTACCCTGTGTAAAGCCAGCCCCAGGATGAGAGTGGGACACATCAGGGCTTCGAGTTTTCATTCACCTATATATTTGCACAGGAAAAGATCTGGAAAGTACTTTCTTTCTTCTTTTTTTTTCTTTAAGATGGAGTTTCACTCTTGTTGCCCAGGCTGGAATGCAGTGGCGCAGTTTCAGCCTACTGCAACATCTGCCTCCAGGGTTCAAGCAATTCTCCCGCCTCAACCTCCCAAGTATCTGAGATTACAGGCGTCCGCCACTACACCCAGCTAATTTTTGTATTGTAGTAGAGATGGGGTTTCACCATGTTGGTCAGGCTGGTCTCAAACTCCTGACCTCAAGTGATCTGCCTGCCTCAGCCTCCCAAAGTGCTGGGATTACAGGTGTGAGCCACCATGCCCGGCTTTTTCTCTTTTTCTTTTCTTTTTCTTTTTTTTTTTTTTTTTTGAGACAATCTGGCTCTGTCACCCAGGCTGGAGGTCAGTGGCATGATCTTGGCTCACTGTAACCTCCGCCTCCTGGATTCAAGCGATTCTCCTGCCTCAGCCTCCCAAGAAGCTGGAACTACAGGAGGGCGCCACCATGCCCAGCTAATTTTTGTATTTTTAATAGAGATGGGGTTTTGCCATGTTGGCCAGTCTGGTCTCAAACTCCTGACCTCAGTGACCTCAGGTGATCCGCCTGCCTCAGCTTCCCAAAGTGCTGGGATCACAGGCGTGAGCCACTGTGCCCAGCCCAAACTGGTACTCTTCATAATGGTTACTTCTGAGCTGTGGGATTCGGTTGTGAAGGAGGGCTGTGGTGAGGGAGAGAATTTCCCTGTTAACTTGATGCCTGTGATTTGACTTTTTTCTTTTTTTTATCTTATTCTTTTGATTTGACATTAAAAAAAAATGTACAACGAGCATGCATTACATTACAATTTTTTTTCTTTTTTTTTTGAGACAGAGTCTCACTCTGTCGCCCAGGCTGGAGTGCAGTGGCGCAGTCTCAGCTCGCTGCAACCTCTGCCTCCCAGGCTCAAGCAATTCTCCTGCCTTAGCCTTCCGAGTAGCTGGGGCTACAGGTGCCTGCCACCATACCTGGCTAATTTTTGTATTTTTAGTAGAGACAGGGTTTCACCTTGTTGGTCAGCCTGGTCTCGAACTCCTGACCTCAGGTGATCCACCAGCCTCGGCCTCCCAAATTGCTGGGACTATAGGCGTGAGCCACCGTGCCCGGCCTATATTACAAATTTTAAAAAGACAAAACCCAGGTCCCTTACCAAAGTATTGACAGAGTTTAACTGGGTGGAGACATGAAAAGATATTTTTTTATTTGTGCTTTTCCTTTCTTCGCTTGAGTTTCAACAAGGAAAATGGGTTACTTTTGCAAAAGTTATTTTTAAATGTCACATAGAAAAATAAAAAATAAAAAACCAAACATAGCCCGGCTGCTCTGGCGCCTGTGGCCTCCCCACCCTTGCCTGGCTGTGGCTGGGCTTTGCATGGGCTTTGCATATGAGCTGCCCTGGCAGCGTCACCCTTGAAGGCATGAATCACCAGAGACGCCTCGTCAGCAGGACTGTGGGAGGCCAGCAGGGCGACGGGGCCTGGAGAAATGCAGGGTGGAGCAGAGGAACTGGCGGCCTTGCGTCCAACACTGGATTTTATTTTATTTTTTAAATGGAGTCTTGCTTTGTGCCCAGGCTGGAGTGCAGTGGCACGATCTCTGCTCACCGCAACCTCCGCCTCCTGGGTTCAAGTGATTCTCCTGCCTCAGGCTCTTGAGTAGCTGGGATTACAGGAGTGTGCCACCACGCCCGGCTAATTTTTGTATTTTTAGTGGAGACGGAGTTTCACCATGTTGACAGGCTGGTCTCAAACTCCTGACCTCAGGTGATCTGCCCGCCTCGGCCTCCCAAAGTGCTGGGATCACAGGCATGAGCCACCGCGTCTGGCTCCACCACTGGATTTTTATTCTGTTACAGAAGCAACTCCAGCACAAGGGTTCTAAGCAACTCCAGAAACAGCTCTCATCCCCCTCCCCGAGCCCGCAAGGCCTGCTTTTTGCCTGATGAGGCCTAGTAGGTGCAGGACAGGTATTGACTTGCATTAAATGATCAGAGACAGAGTTAGGGGACATGATGCTGTTGGCAGATGGACTAACTGCCAGAAGATGCTTTGAGCAATTGTAGGGGAATTTACCTAAAGAGGACGCTGCTTCCTTCTTGTGGCCACAGAGGGCAAGTCACAAGTCACAAAATAACTTTTGCAAAAGTAATGGGTGTTCCTCGCTGAAACTCAAGTCCAGACAAAAGTTCTCTGAGCCCTTATATTGGGCAGCTCCAGCTGAAAGCATCTGTCTCTGACTCTTAAGTTCATGTGGCAAGATGGAGTGGACTTAACCAAGAATGCAAAACTATTTTTTTTCAAGGAATATTCCTGCTGCCAACAGTGTTCTAGGTCCTGAGGATACAGCAGTGGATGAACAAGACACCATCACCTGCCTTCCTGGAGTTGACCTCCTAGCAGGGCCCAGTATCATCCTGGGAGAGACCCCCTACTTGAAACAGGGTGTTTGGAGAGATGTGTGTGGAATACCACCAAGTGGCCAGTGCCTGTATAAGAACCCTTGTGGTGGCTGGGCCACGGTGGCTCACTCCTGTAATCCCAGCACTTTGGGAGGCTGAGGCCGGTGGGTCACCTGAGGTCAAGGAGTTTGAGACCAGCCTGGCCAACATGGCAAAACCCCGTCTCTACTGAAAATACAAAAAAACAAAAACAATTAGCTGGGCTTGGTGACGGGTGCCTGTCATCCCAGCTACTCGGGAGGCTGAGGCATGAGAATTGCTTGAACCTGGGAGGCGGAGGTTGCAGTAAGCCAAGATCATGCCATTGCACTCCAGCCTGGGCGACAAGAACGAAACTCTGTCTTAAAACAAAACAAAACAAAACAGAAGAAAACAAAAACCAAAAAGAACCCTTGTGGTGGGAACCCTTGAGATACCAGGAGAGAACAAAGTCATCACCGTCACCCTTCTCATATGTGCCAGAGATTCATCTAAATGCTTGGCACATGTTTAGACACAAGATCTCTCTCTGTCACCCAGGCTAGAGTGCAGTGGTATGATCATAGCTCACTGTAGCCTCAAACTCCTGGCCTCAAGCAATCCTCCCACCTCAACCTCCCAAAGGGATGGGATTACTGGCGTGAGCCACCATACCTGGCCAAATTACCACATTTAATCTGTATTGACTTTATCCTCTGATATAACCGGAGCAGTGCCTGACACATTGTAGGTGCTCATGAAACATTTGCAGAATGAATGAGTTTAATCCTCACAGCAAATCCTGTGGGGTAGATACTATCATTATCACTCCATTACAGGGATGAGCAACTGAGGCCCAGAGAGAAGTGACTTTTCCAAGATCACACAGCTCATGGGAGTTTAGACTGTGTCATTCCCAAGCCCATGGGTTTACCCACTTGATTAGTTTCTTATTGCTGCTGTAACAAATTAACACAAATTTAGTGGCTTAAAGCAACACAGATTTATAGTGGTACTGTTCTGGAAGTCGGAAACGCTAACATCAAGGTGTCAGACACCTTGTGTTCCCTTTTTGGTGCCTCTAGGGGTGAATCAATTTCCTTACCTTTTCCAGCCTCTAGAGACTGCCGACATTCTGTAGCTTGTGGCTACATCACTGGGACCTCTGTTTTCACCCTCATACCTCCTTGAATTCCTGCCTCTTTCTTTTTCTTTTCTGAGATGGAATCTCGCTCTGTCGCTCAGGCTGGAGTGCGGTTGCGCGATCTCAGCTCACTGCAACCTCCGCCTCCTGGGTTCAGGTGCTTCTCCTGCCTCAGCCTCCCGAATAGCTGGGATTACAGGCACATGCCACCATGCCTGGCTAATTTTTTGTATTTTTAGTAGAGATGACATTTCACCACGTTGGCCAGGCTGGCCTCGAACTCCTGACCTCCAGCAATTTGCCCACCTCAACCTCCCAAAGTGCTGGGATTACAGGCATGAGCCATCGCGCCTGGCTACCTGTTTCTTTCTTATAAGGACTTTTGTGATTATATTGGGACCACCTGGATAATCCAGGCTCCTCTCCCCATCAGAAGATCCTTAATTTAATCACAACTGCAAAAGTCCCTTTTGCCACGGAAGGTAACATATTTACACGTTCAAGTGTGGGCATCTTTAGGGGTCATTATACAGACTGCCACTCCCACTTACCCAACTGTCTCTACAACCTTGGATTTTTGTTTGCCATTTTCCTTAAACGTGCAAGGAAATAGACAACCCTATGTGATTGTGAAATTAGGAAAATGCATACTGAAAAGATGGGAAACTCCTGAAAGAGAAGGAAGGGGGAATAGAACTTGGGGACATCAAAGGAGACTTGAATTTTATCTAGAGTGTTAATTTTAATTTTAATTTAAACAATTTCAGGCCAGGCGCGGTGGCTCACGTCTGTAATCCCAGCCCTTTGGGAGGCCGAGGCGGGCGGATCACCTGAGGTCAGGAGTTCGAGACCAGCCTGACCAATATGATGAAACCCCGTCTCTACTAAAAATGCAAAAATTAGCCGGGCGTTGGTGGCATGCGACTGTAATCCCAGCTACTTGGGAGGCTGAGACAGGAGAATCGCTTGAACCTGGAAGATGGAGGTTGCAGTGAGCCGAGATCGCGCCATTGCACTCCAGCCTGGGCAACAGGAGCGAAACTCAGTCTCAGGAAAAAAAAAAAAAAAAAAATTGAAGCGAATATGCAAAATGTTAGTAATAATTCGAGATGATAGGAAATGGAATTTTGCTAGGTTATACTCTATATTTATTGCTTTTTTTTTTTTTTTCTAAAAGCACTAAAATCCTCTGCACGTACGAACAAACGTCTTGGGAGGCTGTGGAATGCCGGCTGGCTGGGGCACCCGAGGCTAGTTACTTAGCATCTCTATTTTCCTCCTCTGTAAAATGGGTCGCACAGCTTATGAAAGCTTAATAGTTTTTGATATGTTAGGAGCCCACACATGCAAAGAATCTGCAACAACGTTCAATGGTTTTCCTCCCTGAACTCTTGATTCTTACATCGCGAGGGCAAGGGCTAGGACATGAGGCCACTCAGGGCTACAGAGGGGCCTTGAACTGGACAGAGCGTCTGCACCTTGGGGACCCAACATACAAACTGGGGCTCCACGCAAGATCCCGGCCCACCCGGGAGGAAGCGGCAGCACGGGAGCGCCCCTACGTGGCTGTAGGCAGGATCACGCCCAAGGAAAACTCAAAATCAAATCCAAACACACTTGTGAGGATTTAATATTAAAAATATTAATTTTTGATATGTAGGCACTCTTCATTTTAATAGTGCGTTCCTAGTGTGTTTACTGCTGCTGATCGCGAGAGCACTGTGACTCCAAGTCTCCGTGAGCAACGCAGGAGACAGCGGTTCTATATTGAGCATGCGCAAACTTTGAGGGCGGGGCGCCTCCGTCATCACACTAATATGCCGGCATAGGAAGCCCTACGATCGGGAGGTAGCGTGGCCGAGTGGTCTAAGGCGCTGGATTTAGGCTCCAGTCATTTCGATGGCGTGGGTTCGAATCCCACCGCTGCCACACCTCAGAAGGTCTCACTTTTCTATCCATAAACCATCTCTTTATGTAGTCCTTTGCCAACTTCTCTTCCTTTTTTCTCCTTTCTGATGTATTTCTTTTTTAAAGCTTTAGATTGCTTATAATGGATTTTTTTTAATGGAAGGGGGAAGGGAAGAGAAAAGGCAGAAACTGCAGTGCAGGCTCTTTCACTGTCTAGCCCAATACACAAACCTCTCTTTCACCTACCCATCCAGCTCCCTCAAAACAAAACAAAAAAACAAAACACATCTCCCCATTTCCAGGGGAAAGCATCTGAGCTAGCTTGAAAAGTTCCCAACAGCCTGTCTGGGTCTTCCTGGGGTTAGTTGGGGGTGGTTGTAATCATGACCTGAGTTAGGGACGGGGGTCCCTTTCTGGCCTGCTCCGTGTACTTTAGAGGGCTCCAGGGACCCCATAAACCTCTGTTGTCAGGTGACCCTGGAGTAGTAGGGGTCTGGCCCTATGTGGGGGTGCCAACCTTGAGGTCTCTGCTTCATTGATTCACCTCTTACTTGGTTTTCAGGCTTGATTTAGGGGCCTTCATTTATAAACAGTTGTTGAGCTGTTTATGAAGGGCCTACTATGTGCCAGAAACCGTGCTCGTCCTGAGGCTGTGGTGGTGTACAAGGCAGGCATGTTTTTGAACCCATCGACTTTGCAGACATTGTCATTTTAATTAATTACACCTGTGAGGAGTGTTAGGCAGTACAGCATGCTAACCTGGCCCCTGAGAAGCAAGGAAGTGACATTTAGCTGGGGCCTGAAATTGAGATTAGCCAAGTGAAGGCGTGGGAGGGGATTTCCAAGAGGGAACTCCTAAAGAGCCTGGTAAGGCTGAGACGCTGTGAAGGTAATTCAGGGCAGCTGCACAGAGAGTGGAGGTGGAGTATTGGCAATAGGTGAGGCGAAGAGACAGGCAAAGAGGGCCATGAATGCCGAGTTAAGGCTTTGAACTTGGTCCCTTCCCAAGGGCAATGGGAAACCATGGAAGGCTTTTGAGCTAGAGAGTGGCATGTTCCAATTTGGAATTTAGAAAGTTCACTGGTTGGGCACGGTGGCTCACACCTGTAATTCCAGCACTTTGGGAGGCTGAGGCGGGTGGGTCACCTGAGGTTAGGAGTTTGAGACCAGCCTGGCCAACACGGTGAAACCCCGTCTCTACCAAAAATACAAAATTTAGCTGGGCATGGTGGTACGCACCTGTAATCCCAGCTATTTGGGAGGCTGAGACAGGAGAATTGCTTGAACCTGGGAGGCGGAGGTTGCAGTGAGCCGAGATCGCACCACTGCACTCCAGTCTGGGCGATTGAGTGAAACTCCGTGTCAAAAAAAAGAGAAAGAAACAAAGAAACAAAGAAAGAAAAGAAAGTTCCCGCTGGCAGCAGGGACAGGAGGTCCCATTCAATGCCTATTGCAATTGTCTAGGAGAAAGGACAGTGGTTTGTACCACAATAGTGGCCGGGTGCGGGACAGAAGGAGTGAGTCAGGGAGACATTTTAGAGATAGATTTGACAGAATCCACAGATGAGCATGTCGAGAAGAAGAGGATCACGTCAAAAGTGACGCCCAGGATTTGGGCTTGGGTCATTGGATGGCTGGTGGTGCCTCTCCTCTCCTGGGAGGGAACACAAGATAGATGGAAAGCAGGTTTGTGGGAGATGATGACTTCAGTTTGATTTTCATTGAGCTGGAGATTCTTGTGGGATATGGGGTTGAGTAGGAGGTTGGACATAGATTTCTGGAGGTCAAGAGAGCACTCCAAGGAAATGATACAGATTTGGGAGGTATTAGAGACTGAGGCCATGGGAAGGGATGAACTCATCCAGAAAGATCCCACAGAGGGAGAAGAGGGGCCAAGACAGAGACCCGAGAGACATCATCTTAAAGGGAGGGCAGTGGAAGAAAAGCCAGTGAAAGAGATGCGAAAGAGACGGGAAAGGACTGGCCAGCAATATACGTGGAAAACAGGTGTGGTTTCATAGAGACCAAGAAATGCGGATCAAGAAGGAGGGGGCAGTCAACTATGCTGAACACAGCTAAGATAATTGGCAAAATAAAGACGGAAAAATATCTATTAAGATTTATGGACAAGATCATTGATGATCTGAAAGCCATTTTGGAATGGGTTGAGGAGAAGAAATGGAAACATAAGTATGGTCAATTCATCACAAAATTTGATTTTGAAAAGGAGGAGCAAAAGGAACAGTTGTGGGAGGGAAAATGGGGGAATCAAAGGAGGATTTTTTTAAATTTTAAAGATGGGGTCTCACCCTGTTGCCCAGGCTGGAGTGTAGTGGTGCAATCATAGCTTACTGCAGACTCAAACTCCTGGACTCAAGTGATTCTCTTGCCTCAGCCTCCTGGGTGCCACCACACCTGGCTAATTAAAAAAAATTTTTTTTTATGTAGAAGCAGGGTTCTCACCAAATCGCCCAGGGTGGTTTTGAACTCCCGACCTCAAGCAATCCTCCAGCCTTAGCCTCCCAAAATGTTGGGATTACAGGTGTGAGCCACTGTGCCCTGCTGGGAAGATATTTTCAAGATGAGAGAGACTTGAGGATGTTTTAGATGCCTGGCATTGGGTTTACAACTGGGAATAGCTTCAGCACCCATAATGGAAAGCCTATGAGTTTGTCTTGATAATCCCTTCAGATCGACTATGTCACCTTGGGCTGCCCACTGTGACAATTCTGTTTTCTGCATTTGCGATGCTTCTCTTTAGCGTCTCCAAGTAAGCTAGAACCTCCTACTTGCCCTTTCAGAACCTCATGGAGGCTAGTGGTCTGGGCAGTCTCAAAAATTCTTACAGTGATTCAGTTTTCCTGTTGGGTGGGGATGCCACCTCCTTTTCCATTGGATAAAGATGCTTGAAAGGAAAAAAGCTTTTTTGACATAGCGATCCATGTTGTCCCCATGCCCAGGGTTTACACATTCTGCTTCCAGAGTGTTAGGAAATAGATGAGTTGGAGAAATCCAGAAAACAAATAAATTGATTCTTGGCTTTTGGATTTTCAAAAGTAGGTTTGGCACTAGTCAAAAGATCTAGAAAATAACGTGAGCAGTGTGAGATTGTTTTTCCTGCTCGAAGAACAGATTTCCCAGGATTAGCAGGGAGAAGAAAGAGAGGAAGGAAGTGAGTTTGGATGTAAACATGTTATCGAGAGGAAAGGAAGCCCCAGGACCGCCAGCTTCAAATGGTCCGAGGTTTGCGGCTCTGAGAGAACGAGACCAGAGTTCAACCGCAAGCCTTGGCATGGCCAGAGTGTAGAAGAGTAGAAGTTACCACGTGTTGTGTTTAGGCCAGTGGCGGCTTAGGCGGTGCTCCTCCAAATTCCCCCAGCTGTAGAGCAGAAACCCCCACCCTCCTCTGCTCTTTGGAATGAGACAAAGCCCCAGTTTTCGTCATCTATAAAAGGAGAGTAATAAACCCTATTTAAGAGTAGCTGTAAGAATTAAATAAGATCACATAGATGAAAGCTCTTTTACACTGTCAAGCATTAAACAGACATAGGATTATTATTCTTTCAAAAATTATATACACACATAAAATTCAGCCTAGCAGAGAGGAGCATACATTTTTTTTTAGCTCCTTCCCAAACTGCTCACCTTGTTCAGCAGAGTGGGACACACACTGCGGTGGCCATGTTGGTTCTGATGAGCCCTTTCGATCCCATCCACCTCAGGCTTGTGGTGCTTTTCTTCTCTGCCAGTCCCACGTGTGCATATTATGATCTATACATGGTTGTATTTACACACTGATGTCTTGGTACTTACAACTGATAACTGATACCAAGATGATAGGAGGCGAAGTTTCTGTGGAGAGCAGGGCTAGATAAAGAAGTTTCGTGACCTTAAACTTTAAAGATTATGGTGATTACCACTACCTCTAATTAATAAATAGAAACAGTACTAAATCATAAAATATAACCAACTAAACTCTATTTTTCCCATTATAGCTTTATTGGTACTTCATCGAGACATCCAATTATTTTAAGAGTTTTTTTTTTTAAATTTTTCATGCTCTTTCTGGTACTAAAACCTGTGCTTACTATGCTGTCATCCTCAGACAGGAACCCAAAAAGGCCAAGTCGGGCTCGGCAGAAGCTTGAGTCTCGGTTTTTCCCCAAACCCTGGCTGTCAACACACAGATCTGTGTGAATGAGAAGCCCAGAACATTGGGTCGGGGTGGATCGAATGCAATGTTACCAGACAGAGCAGCAGCCGACGGCGCAAACTCATACCAACGTCACCCGAGCCTGCGTTAGCCCATAGCGACGCGGCAGCCTGGTTCCGGGGAGAACCTACCCGGGAGGCGGAGCTGGAAAGGGGTGAAGCCAGAGAGGGAGGGGGCGGGGCCAGGACTCAATTACACGCGAGAAGGGCGGGACCGGGTCCAGAGGCAGGAGCAAGGACAGACCCAAAAGGAGAAGCCAAAGGGTGGGCTCAAGCGCGCGGGGAGGACCAGAAAGGGGGCGAAACCAGAATGAGGGAGAATCTGGGGGTGGGCCGGGACTGGGCAGGGACTAGGAGAAGGTCCAGAAGGCGGAGGAAGCTGTGAGCCTTGGCCCATATCAGAAACCGGACAGGCCGGAGGGAGGAAAAAAGGGGCAGGGCCAGGGCCTGGAGGGAGGGTCATGGACGTAGGAAAGATTCAGGGGGCGGGACAGAGGCGTGACCAGGACTCAGAAGGCGTGCCCAAACATGGAAGGGCGGGAAGGGGCGTGGCTATGACATGAAGGCGGGGTTAGGCCTGGAGAGCGGCTCAGGACTAGGCTCTGAAGTCAGGGGGCGGGGAAGAGGCGTGCCCAAGCCGTGAAGCAGGGGCGGGGTTATAAAACGGGGGCGGGGCTAGGTCTGGAGGTCTGCTCAGGGGCTAGGCCAGGAAATCAGTGAGCGGGGAAGAAGGCGTGCCCAATTTGAAGGGCGGGTCAAGGGCGTGGTCAAAACATGGAAAGAGACTCGGGGCTACGCGTCTGGGCCGACCAGGGACGTGGCCAGGATTCAGGGGGCGGAGCAGGAGCGTGCCCACTTCGGAGGGCGGGGCGGGACAGGACAGGGGCGGGGCCAAAACACAGGAAGGGCGCAAGGCAAGGTCTGGGAGTAGATAGGGGCGTGGCCAGAAGTCGGCGGTCCGGGCTAGGTCTGGAGAGCGGCTCGGGGGCGTGACCAGGATTCAAGGGGCGGAGCGGAGGCGCGCTCAAACCCAGAAGGCGGGGCAGGGGCTGGTACAAGCCCAGGGAGCCGGGCGTGGGCGAGGGTGCAGCGGGGCCGACCCTAGCGGGCGGCGGACGGCGGACGGTCACAGGCGCTCCACGGCGGCGTGCAGAGGCTGCAGGCCTAGGAAGTGCAGGGCCAGGGCGAGCAAGCCGAGGAACAGCAGCAGCCTGAGCAGCAGGCGCAGGAGGGTCCGCGCCGTGGAGCCGCGGGGCCGCCGGGTCGTGGACTGCACGTATAGCTCCACGGCGTCGGCGAACCTAAACTTATCCGGCGCGTAGCCGAGCTGGGCGCGGGCCTTGGCTATCTGGAAGGTGTGCGTCACGGCCACGCTGCGCACCTGCGGGGACAGGCGGGGCATCCGAGGGCGGGCCTCGTGGGAGGAGGACATCCTCTACTTCGTTGTTTACGGAAAGGGAAAAGAGAGGGCAGGGATTTCCCCTCCATTACATAGTGATTTAAAAGGACCCGAGTGCAGCGTCTTGCTCCTGCGATGCCCTCATTAGAGAGGTCTTCCTTTCTTCCTTACATGTTCATTTTTATTGGAGGGTGCCGCCTTTGCGTCGCCCCCTCCAGCCCCGCTGAATTCGCACCCTATTTAACTCCTTGGTCCCTAAGAAGCAAAGGTCTCACCCCTACACTCATCTTCCCGGCCTAGCACGGTGCTGGGACTCAGGAGGCCCTTGATACATTCTTAGGCATCCGCTAGGAGAAGGTGAACGCCTGCCAGAAACATCTGCAGGAAACGACCTTGGCTTCCTGCCCCCAACCCCAGACCAACTGTGACCAGGAGGGCCCCAGTCGCAGCCTTCATGCCCTCGCTTATTAACTAAGCTTCCCTAAGAGAGGAATTCGATTATGCAGAACTGATTGCTCTCCAGGGTCTAAGCTGTGTTTCCCCTGCTGCCAGATGGCTTGGGGCCCACTGGTTTGAAGGGTAGTAATGATAGCTATCAGCAGTTAAGGAACACACACCCTGCATTTGGCCTGGACTAAATCCTTTCTATGCCCTACCTCATTTAATCCTCTCAGGTGGTACTAGCACTATCTGTTCTGTGCATACTTGGAAAAAGGTCAGAGAGGTTGAGTGACTTGCCTGGGGTCGCACAGGGGAGCCAGGTTCTAGCCTAATTTCTTCTCTGCTGTGCTGGCACCTGGAGATGTTCTCCCACCTGACTCATTTCTTCCTCTCTTTTTCCTCAGCCGGACCCTGGGGAAGAATCCACCAGCTGCTGGATTCTCCCATGGCATTGAAACAGCCCCTGGGGTCAAACCTGTGGTCTTGGATGCTTAATGGGGGGTGAGGAGAGAGGCCAGTATTTGTCCCTTTTTTTCCTAGTCAGTAAGTGCAGGGCTTTGGGGAGCACAGGAGTTGAGTTACGCTAGATAAGCAGGGTCCCTAATACACCTAGATGTCTCTAGATGTCACCTCTGGGAAGCTTTCTCTGACTTCCTCAGAGTTGGCTGAGGCGCCCCTTCTGTGTGCACTGGAGTTTCTCGCGATTTTCCCAAGAATGGCTCTAATTACAGTGTTGAGTTGCCTGGTTAGTGGGCTGTCTTCCCCTTTGAACTAGGAGCTCCCTAAGGGCAAGGACTATGTCTTCTTGCCTCCGTTGCTCAGCACAGTGCCTGGTAACATTTATGTTAAATGCATAAAAGGCTATAAAGTCAAACTGGAGGGCTGGTTGATGTGTCACAGATTGACCAGCAGAGGGTACCCGAGCCACAGCCAAGGAACTTCCACAGTTAAGGACATTGCCCCTGAGCTGAACAAGGAAATCCCCAAGTTAAACAAGAGGGAGAGGAGCCAAGTCCCTGCCTGACCACAATTCAGCTGCACCCTGGCAGCTATTTTATGTGGATGTGATTCCTGATGCATTTTCACAAGCTAATGGTTAAGCTTGAAATCACTGAGGTCTGGGTTCAAATCCCAGCTCTACCATTTAAGTGAGTGATCACGGGCAGGTTATTTCACTGTGTGTCTCATTTCCTCCTCTCTAAATGGAGAGGACAATGTTGTCTACAACTCAGTTAAATGAGATAAAGCACAGTGCCTGGCATACTGTCACAACTCAAGAGATTGTCAGTATCATCTTATTCTCTCCTCCACTGATCCGGATGGCTCAAAGGAGAAGCCATAGGTGACTACTTCTTTCTGTGGCCCATTCTCCACTCTCCCCCTCTGACTCCCCTTGTTAAAGAGCACTGAACATGGAGTCTGAAGCCAATTCCAGTATGGTGTGGCCTTGGACAAATAATTTTCCTAGTGCTCAATTTTTCATCATAAAATGGAGATCACGATTTTTTTTTGACCTTTTTAACTTAGCAGGGCATCAGAGACAATAAAACGAGAGTGGACTGGAAGTAATTTTTTTTTTTTTTTTAGATGGAGTCTTGTGCTGTCACCCAGGCTGGAGTACAATGGTGTGGTCTCAGCACACTGCAACCTCCACCTTCCAGGTTCAAGCGACTCTTCTGCCTCAGCATCCCGAGTAGCTGGGACTACAGGTATGTGCCACCACACCCAGCTAATTTTTGTATTTTTAGTAGAGACAGGATTTCACTGCGTTGGCCAGGCTGGTCTCAAACTCCTGACCTCAGGTTATCCACCCGCCTCAGCCTCCCAAAGTGCTGGGAACAAGTGTGAGCCACCGTGCCCGACTGGACTGGAAGGATTTTTGCAAATAACCTCAAATACCACCGATTACTTTGCTATTTACAATCTGTGATGAAAACATCCTCTCTTTTAACTAAGCAAATATAAACCTGCATCATCATTATTATGAGAATAGTATTCTGAGCCAGGCATGGTGGTGCATGCCTGTAATCTCAGCTATTTAGAAGGCTGAGGGGGGAGAATCTTTTTTTTTTTTTTTGGTTTTTAGGGGCAGGATCTCCATCTGTTGCCTAGGCTGGAGTACAGTGGTGCAATCTGCAGCCTTGAACTCCTGGGCTCAAGTAATCCCCCACCTGAGCTGGGACTAAAGGCATGCACCACCTTGCCTGGCTAATTTTAAAATTTTTTGTAGAGATGAGGTCTTGCTATGTTGCCCAGGCTGGTCTCAAACTCCTGGCCTCAAGTGATCCTCCTGTCTCAGCCTCCCAAAGCACTGGGATTATAGGTGCGAGCCACCACACCTGGCCAAGAGGATCTCTTGAGCTCAGGAGTTTGAAACCAGCCTGGACAATATAGTGAGACCCTGTCTCATAAAAATAATTATATTCTGTATGTAGTAGGTACTTAATATATACTCATTATTCAGTAAGCATGAACTATGAGCCTAGGACCACCAGGCTGTTGTGTGTGTGTATGTATGTGTTGAGAGTTGGTGGGATTGGTAGCATTCAAAGAAGTGAATGGCCTGAAACTTGCCTTTGGGAACCTCCAGTCTGGCTGGAAAGACAAGATGCTTATGAATGAAGAAACAGTGATGATGGATAGGCTTGGAGCTGTCACATTTCAGACCCAGAAAGCACAGCCTCAGCAAAAGCCCAGAGGTTGGGGTGATCATAACAGAGCTAGCACCAGCTTTGGGCCCACATGGAAAGTTCTGAGACTTCAGACAAGCATGTGTCATCATGGTGTCAAAGGGGTAAGGAGTGGCAGCAGTGGGGATGGTGGGGAGAGGTAGGAAGGGAGGGATGGGGAGCAGGGCCTAGGTCCCATAACAGCAGCCCACTTACCTCACTACGAGTGAGCAGCGGTGGGAGGCTGCAGATGGGTCTCAGGGCCAGATGGAGGCGCTCCATAACTGCTGCTGCAGGGAAGGAGGGGGCCAGTGACCAGGGGCCTCACATTATGCAAACTCCAGGGAGGCCCTTGGGGACAAATCAATGGGGGACACCATTTGCTTTGCTAGAGGTCACTTTGCAGAAGTCACTGGATTCCTTTAAATCAGCAGCCCTTGCTGGGGTGCCTTGTTTAGCTGTGAAATATGTCACAAGTAACTTGTTTTTAATATTAAATGACCAGGCTGGGTGCAGTGGCTCAAGCCTGTAATCCCAGCACTTTGGGAGGCTGAGGCGGGCGGATTGCCTGAGATCAGGAGTTCGAGACCAGGCTGGTCAACATGGTGAAACCCTGTCTCTACTACAAATACAAAAATTAGCCGGGCGTGGTGGCACATGCCTGTAATCCCAGCTACTGGGGAGGCTGAGGCAGGAGAATCGCTTGTACCCAGGACGCAGAGATTGCAGTGAGCTGAGATTGCACCACTGCACTCCAGGCTGGGCAACATAATAAGACTCCGTCAGAAAAAAAAAAAAAATTGAACGACTGAAGTTTTTAAATAAATCTGAACAGATTCAAAGTTATCCATATAATAATCTCTCTCTCACTTCTACTCCAATGCTCTCTGGAGTAGGAGAGAAAGAGGTTGGAGTAACAGTTCTCAAACTGGGCTGCATGTGGGACCAATTTAAAAATAATACTTGTGAGAACCAGGTGTGGTGGCTCATGCCTGTAATCCCAGCATAAGAGACTGAGGAGGGAGGATCTCTTGGAGCCAGGAGTTCAAGACCAGCCTAGACAACAAAGTGAGACGCCCTCATCTCTAAAAAATTTTTGAAAATAGCCAGGCATGGAGGTGCATGCCTGTTACCTCCACTACTCTGGAGGCTGAAGTGGGAGGATCGCTTCAGGCCAGGAGTTCGATACCAGCTGGGGTAACATAGCAAGACCCCCATCTCTACTAAAGTATAAAAATTAGCTGGGCCTGGTGGTAGGAGCCTGTAGTCCTAGAGGCTTGAGAGGCTGAGGCAGAGAATTGCTTGAGCCCAGGAGGTTGAGTCTGCAGTGAGTTATGATCATGCCACTGCACTCCAGCCTGGGTGGCAGTGCAAGACCCTAACTCTAAAAAAATAAAAAATACTGATGCTTTCCTCCCACTTCCTCCCTGCTAATCCCAATTTAATTGGTCGGTAGTGTGGCTGAGACATTTCTCTATTTTAAAAGCTCCCAGGTGACTGTGCAGTGCAGCCCTGGTTGAGAAGCACTGAATTACTGTTAGCCCACTGGGAACTGGGAACGCCTTTACAATCCTCTCCAAGTGCCATCGGCCGTGGCTCAGGGCCGGGAGTACCAATCACTGCGGCAATGCTGTGCATGAGAAGTTGCCCTGCATGTGTTCCCTGGTGAACAAAAATTTGCAACCCCCTGCTTTTAATGGCAAGCCACTCGATGCATTTAAAACACAAGAGATCCTGCCAAGGAGTCCCTGGAACACAGCTATTTGGGACTGGAGGGCCACCATCCCCTCAGGCTGGTCACTCCATGTCTGAAGGCTGCTCTGCCTTCCAGCTGGGAGGAGGCCATTGTATGGGTGCTGGGGACAGAGGGAAGGGGAGCAGCCAAGACGCATTGTCGGGGGTGGAGGTGGGAGCAGAGACTGACCTTCAGGGACAGGAGGAGAATCTAGGATCAAAATGGAGCCTCCGTTTGTCCTAAAGTAGCCCTAACTTCAGGGTGACCTTGGGGGACAGAACAGCCCCAGGGTTCTCTCTCCTCCTGACTGGCATGAGACCTCCCAGCAGCACCACAAAGAGCCCACCAAGCCCAGTTGTGAATTCCGCCTCTCCGCCTCTCCCGCATTCTCACTGTGGCACTTTGAGAAAGTCACTAACCTCTCAGAGCCTCGGGTCACCTCATCTTTACAATGGGCCCATCATAGCTGCCTTGCAGGTGGGACTAGGGTGAGGGAAGTGAGACACCTAGGGTGTGGAATTTAAGGAGGCACTTGCTTCCGGCACCAGACAAGTGCAAACTCAGGCTTGGAGCTGCTGCGTGGCCTCCTTAAATTTTGTGACCACAGTGCCTCACTGTCCTCACCCTAGTCCTGGTCCTGCCTGAGTTTCTTTTTCTTTTCTTGTTTTTCTTTTGAGACAGAGTCTCACTCTGTCACCCAGTCTGGAGTGCAGTGGCGGGATCTCGGCTCACTGCAACCTCTGCCTCCTGGGTTACAGCAATTCTCCTGCCTCAGCCTCCCAGGGAGCTGGGAATACAGGCGTGCGCCACCACACCCGGCTGATTTTTGTATTTTTAGTAGAGATGGGGTTTCACTGTGTTGGCCAGACTGGTCTGGAACTGCTGATCTCAGGTGATCTGCCTGCCTCAGCCTCCCAAAGTGCTAGGATTACAGGCGTGAGCCACCGTGCCTGGCCCCTGAGTTTCAATTAAGGCAATGCAAGGTACACCTGGCACATGGAGGGCTTTACTACGCACACTCCTTTCCTTACCTGTCAGGTAAACCCAGGAAGTAGGCACCTGGATCCAGGGCTGGCTGTACCCCAGCTTCTCAAACTGCAAAGAAACACGACCTGGAGTGAGAACAAGTGGTTCAGGGGCTGGTGTGGAAAGACCACATGCTCCCTCTACCGGGGACCAGCAGAGGTACCTCCTGTCTCCCCACCAACCCACCCCAGGGGGCAGACCCTGCAGCCAACCCCAGGCCTGTGCCAGTATTGAAATGAAATCCGCACCTTGACCCAGAAAACCCAAGGAGGAATTGAAAGCATGGGTTAGTTAAAATTTTTTTTTTTTTTTTTTGCAGAGAATCAGGGGTCTTGATGTGTTGCTCAGGCTGGTCTTGAACTCCTGGCCTCATGTGATCCTCCTGCCTCAGCCTCCCAAAAGTGCTGGGATTACAGGCATAAGCCATTACACCCGCCAGGTAGCTTTTTAACTTGGGATCATTCACATCATTTAATTATCACCTACATCTGTCTATACCTAGAGACACTCTAAGGCATTTATGTAGAATCTGATTTTTCCAGAATTGACTTTTCTGTGGAGGGTGGTAGGATATGCAGCAGAAATGGGCTGGCATGGGATAAGGTGAACTCTTCACTGGCATAAAAACTTTCCAGGTCAAGAGGAAACCTGTGTCCTTTAGCCTGGGTTTTCTGGTCTACCCCTTCCAGGCAAGCCTGGCTGCTAGGAGTCTGGGCTGCTCAGAGAGGACACCAGAGTTCCCGGGCTGCCGTGTGGGGAGGCCCCAAAGCCAAACACCTCCCTTGCGCTTTTGTCTCTTCCACATGCCTCCTTCCGAGCCTCAACACATAATGGGTGGCTCACAAGCAAAACTCCACAGGGCTAGAAGCCAACATAAATCTGGAAGCATCGAGATCAGCCTGGCCAACATGGTGAAACCCTGTCTCTACTAAAAATACGAAAATTAGCCAAATACAAAAAATTAGCCGAGCAGGGTGGTGTGCACCTGTAATCTCAGCTATCAGGAGGCTGCGGCAGGAGAATCGCTTGAACCCAGGAGGCAGAGGTTGCAGTGAGCTGAGATCGCACCACTGCACTCCAGCCTGGGTGACAGAGTGAGACTGTCTCAAAAAAATGAAACAAAACAAACGCCTGGAAGCAGGGTGGAAGGGAACTGCAGGTAACTGAGGAACACATGGCGCCCCTCAAGGGCTCCAGCCAGTTCCAATGTTGCCAGAGGTGTTTTTTTAAAAAAATTGATTTTTAGAGATAGGGTCTTATTCTGTTACCCAGGCTGGAGTGCAGTGGTGCAATCATAGCTCACTGCAGCCTTGAACTCCTGGGCTCAAGAGATCCTCCCGCCTCAGCTGCCCAAGTAGCTGGGACCACAGGTGTGCCAACACCATGCCTGCCTAGTTGAATTTTTATTTTTGCAGAGACAGGGGTCCTCGCTTTGTTGCCCAGGTTGGTCTCAAACTCCTGGCCTCAAGCGATCCTCCCGTGTTAGCCTCCCAAAGTGCTGGGCTTACAGATGTGAGCCACCTCACTGGGCAAAGAGTTGGTTTTTGACGTGAAATCTTCTGGCTTTTTGGAAATCGAAAAGGACAAGAAGAGAAGGCCGCAGGCCGAGCACAGTGGCTCATGCCTGTAATCCCAGCACTCTGGGAGGTCGAGGTGGGTGGATCACTTGAGGTCAGGGGTTTGAGACCAGCCTGGCAAACATGGTGAAACCCCATCTCTACTAAAAATACAAAAAATTAACTGGGCGTGGTGGCGTGTGCCTGTAATCCCAGCTACTCGGGAGGCTGAGGCATGAGAATTGCTTGAACCTGGGAGGGGAGGTTGCAGTGAGCTGAGATTGTACCACTGGACTCCAGCCTGGGTGACAAGAGCAAAACTCTGTCTCAAAAAATTAAAAAAAAAAATAAAAAGGAAGAGAAGGTCAGGGATCCCAGAATGATCATTCGGGGTGGGTGGGCATCTGTGCACCTACCAGTGGGGCCATCCACTCAAAGAGGTTGACGCTCTCCCCATCGTTGATGTAGTACGCCTGCCCACTCTGAAGGGGACATGTGGGAGGGGACGGTCAGCCTTCTCCCCAGCAGCCTGCCCCACCCTTCCAGATGGCTCCCAGCAGCTGCTCCAACCCTGAGTTCTCTGGAGCAGCTCCAATACCTGAGGACACACGTGAACTATTCCCTGTGAATTCCAGGACGACCACACTGACTAGCTGTGTGACCTCCATGGAGTTGCTTAACCTCTCTGTACTTCAGTTTCTTCATCTGAGAAATGGGAGGATAATAATGGGATCTCCTTCTTGGACTACTGTGAAGATTAAATGCGACAATATGTGTGGAGGCTTAGCATCTGGCAGCTGTTATTCTGGGATCAACAACGCCAACCTCACATGGCCATAGAGAAGAGCTAAAGATGCTCTATAAAGAACTCCACACCCCACCTACCTGCTTCCCCCAAGCTCCCCTGGGCTGAGAGTCCCACCAGCCTTCTTAAGTTGGAGGGAAATCTTGTGTGCCATCCAGAAATCCCCTAGGGATGGGACGCTCTGCCTGCAGCCCTGTGGGGAAGGTGGTTGGGGGCATCAGAGGGGACTCACAGCCACGTAGCCCTTGGCCGTGGTGAGGGCCTCGGCCGCCAGCACGTGTGCCTGCACCAGATTGTGTACGTGGACCCAGTTCATCCGTGCCTTGTGGTCCCCAAATCGGAACATGAACAGCCTCTTCTTGATGTGGCCCTGGTGGAGAGGAGTGGGTGATAAACAGGCTTGTGTCCGGTGTGGCTTTACATTCCGTCTAGATGCTGATGACTCCCCAGGTTCTAGCTCCAGGTCAGGCCCCTCTGCTCCAGGCTCATGTATCCAATGCTCTCTGAATATCAGCAACGGGTTGTCTAACAGAAAACTCAAACTCACCAGCTCCTGGAGCGAGCATCTGATCGTCTCTCCCACCCCGCTCCTCCCTCCCTTCCCAGTGGACCAGTCAGTTCACTCTACCACTCAGGTTAAAACCCTAAAGCCACCTTTGACTCCCCCTTGTCTTAAACGCCATGTCCAACCCACCTGCAAATCCAATTGGTTCAACTGTTAAAATCTGTCCAGAATCTGATAGCTTCTCGCTACTCTGACAGCCACCCTCCTCTCACCTGGACGCCACAGTTGCTTCCTAACTGGTCCCCCTCTGTCCACCCTCAGCCCCTGTAGTCTGTTCTCTGCCCAGCCAGGCAGATCCTTTGATTGTTTCTTTTTTTTGAGACAGATTCTTGCTCTGTTATCCAGATTGGAGTGCAGTGGCAAGATCTTGGTCACTGCAAACTCCATCCCCTGGGTTCATGCAATTCTCCTGCCTCAGCCTCCTGAGGAGCTAGAATTACAGGCACAAACCACCATGCTCAGCTAATTTTTGTATTTTTAGTAGAGACAGGGTTTCACCATGTTGGCCAGGCTGGTCTCAAACTCCTGACCTCAGGTGATCCACCCATCTCGGCCTCCCAAAGTGCTGGGATTATAGGTGTGAGCCACCATGCCGGGCCAGATCCTTTGATTCTTTCATAGTTTTTTAGAGACAGGGTCGGGCTCTGTTGCCCACACTAGAGTTCAGTGGTGCAATCACTGCAGCCTTGAACTCCCGGGCTCAAGCGATCCTCCTGCCTTGGCCTCCCGAGTAGCTGGGACTATAGATGAATACCACCACACCTGGATACTTTTTAAATTTTTTTGTAGAAATGGGGATCTCACTATGTTGCCCAGGCTGGCCTTGAACTCCTGGGCTCAACCAATCTTCCCTCCTCGGCTTCCCAAAGTGCTGGGATTACAGACATGAGCCAGCGTGCTCAGCCAGGGATCCTTTTATTTTTAGAGATAGAGTCTCCCTGTGTCACCCAGGCTGGAGTGCAGTGGTGCAATCATAGCTCACTGCTGCCTTGAAATCCTGGGCTCAAGGGATCTTCCCATCTCAGCCTCCCAAAATGCTGAGATTATAGGCATGTGCTCCCATGCCCAGCCAGGAGGACCTTTAAAAATTCTAAGTACAACCATGTTGTTCCACGGCTCAGAACCTTCCAGGGGCTCCCATCCTGCTAGGCTGGAAGCTGAAGTCCTGACAATGGCTGTCAAACCCTTCCTGATCTGGCCCCAGCTCCTCTGTGACTTCATCTCCTACCAAACCCCCTCACTCGCTCCACCACAGCTGCACCGCCCCTTTGCTCTTCCTGGACACTGCTGCAGGTTCCCATCTCAGGGCTTTGGATGAGCTGTTCCCACTGTCTGGAAGGTATTTGGAGGAAGAGCCTTTCAGACTTTGTCACCTCTGTCAAGTGGATGCTCAAATGTCCCTTTCTAAATGAGCCCCCCCGTGACTACCTGACAAGCCCAATTCCCTCACCCTACCTCGCTTTTTCCTTTTCTCCACAGTGCCTGGAATCTTCTTTTTTTTTTTTTTTTTGAGATGAAGTTTCGCTTTTGTTGCCCAGGCTGGAGTGCAATGGCACAATCTCGGCTCACTGCAACCTCCCCATCCCAGGTTCAAGCGATTCTCCTGCCTCAGCCTCCTGCGTATCTGGGATTACAGGTGCCCACCACCACGTCTGGCTAATTTTTTGTATTTTTAGTAGAGACAGGGTTTCACCATGCTGGCCAGGCTGGTCTCGAACTCCTGACCTCAATTGATCCATCCCTGTCGGCCTCCCAAAGTGCTGGGATTACAGGCATGAGCCACCGCACTTGGCCTGAACATACCTTATAATTTAACATGTTCATTATCTGTCTCTTCATATGAGAAGATAAACGCCACAAGGACAGGAATCATCTGTTTTGTTCACTGATCTGTCCTCAAACCTAGAACAGTGCGGGGCACATACTAGGAGTTCGTAAGTATTCGTTGAATGAATGAATAAATGAATGGGGAGAGAGTCACTGGGGTTGACCACATTCCTTAAGAACCCAGTTAACTCAAAAGAAAAAAAATGATTGCTGGGTCCAGTAGTTCACGCCTGTCATCCCAGCAACTTGGGAGGTTGAGGCAGGAGGATTGGTTGAGGCCAGGAATTTGAGATCAGCTTGGGCAACATAAGGAGACCCTATCTCTACAAAAAATAAAAATAGTCAATCAGGCATGGTTGTGCACACTTATAGTCACACCTACTCAGAAGGCAGGAGGATCGCTTGAGTCCAGGAGGTGGAGGCTGCAGTGAGCCATGATCACACCATTGCACTCTTGCCTGGGTGATACAGTGAGACCCTGACTATAAACAAAAAGACATATAGCCAAGCAGAGGAATGTTCTGAAACTGCAGACTGGAACTTCTCCCCGCCAATAACTCTAGCTCCTCATAATCCCGTACTCCCAGATCAGATCCAGCCACAGGGACCTCTTGCTGCTTCCTAAAACAATCATGACCTTTCTCACTTCCAGGTTTGTGCCCAAGCTGTCCCCTCTGTTTGGCCTATCTTCTCTCTACCACTTCATTTCCTTGGTTAATTCCTTTTTCTTTTTTCAAACAACACAGACATCACTTCCTCCAGGGAGCCCTCCTGGGTTTCCCCTGCCAGGCCCATCTTCTTGTGCTCCTCTCTCCACAGCCCTCCCCACATTGAAGCTGTGACTGTGGTGTCTGTCTCCCTGAGAAATTCGAGGACAGGGCCTATAGCCCCTTGTAGCTGTATTTCTGGCACCCGACCCTTTAGAGGCTTTCTGTATGAAGACACTTGTGCTCTCAGCATGGAATAAACCATCCAGGCTTCAGGGAGCCCACATGGGAGTGAGGGCAACAGGCTCTCTTCTGCCTTTTTGGGGTCACAGCTCTATGGCTCCTCTACCCGTGCCTTGGCTTGGCTGGTACACTCTGAGAGCTCTGTTCCTGCCAGGAGCTCCAAGGGGCCTGTGGACCAGTGGGGGCAGGAACATCTTGTAGAACTGAGGGTTCCAGGCTCAGGACACTTAGCCTCGAGACTGATGCAGCGACCAGGGGCTGGGAGGGCCCGACCAGTGTACACCTCAGCCAGGATCCTTCTCTGACTTGGGTCCTGAAGGCGGGGATGACGTACCGCCACACGGGGCAGGTGCCTCTGCTCTTCAGGGCCGTAGATCCCTGGAGGCCGGAGCACACACGTCCGAAGAGTGCCTCCTCCTAGCACACAGGGAAGCGTGGTCAGGGGTCAGGGGAGGAGCAGCCCACAGGGAGAGGGAGAGAGAGGCCACCTCCATCTGTTGGTGCTTACCTGGACAGGCTAGAGGGGAAGACCGGCCCAGGGGCTTCCTCGTTCAATTTATTATTCTCTTAGTCAGTCATTCAACAGACACTATTCAGAGTCTCACTCCCACCTCCAATCCCCCTGCCCCCCACCCTGGATGGATCCTGTGAAGAATGTAAGGATGACCAATAAATGGTCCCTGCCCTCCCATTGCTCACAGTGCAGTCACAAAGGTAAGAGCCAGATGCAAACATCTGCACGGCCGGTCTGTTTACCAAGCACTCGGCAGAGTGATTTTCTTTGATGCCCCTTGAGAGTACTACTGTGCCCATTTTACAGATGCACATAGATGCACATGCCCTCATGCCCATAGCTCTTGGTCTCTCTTTTTCCTTTTCCTTTTCCTTTTTCTTTTTCTTTCTTTATTTCTTTTTTTTTGAGATGGAATCTTGCTCTGCCGCCCAGGCTGCAATGCAGTGGCGCAATCTTGGCTCACTGCAACCTCCATCTCCCGGGTTCAAGCAATTTTCCTGCCTTAGCCTCCCAAGTAGCTGGGATTACAGGTGCCCACAACCATGCCCAGCTAATTTTTGTATTTTTTAGTAGAGACGGGGTTTCACCATGTTGGCCAGGCTGGTCTTGAACTCCTGACCCCAGGTGATCCACCCGCCTTGGCCTCCTGAAGTGCTAGTATTACAGGCATGAGCCACCGCGCCCGGCCTTGTTCTCCCTTTTTCTAATCAGCAGTTGGATAAGGACCAGGAGAGGTCCTTATGTATAGATAAGGACTATATAATAGATATCTAAGAGACAAGGACTCTCAGAGAGGTCCTTCTATGTTCCTGGTGCTCTGATACGCCAAGGTTGGAGATGTTATAATCCCTGCCTATGGATAAAAGAACCACAGCTCAGAGAAGGGATGTGATTTGCTTCCAGTCACACAGATCAGCGCAGTGGAGCTGAGATGGGGACCTGAAGTCCACACCGTTTCCACTAATACCTCCGCTTCTCAGCAGTAAGGCAAACAGTGAACCCTGTCTTTTAGCCAGCTCAGCCTTGGTTTCCTCACATGGAAAATGGGTGCTTTGGAAGTGGCAGCAGCTGCTACACTTTCCAATCAATGGAGAAAGGAAAGAGCCGGGGTCTGTACCCCTTTCACTGCTCTATCTCAGCGGAGTTCCCCAGACCCTGACAGAGCTCAATCTAGGGCTTCCCAAATTCTCCACTGGAGGGACCCAAATGGCAGAAGCAGGTGAACATGTATCTCCTGGGGCGGTCTGGGGTTACAGTCTGAAGGGCTGCCACAGACATATGTCAGTCTTGTCTTAAGAACACCTACTACTAGCTGGGAGCAGTGGCTCACGCCTGTAATCCCAGCACTTTGGGAGGCCAAGGCAGGAGGATTGCTTGAGCCCAGGAGTTCGAGACCAGCCTGGGCAACATAGTGAGTCTCTACTATTTATTAAAAAATAAAATAAAATAACACCTACAAAGTATTCAGTTTATCCTCATAATTCATGTTTAAGATTTAAAAAATTTTTCTTTTATTTTTATTGCCATATAATAATTGTACATATTTGTGGGGTAAGGTGTGATGTTTTGGCTCTGAAGTTTAGAGCGTAAGGGATACCTAAGGTTTTTACCTACATGCATACAGTGTGTAATGATCAAATCAGGGTAATGAGCATATCTATTAATACATTTCTTTGTCTTGGGAACATTCACATCTACTGCCTGGGCAATAAAACGAGACCCCCATCTCTGACAAAGAAAAAAAAAATTAGCCAGGCACCATGGTGTGCACCTACAGGCCCAATGTTCTTGGAGGCTGGGGTGGGGGAATCACTTGAATCCAAGACTTTGAGGCTGCAGTGAGCCATGATAGCGCCACTACACTTCAGCCTGGGCGACAGAGCGAGACCCTGTCCCAAAGAAAAAAAATCCACTCTTCTAGCTATTTGAAAATACACAATAAATAGTTGTTAATTATAGTCACTATATAGTGCTATAGAACACTATAACTATTTTTAAAAAAGAGTTTTAGAAAATATTTAAAATGACTTTTTTTTTTTTTTAATAGAGTCTTGCTCTGTCGCGCAGGCTGGAGTGCAATGGCACGATCTCGGCTCACTGCAACCTCTACCTGTCAGGTTCAAGTGATTCGCCTGCCTCAGCCTCCCGAGTAGCTGGGATTACAGGCACCTGCCACCACGCCCCACTAATTTTTGTATTTTTAGTAGAGGAGGGGCTTCGCTATGTTGGCCAGGCTGGTCTTGAATGCCTGACCTCAGGTGATCCACCCACCTCAGCCTCCCAAAGTGCTGGGATTACAGGCGTAAGCCACTGTGCCCAGCCTAAAATGACTTATTTAATTAATTATTTTTAGAGACAGGGTCTCACTCTGTCACCCAGGCTGAAATGCAGTGGTGCGTCATGGCTCACTGCATCCTCAACCTCCCAGGCTCAAGCAATCATCCTACCTTAGTCTCCCAAGTGGTTGGGAGACTAAAAAAAAAAAAAAAAAAGGAAGGAGTGTAGCCTACTTGAGCCTCTGGGAGTACAGCCCAGCAGACACCTTGATTTCAGACTCTGGCCTCCAGGATGGTGAGAGAAGAAACGATTGTCTTTTGTTCATTTGTTTTTGAGAGAGGGTCACAGCTTACTGCCATCTTGACCTCCCTGGGCTCAGGTGATCCTCCCACCTCTGCCTCCCGAGTAGCTGGGAGTACAGGTGTGCACCACCACACCAGGTCATTTTTGTATTTTTTTGTAGAGATGGAGTTTTGCCATGTTGCCCGGGCTGGTCTTGAACTCCTGAGCTCAAGCAGTCCTCCCGTCTTGGCCTCACAAAGTGCTGGGATTACAGGTGTCAGCCACCATGCCCGGCCCATTTCTATTGTTTTAAGCCATCAAGTTTGGGTGGCATCATTTGTCACAGCTGCCACAGGATACTAACACACCCAGAGACAGAAGACGGGAGGACATAACTGCATTAACACTGAGCTAGGATCTGCACGCCTCAGGACTCTGCTCCCAGGACTACGGACCTCTGCGCCGAGTCAGAAGAACAGTTTCAGGAACCCGCTTGGATAGTAGGGAGTGGAAATGACCCCAGGTGACTGCAGCGGGACTCCTGGAAGGCAGATATTGGGTGAGATTTCCTGTAAACAGCTTGCAGCTAATTTTAAACTCTGGGTCACCTGGGCATAGTGGGGGGAGGTCGGGTTGCAGCTGACGTTGGCAGGCGGGGCATTGAACAGCTACTTCACGGAGGGCCAGGGTATCCATGACTCTCCTGACCATGGAAAGCTGCAGATGCTCATATAAATAATTCTTGGCTGGAGGATTAGGTGTCTAGAGTACAGGCTACTGGGCTGGCTGGCAGAGGCCCCAGGTAGAGAAAATATTATTCAACTGCACAAGGTTGAAACTCCTGGGAGAACAGCTGGATATTTCTACTGGAATCAGGGGTCCAGGCCTAACTGGCCCAGGGTGATGGGGAGTAGGGTGGGGGCTGGGGGTGGGGAAGATTTTAGGGAAAAGAGTTGATGCTCAGGGACCTGCTCAGCTGGGGCTGCAGCACTGCACAGTGATTAGGCCCCAGGCTCTGGTGTTAAACTCTCCTGGGGTTCAAATCCCACCTCTACCACCTAACAGCTGGATGATCTTGAGTGAGGTCAGTTCATCTGTCTGTTTTCTCACCTGTACATTGAGGATTATTATTATTATTATTGAGATGGAGTCTCGCTCTGTCTCCCAGGCTGGAGTGTAGTGGCACAATCTCGGCTCACTGCAACCTCTGCTCCCTGGGTTCAAGGGATTCTCCTGCCTCAGCCTCCTGAGTAGCTGGGATTACAGGGACGCATTGCCATGCCCAGCTAATTTTTTTGTATTTTTAGTAGAGACGGGGTTTCACCATATTGGCTAGGCTGGTCTTGAACTCCTGACCTTGTGATCCGCCCGCCTCAGCCTCCCAAAGTGCTGGGATTACAAGTGTGAGCCACCGCACCCAGTGAGGATTATAATTTTTAAGCCTCCGACTCTCCAAATCCACCTGGCTCTCAAGTTTAGATAGTTTTGATAGTGAAGGGAAACCAAGTTATCTGATTCTTTTTACGTTCTGAATTTTAGAAAGCTATATATATATATATATATATATACACACACACATATATATACGTAGCCCATATACATATATATATATTTTGTACAGACATGGTTTTGCCATGTTCTCCAGGCTGGTCTCGAACTCCTAAACTCAAGCCATCCACCCACCTCCGCCTCCCAAAGTGCTGAGATTACAGGCGTGAGCCACTGTACCGGCCCAAATAGTGATAATTTGGATAGCACGAAATTTATTTGAATAAATTTGGTTCTGAAGCTTAGAAAGCAAGGGATATCTATGGTTTTTACCTAAAAGGGGTACTGTGAAGGGTTAATCAGACCTTTGCATATAAAGTTAGCAACCTGTGGGAGGAGAATCCATAAAAAAATGAGATAAAATTAAAATAAAGGGAAAAGTAGAATAAAGAATGGGGCCAGGTGTGGTGGCTCACAGACTCCCATGCCTATAATCCCAGCACTTTGGGAGGCCAAGGCAGGTGGATCGCTTGAGGTCAGCAGTTCTAGACTAGCCTGACCAACATGGTGAAACCCCATCTCTACTAAAAATACAAAAATTAGCCAGGTGTGGTGGCATGCACCTGTAGTCCCAGCTATTCGGGAGGCCGAGGCAGGAGAATCTATTGAACCCAGGAGGCAGAGGTTGCAGTGAGCCAAAATCACACCATTTCACTGCAGCCTGGGTGACAGAGCAATACTCCTTCTCAAAGAAAAAAAAATAAGAGATTAATAATTGTATTTGAAAGAAAAAAATAGCATGCAAAATAGGGCCTGGCATGTAGTGTGCACTCAAGAAATACGGACTATTTGCCTTCTACTATTACTCATCTATAACCAGAAGAGGCAATATAAAAAGGCAGCCAAGGCCAGGCATGGTGGCTCATGCCTGTAATCCCAGCATTTGGGAGTTCGAGGCAGGAAGATCACTTGAGGCCAGGAGTTTGAGACCAGCCTGGATGACATAGTGAGACCCCATCTCTACAAAAAAATTTAAAATAAGCCTGGAATGGTGGCACACACCTGCAGTTTCAGCCACTTGGGAGGCTGAGGCAGGAGGATTACTTAAGCCCAGGAGTTTGAGGCTGCAGTAAGCTATGATTGTGCCATTGCACTCCAGCCTGGGCAACAGAGCAAGACCCTATCTCTAAAACAAATAAATAACTAAGACAGCCAAGGTAGACTCTACTGGGAAGTTGCTGAAGCTTGAGCTTTTGGGCCTCTCCCTTGCCAGGCCCTTCCAAAGTGTTATATCTCATTCCACACTCATAATTTGGTACTCTTTTGTCTAAAGAGGGCCCCTAAAACTGGATCAACTCCTGTGCAGGAGAAAAGAGAGAGACTTGGGTTTGCTCAAGTCTCTTCCCCACCTAGCTGTGAGCTATGTAAGGGCAGACACTGGGCCTGACTTCTTCTGGGCTGTATCCCTGGTGGGGTGCAGCCACACAGCAGGTGCTCAGAATGTGCTGAATGATGAATGGGCAAGGCCCTGGGAAACCGTCCTTTGGAAGGAAGGTGGGCCTCAGACACATGTTAGCATGAATCACACATGTATTTTGGAGGAGGCAGCAGTGGGCAGGTGCATTTGGTACAAGCAGAGCCCCATGATACTCACCTGGGAGAGGCATCCCATTGGCCATGAGGGTCAATTGGTCGGCGATGGCTTTGGTTCGGGAGTAGTGGTCTACGTGCTGCCAGAGGCCAGGAAAAACAGAACCACCAGAGAGGGTCAGCAATGCTGCTGGCAATGCCTGCCCAGCCCCAGGGCTGCACCTTCCCTGGGGACTCCCACTGGGATATGGCCAGGCCCTGAGCCCCATGGCCTTTCCTCTCCCCCTGGGTGGGAGAACAGTGCATCTCCTTCCAGAGCCACAGGAGCAGAGGAGCACTGGGTTCGGAGCAGTAACAATGACCAGGGGCAGCCGACTCAGGGAGGCTCCTGCCAGCCCCAGACACCTGTCCTTGCAAGGCTGATGCTGGACACATGCTGGATGAATTACCTACACATGGCTCTTTTGTGTTCACATGGCATTTTCACATCGGTTATCTTATTTCCTGCTCTGCACAACCCCATGGTGATAGTGTTACCATACTGGGTTGAAGAAACAGAGGCTTGTCCGGGTGCAGTGGCTCATGCCTGTAATTCCAGCACTTTGACAGCCGCAGGAGGGAGGATTGATTGAGCCCAGGAGTTCGAGACCAGCCTGGGCAACTCAATGAAACCTGTATCCACTAAAAATACAAAAATTAGCTGGGCGTGGTGGCGCACGACTGTAGTCCCAGCTACTGGGGAGGCTGAGGCAGGAGAATCACTTGAACCCGGGAGGCAGAGGTTGCAGTGAGCTGAGATCATGACACTGCACTCCAGTCTGAGTGACAGAGCAAAGCAAGACCTTGTCTCAAAACAAAACAAAACAAACAAACAACACGCCTGTAATCCCAGCACTTTGGGAGGCTGAGGCTGGCAGATCACGAGGTCAAGAGATGGAGACCATCCTGGCCAACATGGTAAACCCTGTCTCTACTAAAAATACAAAAATTGGCTGGTTGTGGTGGCATGCACCTATAATCCCAGCTACTTGGGAGGCTGAGGCAGGAGAATCTATTGAACCCAGGAGGCAGAGGTTGCAGTGAGCCAAAATCACGCCACTGCACTCCAGCCTGGGGACAGGGTGAGACTCTGTCTCAAAAAAACAAAAGAAAAGAAAAGAAAAAAAAACAGGCTCAAAGGGCTTAAGTGATTTGCTCAGGGTCAGGGTCACATGGGTAGAATGCGGCCAGGTTGAGGCTAAGGCCAGACCTGTCTGATTTCAATGCCCCTGCAGGTGTGACCAACTGAAACAGGAGAGTGCTGACGCCACCCAGTTTTGGGAGCCCCTTCCTGCTAGGACGTATCCTGAGTTGTGAAACCAACCCTGCTTCCACCCATCCCTCCCCTCTGAGCTGTGGGTCCCGGGCCCGCGGGTCCTGCCCACCTCTCCCGGAAGACAGGTACCTCGTCCAATGGGAAATATGGCACAGAGTCCTCATCGCCCTGCTCTATGGGCTTCCCTCCAAATGCAACATTGACAGTGCTGGTATAGATGAGCCTTGGAACCCGCCGGCGAACACAGACTGCAGCAGCAGGTGCACATAGCAACAAATAAACACACACACACATGCAAAGACACAGACACACACGGGACACAAGTGAGCATAGAGTCGGCTGAGGAGGTGTCATGCAGATCTCTACCAAGTTTTCAACACACAACTTGGACCCCCAGGACCCTCCCAGAATCTACAGCTGTTCAGGAGGGAAGAGTCTCCTGCCCTTAACTTAGGGTGCAGGTCAAGTTCCTGCTCTGTGGGCCCCTGGGAGCCAGGTCTGCTCCTTATTCTTTCTCATTGTGGCTTGGACCCCTGGGCTACCTTGCCAGAGACAGGTCAGAAGAAGGTCTCACTGGATGGAGACTTAGAAAAAGACACTCTAGAATCAAAGACATACGGGATAAGGCAGGACATGCCCAGGCAGCCCACACATGGGTCTGCGATTTTGGTGCTTTAGTAACTTTTTATTTATCTGTTTGTTTATTTATTTATTTATTTATTTATTGAGACGGAGTTTCACTCTTGTTGCCCAGGCTGGAGTGCAATGGCGCGATCTCGGCTCACCACAACTTCCCCCTCCCAGGTTCAAGCGATTCTCCTGCCTCAGCCTCCCGAGTAGCTGGGATTACAGGCATGCGCCACCACGCCCCGCTAATTTTGTAGTTTTAGTAGAGATGGGATCTCTTCGTGTTGGTCAGTCTAGCCCCGAACTCCCGACCTCAGGTGATCCACCTGCCTCGGCCTCCCAAAGTGCTGGGATTACAGGCGTGAGCCACCTCGCCCAGACTTATTTATTTATTTTTAAATTTTATTTATTTATTTATTTTGAGATGGAGTTTTGCTCTTGTTACCCAGGCTGTAGAGCAGTGGCACGATCTCGGCTCACTGCAACCTCTGCCTCTCAGATTCAAGCGATTCTCCTGCCTCAGCCTCCTAGGTAGGTGGGACTGCAGGCACCCGCCACCACGCCTGGCTAATTTTTTGTATTTTTAGTAGAGGTGGGGTTTCACCATTTTGGCCAGGCTGGTCTCGAACTCTTGACCTCAGGTGATCCACCCCTGTTGGTCTCCCAAAGTGCTGGGATTACAGGCATGAGCCACCACGCCCAGCCAGCTTCGGCAACTTTTCTTTTTCCAGTCCCTAAGCCCTGAGAGGTAACTCTGGTCCCCATGTTCCCAGACATGCTAAGGCCACACTGACACACCCATGCAGGGCCCTGGGGAGGTCTGCAGTGCACGAAGGATGCGCTGCCCACAGGCCCTCCCTTTGACCCTACACCCTGGGAGCCAGGCCTGCAGCAGGAGAAGGGAGAGAGGGGGAGAGGCACAGCAGGTCATACCCGGCTCTGAGCACCTACCATCAATCACTAGTTTGGTGCCTCCAACATTTATAGACTCAATCTGCTCTTTCTGCAGCTAAAAGACAAGACAGGTGAGAAAGTCATGGTGCTACCCATGCCTTCTTGCTGAGGCTGGAAGGCTGAGCTTGGGGTCAGGTGGGACAGGGCAGCAGGATGTTCAGTTCAGAGGCAGGGATCCCGAAGGCCCACCTGGAGTGTGGGTGCCTGGCTCTGCCACCATCTTCCTGGGTGGCCAGAGGAGGTTCTGCCCACACATCTGTCCCTCAGCAACCTCATTTGTAAAGTGAGGGCCAACCTCCTCCCCTGGGTGGTGGGCGGGACTCAATAAGACACTTGAGAGGACCTGGTACAGTGCCTGGCACAGAAGATGGGCTCAGAACCTGTTGGGTCATTTTCCTACTCTCAAAGCCTCAGTTTCCCTATCTGTAAGGTGAACATGGTAATATGGGCTGGGCCCTCACGAGGGAGCTGGGATGTGAAAAACAAAAATTAGGCCGCTGTGAGGGCTCCTGTGGGCCAGGAACAGGGCAAGAACTTCCTGATCCATGATCTCATTTAATTCTCATCACACCAGGAGATGAGCTCCATGCTTATTTTTAAGCTATATTTATTATTATTATTTTTTTGAGACCGAGTTTAGCTCTTGTTGTCCAAGGTGGAGTGTAGTGGTACAATCTTGGCTCACTGCAACCTCTGCCTCCCGGGTTTGAATGATTCTCCTGCCTCAGCCTCCCAAGTAGCTGGGATTACAGGCATGCACCACCATGCCTGGCTAATGTTTTTGTATTTAGTAGAGATGGGGTTTCATCATGTTGGTCAGGATGGTCTCAAACTCCTGACCTCAGGTGATCCACCTGCCTTGGCCTCTCCAAATGTTGGGGGTACAGGCATGAGCCACTGCTTCCAGCCTATATTTATTCTTTTAAAAATTTTTGGCCAGGTGTGGTATCTCATGCCTGTAATCCCAGCACTTTGGGAGGCCGAGGTGGGCGGATCACTTCAGGTCAGGAGTTTGAGACCAGCTTGAGCAACATGGCAAAACCCCATCTCTACTAAAAATACAAAAATTAGCCAGGTGTGGTGGCGTGCAACTGTAATCTTAGCTACTCAGGAGTCTGAGGCAGAAGAATCGCTTGAGCCTGGGAGGTGGAGGCTGCAGTGAGCTGAGATCATATCACTGCACACCAGCCTTGGTGACTGAGCGAAACTCCGTCTCAAAAATAAATAAATAAATAAAAATAATAAAATTTACTTTTATTATTTTTAAATAGAGATAGGGGTCTCACTATGTTGCCCAGGCTGGTCTCGAACTCCTGGGCTCAAGCAATCCTCCCACCTTGGCCTCCCAAAGTGCTGGGATTACAGGTGTGAGCCACCACACCTGGCTCTATATTTATTCTTGTTGTGGCTGTTTTTGTTTCATAGGCAACACGATCAAGGTTAAAAAGAATTCAAACAGTAAAATGGGTGTATAGTGAAAAAGAAGGTTCCCTCCTACTCCTGATTCCAAATCTTCCTTTTCCCTCCCCAGAGGCAGCCACTGTTAAATTTCCGGTGTTTCTCGAGATAATCTATTCTTATTAATATCAGCATATAAGCATGTGTGACTATAGAAATAAATAGTTTCTTTAGCTTTTTTTGGAAACAAACAGGAGAATGCCAAACACTGCTTTGCACCTTGGAAACTATTTTTTTAATCTGCACACTTTGAGTTACCTCTTTCTTTTGAATGGCTGCATAGAATTTGACTGTAAAACACAATTTATTTAAATAGTCCTCAACTGATAGGTTATTTCTGGTGTTTTGTTATTAAAAACAATGCTGCAAATACACAAATGAGTGTAATTTCTGAGGCAACGGGTATACATATGTTTTGGTGGATACTATTACATTGCTCTCTGAAGAGGTTGTGATATTACCAATAGTAATATCCTCACTTTCCAGATGATGAAAGAGGATCAAAGAGGTTAAATAAACTTGCCCTAGATAACACAGTTATAAAATGGCAGAAATGGGGCCGGGTGCGGTGGCTCCTGCCTGTAATCCCAGCACTTTGGGAGGCCAAGGCGGGCAGATCACCTGAGGTCAGGAGCTTGAGACCAGCCTGGCCAACATGGTGAAACCCTGTTTCTACTAAAAATACAAAAATTAGCTGGGCGTGTTGGTGGCACCTGTAATCCCAGCTACTCAGGAGGCTGAGGCAGAAGAACCACTTGAACCTGGGAGATGGAAGTTGCAGTGAGCTGAGATTGTGCCACTGCACTCCAGCCTGGGTGACAGAGTGAGACTCAGTCTCAAAAAAAAAAAAAAAAAAAAAAAAAAAAAAAAAAAAAATGGCAGAACTGGTATTTGGTGTCATGGATGCAGGATGCAGGGTGGGAGTAGCCCAAGTCCCTCCTATAATAGGTGAAGCATGATAGGGAATGCATGGGTGTGAGGGCAGAGCCAGGACTGGAACCCCACTCTGTCTAACTCCAGGTGTTGTGTGTGAGGAGCCCACCTTCTCAGCCCCGGACATTCCATAGGAAGCCACGTGGAAGACACAGTCCACCCCTTCGAAGGCACGGTACAGGGCTTCTTCATCTCGGACATCAGCCTGCACCAGAGGAAGAAGAGATGAGGGCAGGGGGTTCAAGTCCAAGGCAAGAGATAACACCTCTGCACCTTGCCTGGTCTCAGAACTGGCCCCCTGACCCAGCCCAGGCCAAGCCTCTGTAGCATCAGGAAAGGCTGGTGGGGCAGGATTCACTAAATGATTCTACAGGGCACCGTGAGCAACATCCCGTGCTCATTCATCACGCTCTGTAGGTGACAGGGGCTGTGCTAGGTTTATGTGCACTGTCTCATCAACTCCCAATGAGACCCTGTGAAGTAGGTGTTGGTTACTATTGTCCCCTTTCTGTGACCATAGCTACCCAGCTGGTAGCACCAGAGCCAGAGCTATAGCTCAAACAGTCTGGCTTCAAACAGTGTGCCCCTAAACTCCACACCACAGGTTTCACATCAAACACTGTCCCCTGACCATCACCACTGCCCCAGTCTATTAAGACCCTTGTTCCTTGTACCTGGATGAACTTGGTTTCCGGGGACAGTTCCCACTGGGGTCTGCGGCGGTCAAGCAGAATGACGGAAGTGCCGCTCTTGGCTAGGTGGGATCCCAGGCTGAAGCCCAGGTAGCCTCCTCCTCCAGTCACTAGAACCTTCTGCCTGGCAGCCTTTGTAGGTTTGGCTTGAGTCTTCTGCTGCGGCGCTGGTGTTGGGGTTGTTGTTGACTCACTGGGTCTGGGCCCAGTCCCAGACCCCTGTCTGAGCCCAGGCCCTAGCTCTGGCTCAGGTGTAGACCCAGCTCCTGCCCCAGGTACTGATCCAGCTCCCGGCCCAGGTACCGATCCAGCTCCCGGCCCAGGTACCGATCCAGCTCCCGGCCCAGGTACAGACCCAGCTCCTGGCCCAGCTCCTACACCAGGTCCCAACCCACCTCCTAGACCAGGTCCCGACCCAGCTCCTGGTCCAGGTACAGACCCAGCTCCTGGCCCAGGTACGGACCCAGCTCCTGGCCCAGGTACGGACCCAGCTCCTGGCCCAGGTACGGACCTAGCTCCTAGACCAGGTACGGACCCAGCTCCTGGCCCAGGTACAGACCCAGCTCCTGGCCCAGGCCCTAGACCTGGTCCAGTCCCTGAAATAGCACCAGGCCTCGGAACAGTACCAGAACCCGCCTGAGGTCCTGGAATAGCTTTGGGCCCCAGTCCAGGCCCTGGAATGGCACCAGGCTTTGGTGCAGGCCTTGACTCAGACCCTGAGCCAGACCTTGGACCTGAGACCTCTCCACAGGCCTGGCAGACAGGGCAGCTCTTCTCACCCTGGCCTGCAGCTTTGCAGGCCTCTAGGGAGGAGCGTGGGGGGTTGGACTTCATCCTCTACTGAGCCATGCAGACCCAGAAACCGACCACCTGTGGGAAAAAAAATAGAAGAAAGAATGCTCTAGAATCGTTTCAAGTCACATAAATTATTAGACCTCTAGGACTGAGGGGAACTCCAGGTGGAAATTAGAAATTCTCTGAGTTCCCAGGGAACCTGCCCCTTTCAGAATCTCAAGAATCTCCAGTGTGGGCCCGGCGTGGTGGTTCACGTCTGTAATCCCAGCAGTTTGGGAGGCTGAGGTGGGCGGATCACTTGAGGCCAGGAGTTGGAGATCAGCATGGCCAACATGGTGAAATCCTGTCTCTACTGAAAATACAAAAATTAGCCGGGTGTAGTGGGGCACACCTGTAATCCCAGCTACTCAGGAGACTGAAGCACAAGAATTGCTTGAACCTGGAAGGCGGAGGTTGCAGTGAGCTGAGATGGTGCCACTGCACCCCAGTCTGGGCAATAGAATGAGACTCAGTCTCAAAAACAAACAAACAAACAAACAAACAAAAAACTCCAGTGTGGCTGCTGTCCTCTGCACAGAGTCAGAGACAAGGCAGCCAAGACTTGGATTTTAGAGCTAAGAAAATTGAGGCCCAAAGTCACGCTGTGTAACTGAGGTTGACATTAAGCATTCCTGACTTATCTACCAGTTCCTTAAAATTCCAGTTTCCATGGAGTACCAAAGGAAGACAGGGCAAATCATCCAGCGGGAACCTCACCAGACTGGGAGGTGGCTGCTTTCTGACTGGGGAGATTGGGAGAGCCTTCTGGAAGAGGAGGAAGAGAAAGAGGAGGAGGAGGAGAATCCACATGGATCCAAAAGGACTCTGCACCCTGGAAACTTGCACATGACTCCAAGTGCTGTGCCTGTCTCCACCCTGATGCCTGACGCCTCTGGTCCTCCAAGGTCCGACAGTAGTGTGGGTGGCTGGTACCACACGTTCTGCCCAATCCCTCTGCAGGCTTTAGGGTCTGGTCTATGGGCCTAGGGGGACAGCACTGAGGATCCTGTTCTTTGCAGCCTCAGACTACTTTCTTTTCTCTGTCGCCCAGGCTGGAGTGCAGTGGCACAATCATAGCTCACTGCAGCTTCAAACTTCTGTGCTCAAGCGATCCTTCCATCTTAGCCCCACAAGCAGCTGGGAATACAGGTGCATGCTACCATGCCTGGTGAATTTTTGCATTTTTAGTAGAGATGGGGTTTCACCATGTTGGCCAGGCTGGTCTTGAACTCCTGACCTCAAGTGATCCTCCCACCTCAGCCTCCCAAAGTGCTGGGATTACAGGTGTGAGCCACCGCATCCAGCTCCCTAGATCTTTTTTTAATTTTTGAGACAGAGTCTCACTCTGTTGCCCAGGCTAGTAGTGAACTCCTGGAACTCAAGCAATTCTCCTGCCTTGGCCTCCCAAAGTGTTGAGATTACAGGCGTTAGCCACTGTGCCCAGCCCTCAGTCTAGACTCAGGGCAAGCCAGGCTGTCAGTCACTGTCACCATCGTCCATCCCCCCACCCCCCTCCCGACCTCCCTCTCCACCTGAGGATGAGGCTGGATGACCAGGGCTAGGTGATCATTAACCGTAACAACAGCAACCATGTGCTAGGGACCTCTGTGCGCCAGGCCCTACATATACAGATAGGTGCATCTCTGCCCTGCATGGCATATACTGGCTGCATGAAAGAACGGGTATTTGTTGAGTGACTGGACTGATGAGCCCCATGTTTTTTTGCTGGTGGTGGTCACAGGGCAGGGACTCTGGCAGCTAGAGGGGCTGTATTTTTAATTTCCTCTGTTACTGCCCTGCTCACCAAATGTCTGGGTGAGGAATACAGTCCTGCCCCGTATAAGCACGAACACTCATGGCTTTATTTATTTATTTAGAGAAGGAGTCTCACTCTGTTGCTCAGGCTGGAGTGCAGTGGTGTGATCTTGGCTCACTGCAACCTCCGCCTGCCTTGTTCAAGCAATTCTCCTCCCTCAGCCTCCCGAGTAGCTGGGACTACAGGCACGCGCCACCACACCTGGTTAATTTTTGTATTTTTAGTAGAGACGGGGGTTTCACCATTTTGGCCAGGCTGGTCTCAAACTCCTGGTCTCAAGTGATCTGCCACCCTCAGCCTCCCAAAGTGCTGGGATTACAGGCGTGAGCCACTGCGCCCAGCCCACTCATGGATTTAATGAGAGAGACTGCAAACCATCATGAGCAGGGGCCTAAATCCCCGAGAGGGAGAGGAGAGGATGCAGCCCCACAGCGAGCCCTCCTCCTGTACTCAGGCCCAGAGGACTCTGTTCTGGGGAAGGGTCTATGGGACCAGAGCTGACTTTCTACCCTAAGAGGATGCCTTTTGTGGCAAAGGCTGGACTCAGCCTTGGATACTCACTTATTGGGGTGTGCCCTTGGGTAAGGGCCTTAAAACCTCACTGTACCTTAGTACCCACAACCGCGAATGGACCCAAATATTTCTGGCTGCTCTGGCTCCTCACAGGGTGGTCATGAGAAAACAGACGCCAGAATGCCTTGCGAGGCTAGATTGCAAAGCTCCAGGAGGATTTCATTCCCTGGAGTGTCCCAGCACCTAGAACAGTGCCTGGCGCAAAGCAGGCGGCCAGCAAATGCTGCTGGGTGAACAAAATCTCTGGGGCGTGTTCGGGATCTGGCTGTGCTATGGTCGCGCGCCAGACCCACCCTGGACATGGCTTCACTCATTCTTTTGGAAGTTCAGTGAAGTACAGGCTATGGTTCCCATTACCCAGAGGTGGAAACTGAGGCCCAGAGAACATGAGGAAACTTTGATGGAGTCACAGACAGTGTCTCCGCCGGAATCCAGGTCGATGGGGACCCCAAAAGCGGGTTTGGTGGAAGGAACTGGCAAAAGGGTGGGGAGCATCAGGGACTGACCCTGAGAGCGCTGGGCTCGCGGGCAGCTCCAGGGTGGGGGTCCCCTCCCCTCTTGGCTCCCTCACCCTCCCTGTCCCTCCAGCACCTGCGTCCCTCCCTGGCCCGCGTCCGGGCTTCGCTCACCTGGCCCGGGCTCCCGCGGCGCTGCGTGCTCCCCGCGCTGCGCCAGTCTCCGCGCCGCCAGGGCCACCGGGCCACCTCCTTCTCCCGAGGAGGGCAGAAAGGGGCGGGGCGGGGCGGGACGAGGCATCCGGACCGCCCCCCGCCCGCTCTTCTGCCCGCCCACTCCCGGCGCGGGAGCACCTGCATTCTCTCAGGTGGAGACCCGCGGGCTCTCATAGAGGGGAAACTGAAGCCAGTAGGGCTGGGATGGGCGAAATGGTCCACGCTTCTTGTGGGAAAAGACGCAAAGGCCCTGCGTGCCGGGCTCTGTCCTGCAGGCCAAGTCGTCCTAGAACCCCAAGAAAAAGGGTTTCATCTATATGTAGGAGCAGAATTGCTGGGTCATATGATTACTCTGTGTTTAGAGAAGAACCGCCAAACTGTTTTCTAAAGTAGCTGTACCATTTTACAATCCTACCAGCAGTGTATAGGGTTCCAATACTTCCGCATCCTTACCAACACTTATTATTATATCTATGTTTAAAATTTTAACTATTCTACTGGGTGTGAAGTGGTGTCTCATTGTGGTTTCATTTGAATTTCCTGATAGCTAATGCTGCTGAACATGTTTTCATGTGCTCATTGGCACATTAATGTGTTTTCTTTGGAGAAGTGTCTGTTCAAATCCTTTGCTCATTTTCAGTTGAGTTATTTGTTGACTTTTAAGAGTTCTTTGTATATTCTGGATACAAATCCTTCATCAGATAAATGATTTGCAAATATTTAAACAAAAACAAAAAACCAAAAAAGTTCTTCCATCATCCATCCTTCCACCTATCCATCCATCCTTCCATCCATCCATCCTTCCACCTATCCATCCAACCTTCCATCCATCCATCCTTCCACCTATCCATCCAACCTTCCATCCATCCAGCCTTCCACCTATCCATCCAGCCTTCCACCTATCCATCTAACCTTCCATCATCCATCCTTCCACTTATCCATCCAATCTTCTCCCTGACCATCCTTCTGCTTATCCATCCAACCTTCCATCCATCTGTACTTCTACCTGTCCATCCAGCTTTCCATCCATCTTTATTTCAACCTGTCCTTTCCATCCATCTGTATTTCAACCTATCCATACAACCTGTCATCCATCCATTCTTAAACCTGTCCATCCAACCTTCCATCATCTATCCTTCCACCTATCCATCCAAATTTCCATCCATCCAACCTTCCACCCATCTAATTCATTACATATATCTTTCTTTCCTTGCTTCTACCCATCTATCTACTCTCCCTGTCTTGCAATCTTCCACTTATCTCTGTTGATTTATGCATCAATCACATCATTCTATTTTGATGGGTGCTTCTTCAGTGCTGGATCATATCATCCTTTGAAAACTCATGTTCAGCTGGGTGTGGTGGCTCATGCCTGTAATCCCAGCACTTTGGGAGGCTGGGGTGGGCAGATCACTTGAGCCTAGGCATTTAAGACCAGCCTGGACAACATAGTGAGAGCCCATCTCTACAAAAAATTACAAAAAAAAATTAGCCGGGCATGGTGGCATGTGCCTGTAGTCCCAGCTACTTGGGAGGCTGAGGCAGGAGGATCACCTGAGCCTGGGAGGTGGAGGCTATGGTGGGCTGTGATTGTGCCACTGCAGTCTCATGCTGGAGAGCTCAGGCAATGGAGTGAGATCCTGTCTCAGTAAAAGAAAACTCATGTTCAAGTGGCAGTATTGGAGGGTCAGGCATGTGCCCAAGAGCTCACAACTGCTGTAATGGAGCCACAGGGGCTGAGAGCAGGAAGGGCTGGTCACTTTGCTCTGAAAAGGGCAACTGAAAAAGCCTCCACCCATACAACACCCTCTGTGGGCATAGGTGTGGGGAAGAGAAAAACAAAATCTTAGTCTGCATGTTCTATGAGCCAGATGGTAAGAGATCTTGTTTAATCCTCACAACTCTGTTTTAGCTCAATTTTAGAGACAGGGAAACAGGTTCAGAAAAGGGGCTCCAAATGTGGTGGGGAAAAGCCATAGGGTCAGTCCTGGATTTAAATCTTGGCTTTGCCACTTTCTTGCTGTGTGTCTTTGAGCAGCTACGAGGCTCAGTTTCCTCATCTGTAAACTGCAAATGATGTGCACTTTATAGTTGTCATGCTGTGAGGTTTATGGCTAACATGCTCTATGCAAAATGTTGAGCATGGTGCTGGCTCAATCAGTGTGCAAACAATGGTAGCTGTTCTCCTCATTACATGGGAGGTTGGGATTTGAACCTAGGTCCTGTCCTTCCCCACTTCATAAGCCATGTGTTTGGTTCAACCTTCCATTCACAAAGGCCAGCCTATTCTTCTCCCACCAACAGGGCCAGAGAACTCATATTCCCCAGTACCAGCTGCTGATATTGTCTTGCAAAGAGAAGCATAACTTACATCTGTGACGGGTTGAATTGTGTTCTTCACAAAATTCATATGTGGAAGTCCCAATCCCATGTACTTAACCCTAACTCTCCAAATAAAGTCACTGCAGATGTAATGAGTTAAGGTCATAGTGGAGTAGGGTGGGCCCCTACTCCAGTATGATTGGTGTTCTTATAAAGAGGGGAAATTTGAACAGAGACATGCACATAGGCAGAGCTTCATGTGAAGGCTGTAGTTATGCTGCCCAAAGCCAAGGAACTACCAGAATGGAGGAGAGAAGTCTGGAACGGATCCTTCCCAGTGTCTTCAGAGGGAGCATGGCCCTGAGGGCATCTTAATCTTGAATTTCCAGCTTCCAGAACAATAAGAGAATACATTTCTGTTGTTTCATCCACTCAATTTGTGGTACTTTGTTATGACAGCTCTAGCAAATGAATACAACCACCACAGGCCCTTTTCTCTGTATTTACAGACGTGACCCAAAATGGCAGCTGTGCAAGATGGACCAGACTGAGATTTACCATGGCAGGGGTTGTGGTCACCACTGCCTTCCTGGGCCCAGCACAGAGCCTGGCCAAAGCAGGGTCTCATCAAGCCTTAGCAAGTGAGTTTCGTTTTTTTTGAGACAGAGTCTCTGTTGCCAGGCTGGAGTGCAGTGGCACGATCTCAGCTCACTGCAACCTCCACCTCCCGGGTTCAAGCGATTCTCCTGCCTCAGCCTCCGAGTAGCTGGGACTACAGGCGTCCACCACCATGCCTGGCTAATTTTTGTATTTTTGGTAGAGACAGGGTTTCTCCATGTTGGCCAGGCTGGTCTCGAACTCCTGGCCTTGAGCCATCTGCCTGCCTTGGTCTCCCTAAGTGCTGGGATTACAGGCGTGAACCACCGCACCTGGCCACAACTGAGTGTTTTTAAACAACTTGATGAATTTTTACTTATGTATAGCTCAATGTAACTCCTACCTTTATCAATATATAGAATATTTTCATCACACCAGATGTCCCCTTTGTGTCCCCCATCCCACAGGGTAACTAGTATTTTGACTTCAATCACCAATAAGGAGTTTGGCTGGTTCTTGAACTTCATATAAATGACTTTATACAGTATGTACTCCTTTGTGTCTGGTTTCTTTTGCCCAATATTATGAGACTGATGCATCTTGTTGAATATAGCTGTATAGATCATTCTTTTTTGGGGGTGCAGGCAGGGTCTCACTCTATTGCCAAGGCTGGAGTATAGTGGCATGATCAAGGCTCACTGCAGCCTCAACCTCTCCTGGGCTCAGGTGATCCTTGCACCTCAGCCTCCTGAGTAGCTGGCACTACAGGCATATGCCTCCAAGCCTGGCTAATTTTTGTATTTTTTTGTAAAGATGGGTTCTCACCATGTTACCTAGGCTAGTCTCAAACTCCTGGGCTCAAGCCATCTACCTGCCTTGGTCTCCCAAAGTGCTGGGATTTCAGGTGTGAGCCACCACATGAGCCGTTCATTCTTTTTAAATTGATGCATAATATTTCACTGTAAAATGTATCAGATTTTATTTGCACATTCTGCCACTGATGGACATTGGGTAGTTTCCAATTTTGAGCTCTAATGAATAAGGCTGCTGGAAAAATTCTTATATGTCTTTTGTCTAACATATGCACTCATTACCCTTGGAGTGGAATTACTAGATCATAGAGTAGGCATATGTTTTACTTTAGTAGAAATTGCCAAATAGTCTTCCAAAGTTATTGAGTCAAATTATACGTCCCTACCCCAACCCCTACCCTAATTGGAATATGAGTGTTCCAACTGTTCCACATCTTGATATTGTAGTTCTTTTTTTGTTCTGTTTTTAGAGACAGGGTCTCATTCTGTTGCCCAGGCTGGAGTGCAATGGCCCAGTCTCAGCTCATTGCAATCTCCACCTCCTGGGTTCAAGCGATTCTCATGCCTCAGCCTCCTGAGTAGCTGGAATTACAGGTGTGCACCACCATGCCCAGCTAATTTTTGTTGTTTTTAGTAGAGACGGGGTTTCACTATGTTGGCCATGCTGGTCTCAAACTTCTGACTTCATGTGATCCGCCCACCTTGGCCTCCCAAAGTGCTGGGATTACAGGTGTGAGCCACCATGCCTGGCCATCTTGTCTTTTTGTTTGTTTGTTTTTAAGAGACAGGGTCTTACTCTGTTGCCCACGCTGGAGTGCAATGGCACAATCATAGCTAACTGTAGTCTCAAACTCCTGGGCTCAACTGATCCTCATGCCTCAGCCTCCTGAGCAGCTAAAACTACATGCATTGGGCCACCATGCCTGGCTAATTTCTTTTAAATTTTTGGAGACATGGGGTCTTGCTATGTTGCCCAGGCTGGTGTTGAACCCCTGGCATCAAGCAATCCTCCCATCTCAGCCTCGCAAAGTGTTGGGATTAGAGGCATGAGCCACTGTGCCCAACCCCAGTCTTTTTTATTTTAGCCATTCTAGTGGGAGTGTAGTGGCATCTCACTGTGGTTTTAATTTACACTTCCCTGGCAGGTAAGGCTGTTGAGCACCTTTTCATGTACCTATTGTCCATTTTAAAAATTGGATGGGCTGGACGCGGTGACTCATGCCTGTAATCCCAGCACTTTGGGAGTCTCAGTCGGGCCGGATCACCTGAGGTCAGGCGTTTGAGACCAGCCTGGCCAACATGGTGAAACCCCGTCTCCACTAAAAATAAAAATAAAAAAAATTAGCTGGGCGTGGTGGCAGGCACCTGTAATCCCAGCTACCCTACTCGGGAGGCTGAGGCAGGAGAATCGCTTGAACCTGGGAGGCGGAGGTTGCAGTGAGCTGAGATCGTGCCACTGCACTCCAGCCTGGGCAAAAAGAGTGAGACTGTGCCTAAAAAAAAAAAAAAAATTGAGATGGGCCAGGCACAGTGGCTCACGCCTATAATCCCAGCACTTTGAGAGGCCAAGGCGGGCAGATCCCCTGAGATCAGGAGTTCAAGACCAGCCTGGCCAACATAATGAAACCCTGTCTCTACTAAAACAAAAATTAGCCAGACGTGGTGGCAGGCCCCTGTAGTCCCAGCTGCTCAGGAGGCTGAGGCAGGAGAATTGCTTGAACCCAGGAGGCGGAGGTTGCAGTGAGCCGAGATTGCACCACTGCACTCCAGCCTGGGCAACAGAGCGAGACTCTGTTTCCAAAAAAAACAAAAAAATGGATGTTTATCTTTTTCTTATTGAAATTCTTTATTATGGTATGAGTCTTTTAATAAAGTTTTATGTCACTAAAAATTTATGCACACACACACACGCCAATGATCACTTCAAACAGTTAAAGTCATGTTGATCCTATTAGTAGAATAAAATTAATTGTTTTTAATTTTAGAAAATGAACCCAGATGAGCAGCCTTCACTTCAGTTTGGTTGGGCAGGGATGGAGGGTGGTGCTGAGGCTCACTTGTTTCTTCTTCCCCCAGGATGGGCTGACTGTGACTCTGCATTAGCCTCTTATGAACCAGGGTGGAGACCACCCCATCAGCTGCTTTCCAGAGCTAGGCTCTCACAGCTCAGCCGCCTGCTCACTGTTCACCATGTGTCTCCTATGTGGCAGCTTCTGGGGACCTGCAGATCCTGGGACACCAGTCTCATCCCGAAGGAGCTCACCATCAAGGAGAAGAGTTAGATCAGCGAGCAAGGTGGCGTGACATAGAGTGCTGAGTGCGAGAGGTCTGCGTGGTCAGGATGCTGCAAGAGAAAGACTGGAGGCCCCTCGCTCTAGATAGGTCCCAGGGAGCTGATGTCATTTGAGCTGTGCCTTGATGGATGAGCAGGAGTCTCCAGGCAGAGGGGGCAAGAAGCACCGTTCAGGCAGGGGGTTGGTTTGCAAGAAGCACCACCATTTAGGCAGGGGGTTGGTTTAGGGCTTCCCAGAGAGGGACAATCTAGTGGCTGGAGAGTAGAGTGCGCTGCGGGACAGGGCTGGAGAGTTAGATTAAGACCCGGGAATGGCCCCTCACACAAAAGACAAAGTCTTTCCTTCCTCAGCTTCCAGAGAGTCCTGGTACCAGGAATCATGTTTCCTGCAGGTCACAGCATTTCATCCCATCCTGCCCTCGGGGCTGAGATTTGCTCAGTGAGTGGTCCTTTGCAGGATGACTTTTCTGTTTAGAGGAATCATTATTTTTTAACCAAAGTTATTATTGACCACAAAATAGAGCATGCCACTTGGTGCTTAGTGCACACTCAGGTAGTATGGGGTCTAGCCCCTCCCCTTACCTGAGAACACTTCTCTAGGAAAGAGTGACCTTTGGTTCTGCATCATTTTTCTTCTGGAGTTGGGATCTGGTGGGCAGGAGATGAAGAAAGATGGTCTCCCTGGTGCCCAGATTTCTGGGCTGGCTGGGAGAAGCAGGGCAGGAACCCTTGGAGCAAGGGTACCATCATGGGTGCGGCCCTTCTCGATGGGGTCCGGGGTCTGCATGGGCTGTAGCCACATGGCAGGCCGGAGAGGCTGCGTGAAGGGCATACCTGAAGGATTGGGCCTGCCAGAGGAAGCTTCTGGCCTTGGTGATCTCCTGGGCCAGGATCCTTAAATCATCTCCTTCAAATGGTGGCAATGTGGGATCCTTGAAAAGAGGAAATGAGTGTGAAGTTTATGACTGGATGGGAGCTGAAAATCCAAAATCTCAGGAAAAGCATTTTAGAGCTAATCACGTTCTGGTTTCCATCCAGTGCAGGAAATCTTGTGAGCCTCTGCTTGTATATCTCCAGGGTCAGGAAGCTCACTACCTATCAAGACAGTCATTCTGCAAAGGGGAAACTTTGAAATATGGTGTCTGAGAGTCAGTGTAGGGAGGGGACGGTGGCAAAGTACGATGGTGTCAGAATCTGAGTGAAAGTGGCCCCACTCTGGTCCAGTGGAACAGAAATGACACCGTTTCCTTATCTCAGCGCTATTCAGTAGAATCTGTTCAGCCATTTTTTGCATTTCTTCTAGTGAAGTAGACTTACAGGTATGCTTTTTATTTGGTTGATTTTAGAGACAGAGCCTTGCTCTGTTGTCCTGGCTGCAGGGCAGTGGCGTGATCACGGCTCACTGTAGCCTCGACCTCCTGGGCTCAAGCTATCCTCCCACTTCAGCCTCCCAAGTAGCTAGGACCACAGGCATGTGCCACCACACCTGGCTGAGGCATGCTTTTTTTTTTTTTTTTTTTTTTTTTTTTTTTTTTTTTGAGACGGAGTCTCGCTCTGTCGCCCAGGCCGGACTGCGGACTGCAGTGGCGCAATCTCGGCTCACTGCAAGCTCCGCTTCCCGGGTTCACGCCATTCTCCTGCCTCAGCCTCCCGAGCAGCTGGGACTACAGGCGCCCGCCACCGCGCCCGGCTAATTTTTTGTATTTTTAGTAGAGACGGGGTTTCACCTTGTTAGCCAGGATGGTCTCGATCTCCTGACCTCATGATCCACCCGCCTCGGCGTCCCAAAGTGCTGGGATTACAGGCGTGAGCCACCGCGCCCGGCTGAGGCATGCTTTTTAAAAAAAATGTTAACTAATAAAATTTCGCCACCTATCCTTAAAAATACATCTTACCAATCCCAGCGCTTTGGGTGGCTGAGGCGGGTGGATCACTTGAAGTCAGGAGTTTGAGACCAGCCTGGCCAACATGATGAAACCTCATCTCTACTAAAAATATAAAAATTAGCTGGGTGTGGTGGCAGGCACCTGTAATCCTAGCTACTCGGGAGGCTGAGACATGAGAATCACTTGAACCCAGGAGGCAGAGGCTGAAGTGAGCTGAGATCATGCCACTGCACTCCAGCCTGGTGACACAGCAAGACTTCATCTCAAAAAAAAAAAAAAAAAAAAAAAAGAAAAAGAAAAAAGAGGAAGCCATCCCTTCTGCCTGGCAGTAGTAGCACAGCAATCCCATTCTGCATGCAAAAACAATTCAGAGAATCTGATTGGATAAGGAATTAAGCTGAGAGCCTTAAACATATCATCACTTGTTTTCCTGTGTAATAAGGACGCTTGGGTGAATATTCATTACTTTTACCAATTTGTTCAGTTCTCTGTATTATTTATAATACTTGTCCCTAGAAGAGCTAGTTGAACCAAAGGAGTCATGTAAGGCTACCCAGGCTTCAAAGATTATGCCAGCCGAGCCTGACGGTTCACACCTGTAATCCCAACACTTTGGGAAGCTCAGGCGGGAGGATTACTTAATCCTAGGAGTTTGAGATCAGCCTGGGCAACATGGTGAGATCCTGTTTCTACAAAAAATTAAAGAAATTAGCTGGGCGTGGTGGCACACCTGTGATCCCAGCTACTCTGCAGGCTGAGGTGGAAAGATTGCCTGAGCCCAGGAGGTGGAGGCTGTGGTGAGCTGTGATTGTTCCTCTGCACTCTAGCCTGGGCAACAGAATGAGACCCTGTCTCAAAAAAAAAAAAAAAAAAATTATGCCATGTCCTGTGAAAGTAACCTTTAACCTCTGAAAAGAAATCTGGAATTCTGATTGGTTGTCTTACTTGATAATTTGTTGCGCTGGGAATGTTATCACTGACAACATTGCATTCCTAAAAGGTATAAATAAGTGCAGAATTTTCCTATTAAGTCAGAAGTGGATCATTGAAATCTATGACTTTACTAGACTTATTACTTAATAGATAACCTATGACTTTGCCAGATCTATTGCTTAACAGATAACTTGAATGTCTGTATTTCAATGAATTGAACCCCAGAAGACACAAATATGCAGGAATTAAAGCACAAAGTTTAAGATCATGGGTGTCTTGGGGCTCTAGCTATACCACTTCCTCTGACTAGTTTTTATTGTTGTTGTTTGTTTGTTTTGAGACGGAGTCTTGCTCTGACACTCAGGCTGAAGTGCAGTGGCGCAATCTCGGCTGACTGCAACCTGGGTCTCCCAGGCTTAAGCAATTCTGCCTCAGCCTCCCGAGTAACTGGGATTACACGTGCATGCCACCATGCCTGGCTAATTTTTGTATTTTTAGTACAGACGTCATTTCACCATGTTGGCCAGGCTGGTCTCAAACTCCTGACCTCAAGTGATCCACCCACCTCGGCCTCCCAAAGTGATGGGATTACAGGTGTGAACCACCGTGCCCAGCTTTAGGTGTATTCTTAAACCTTGCTGGCCCTCTCGTTCACCTGTTAAATGGGTATAATATTAAAAGAGGTTATCTACATAAAGCCACATAAATTTCCAACAAAGGCAAACTGGCCTGACCATCAGGAAATATAACACCCTCAAATCCTGCTTCTTTCCCAGCCTTGAGGAGAGTCAGCCTAAAAGGACAGCAGCAGGGAAACCCAATCCTTTTCAGCTAATATTTTGTCTCAACGAAAAGCAGAGATCTTTTTCGTCAGAAGGAAAACCCAGGATGGGCGTGGTGGCTCATGCCTGTAATCCCAACATTTTGGGAGGCCGAGGTGGGAGGTTCACTTGAGCCCAGGAGTTCAAGAAGGAAAACCCCATGCCTGTTGATATTTTATCGAGCCGTTTCAACAGACCTCATGCTCAGTGGCTCTGCAACCTACCTTTTCATTGATGAAGCCTTTGGTCAGCAGGCTGTGAATTTTGGAGAGTGTGTCCTCACCCACAGGGCAGTGATAGCGTCCGCCGGTGAAGGAAGCCAGCTTTCTCAGGAACTCAACCGCCGCTCTGGAAGGAAGGGACAGAGGGCTGGTGGGAAGGCTGACTGACCAGGCAAGTTCGTGTGACTCCCCACGTCCATGGGGAACTTAAGTCCGTGGGGCTTAAGAGAAATCAGCCTGGCAATGGGCCGTGGCTTGTCCCATGGAGACCACCATTAGAGGACACTTTCCCCACCAGCTTCTGGACAGCTATAGCAACTGCTGCTGCTTGAGGGAAGAGGAGTCCCCGTGTGAGTGTCACCATTTAGCCTGGACCCCCTGAAACCACACAGCCCACACACTCCAGCCCCCATTTCTTTTCTTTTCTGAGACAGAGTCTCAGTCTGTCACCCAGGCTGGAGTGCAGTGGCACAATCTTGGCTCACTGCAACCTCAGCCTCCCAGGTTCAAGCGATTCCCCTGCCTCAGCCTCCTGAGTAGCTGGGACTACAGGCACCTGCCACCACGCCCGGCTCATTTTTGTATGTTTTTAGTTGAGACGGGGTTTCGCCATGTTGGCCAGGCTGGTCTCGAACTCCTGACCTCAGGTGATCTGCCTGCCTTGGCCTCCCAAAGTGCTGGGATTACAGTCATGAGCCGTCGTGCTCAGCCTAGCCCCCATTTATTTATGGGACATTTATCCAGTGCCTACTATGTGTTAGGCCTGTAAAGGACACACATATTACACTTATGGGGCTCATGGTTTAGACCAAGAGATAAAATGTGTCCCTATGCAGTCTGTTTTGCTAATAATAAAGTTTTTTTTTTTTTGAAGGAGCTGAGTATGTCTTATCTGACATGTGTTCTTTTTCACATTTTTATTTTGTTTTGTAGAGATGGAATCTTGCTATGATATCCAGGCTGGTCTCGAACTCCTGGCCTCAAGTGATCCTCCCACCTCAGTCTCCCAAAGCACTGGGATTATAGGCATGAGCCATTGTGCCCGGTCATAGCACATGGTCTATAGTGATCGTTTATAAAAAAAAATAACCATGACAATGCTACATTAATATTTTTCTCTCTGGCTTTTCCCCTAAATGTCCCCTAAATATTCACAAATGTGATCCCAGGGAAGAGTAGGAGGGAGACTGTAAAATGACTGTGTGAATCCCTTGCAAATGTGTTTCCAGGCTGGAGGAAGTCAGAGGGAAATATCTGGGTAAAGAGAGGGGTTTTCACCCTGTGGTGTGACACCGGCTTGGGCCGTCTAGAAAAACAATGCTTCTCCTAACTTCTTTCTTTTCTTTCTTTTTTTTTTTTTTTGACAGTCTCACTCTGTTGCCCAGGCTAGAGTGCCATGGTGCAACCTCCGCTGACTGCAACCTCTGCCTCCCTGGATCAAGTGATTCTCACGTCTCAGTCTCCTGAGTAGCTGGGATTACAGGCGCCTACCACCACACCTGTCTAATTTTTGTATTTTTAGTAGAGACAGGGTTTCACCATGTTGGCCAGACTGGTCTTGAACTCCTGACCTCAAGTGATCCACCTGCCTCAACCTCCCAAAATGCTGGGATTACAGGCGTGAGCCAGCATGCCCGGCCGCTTCTCCTAATTTCTGATTTACAGGATTAGGGCCCAGGAGAAACCCGTGTCTAAGTGAGCAGCTAGATTAGGTGAGGGGCTTGGATCTCCCTGCTGAGATGTGTGGCTGTGGAAAAAGAATAAAACTCAGTCAGACTCCATATTGCGCACCTGTCTGAGCAGTTCAAGGAAATGGTGTGCACTTTCACATCTCTTTTCTCCCTGAGTTTTTGGACTTCATTTAGGACAAGGCTGCAGCTTGTGTCTGGCTTTCCGTCGGTCAGGAGGTACAATCCTTCCAGATCATGGAAACTGAAAGCTTTCTGAAAGAACGCAGGAAGGCTGTCAGGCTCAGGGGAGAGGCTCACCCAGAACACAAGAACCAAATGCCTAAAGGTAGTGCCTGCTGCCGCCTCTGCCAAAATGCATCTGATTGGATGCCACTGACCTGTTCAAAAAGACTGAGATTCTCTTTCAGCCTCAGACAGACTAAGGAAGCTGCTGAGGTTTAGGAGAAATAGCATGGTTCACTGCCTAGCTGGTTAATCCCAAGCAAGTCACTTAACCTCTCTGAGCCTCTGTGTCTTCATCTATTTTTTTTAATTTTTATTTTTTTGAGATGGAGTTTCGTTCTTGTTGCCCAGGCTGGAGTGCAATGGTGCAATCTCGGCTCACTGCAACCTCTGCCTCCCAGGTTCAAGCAATTCTCCTGCTTCATCCTCCCAAGTAGTTGGGATTACAGGCATGTGCCACCACGCCCGGCTAATCTTTTGTATTTAGTAGAGACGGGGTTTCACCATGTTGGTCAGGATGGTCTTGAACTCCTGACCTCAGGTGATCCACCTGCCTTGCCCTCCCAAAGTGCTGGGATTACAGGTGTGAGCCACCGCACCCAGCCTGTGTCTTCATCTATAATGTGAGAACATTGAGAATCCTTTTCTCACTCGGGTGTTGGGAAGATGAAATGATGTAGTGCTTTGTAAATTATAAAGCGCCCTTTGTAAATCCTAAAGCATCGTGCAGCATCAGCATAGGGGATGATGGTATTTGTTTTGCGTCAAGGTCGGGCTCCGTGGTGGGACTTGCCAGCAATGCTTGCAAGATGGAGGTGCTGCCCTGAGCTTGCAGGTGGGTCACCCATTGCATAGCCTCATGACACGCTGCATCTGTGGTCTCCACCAGCGTGTCCTGCCATGACTGAAAGCTCTCTGCAAAGCTGAGCAGGTTAAAACTGGGGAGGAGGAAAAGAGGAGGTGAGGGGCAGAGAAGGGGAGAAAGAGATTGGTTAGAACAGGCCTGTCTAGATTGAATTCAGATAAGTTACCCTCATGAGGACTATTCTTGCTCGTCACTGAAGACCCCTACAACGAGCCCTGTGGCCCCTCAGGGAGAGGGCTGTGGGGCCTCTTGAGAATGAGAGGGTACACACTGACAATTTGAATGCAGACAGAAATAGATTTAAATCCCAGCCCAAGCCAGACACAGTGGCCTGTGCCTGTAATCCCAGTACTTTGGAAGGCCAAGCTGGGAGGATTGCTTGAGGCCAGGAGTTCAAGACCAGCCTGGGCAACATAGTGAGACCCCCATCTCTACGAAAAAGATTTTTAAAAAATTAGCCAGGCATGGTGGTGTGCGCCTGTAGTCCAAGCTACTTGGGAGGCTGAGGTGGGAGATCACTTGAGCCCAGGACGTTGAGGCTGCAGCGAGCTATGATCACACCACTGCACTCCAGCCTGGGAGACAGAGTGAGACCCCGTCTCAAAACAAACAAGCAAACAAACAACCCAAACAATCCTATCTCAGCCAGTGACTGGTTACCCGATCTTCAGCAAGTGTCTTAACCTCTTGAAGTCCTGGCTTCCTTTTCTGAAAAATGGGGGCCGATAACAGCAACACCTCACGGGCTCATTGTGAGAGTTGATGAAATGATGCGTGTAAAGCATCTGGTGCACAGAAAGTGCTCAATAAATGTATACTCTGATTAAGGCAAGAACGAGGCCTAGTCTACGATGAGAGTCCCCTGGGGTCCCCTTCGGGTCAACCCTTCTGGATGGGGAAAATAAACAACTTCCTCCACTCAAAAATCAAGTTCACAAAAATTAAAAAAATTAAATCATTAAATAATTTAAAACAAATCAAGTTCAGCTGAAAGCCATACTTCAAGGCCACATGGTAGTTCCTTTGCTGTGCTTGCAATTGTCCCTAGGCCTGAAATTAATTTTTAAAAATTGCGTTCCTTTTTTTTTTGAGACAGGGTCTTACTCTGTTGCCCAGGCAGGAGTGCACTGGTGCAATCATAGCTCACTGCAGCCTCAACCTCCTGGGCTCAAGTGATCCTCCCTTCTCAGCCTCCCAAGTAGTTGGGGCTACAGGTGCACACCACCATACCCAGCTAATTTTTAAATGTTTTGAAGAGATGGGATGACACTTTGTTGCTGAGACTGGTCTTGAATTCCTGAGCTCAAGTGATCCTCCTGCCTTGGCCCCCAAAATTGCTGGGATTACAGGTATGAGCCACCATACCCGGCCTCTAAAAACTGATTTCCTTCACAGCAGAGCAGAATACAGTGCTCTTTCCTACTCAAACGCGTTACTCAGAAGAGCATCTCAGAAACTCCAGGCCTGTTGGCACTGAGAAGAGGGGGCGTGCTTGGCCAGGGAAGCCCCAGGAACTGCCCCTTTGATCTTCCTGATCAGCCCTCGCCTCCTACCTGTCACAGCACTTCCGCAGCTGTTCCCAAATCAGCAAAACCAGCTCTGTCTTCACCTGCTGCAGGTAGGGGCCCATGGACCCTGACGTGTCCAGCAATATGCATACTTTGCTCTCCAAAACGGTGCCAAACAGTCGGCGGCTCCCTGCTCCGAGACAGGTGGGGAAGAGGCAGGGAGGGAGTGAGGGGTCCCTCCTCCTGGGTGGTTTCCCTCACTCTATCTATCAAGTATAAAGTCTTGTGACACCTGTTGCCTGCCTGATCATTGATTGGATGTCACCCCACTGAGAGACGGCTTTTGTGGTGCTGTGGGAGGGGTCGATTGTCCAAGGACAGACCTGGTCAGTGGTTTGGGCTTTGGGAGATCGAGATTTCAGCTCTGGCTTTGTCTGTGATGAGTTGCACAAGCGGTTATAACCTCCTGGGCTTGAATTTCCTTATCCTTAAAGTTAAGTGATTGGATTAAATAGTACCATGACATTGTTTTAAAATATTAGATGGTGTTTGGGTGTGTACTGGTATGTGAGCTGGGGGATTCATACTACAAAAGAAATCGCTGGATCTCTGGTTTTATGTCACCGTTCCCAGGGGTAATGTGAACCGAGGGTGGAGAGAGGCTCACGCCTTCTCTGTCCCAGCTCAGCCTCTGACCTGACAACTGTACCTGAAGCAGCAGTCATCATGACGCCCCTGTCCATGGACTGTCTATACCAGGTCCTACTGCAGAGGACTGGACCTAATGAATTTACACAGGACCCTGAGTGGCACGTACAAAGCCACCTGTAGGATCTCTATATAGGACTCCCTTCCTCCCTCCTCCTGATGCCCCAGAAACCCTCCAGGCCCCATAGCCCGAATCCCCTCCTGTCCAGTTCTAGCTGTCTGCCTGTCTTCTTGGGCTTGATGCTTCCAGACCGTCTCTTAATCCACAGCCCAACCCTGTCCATTCACCTCTCCTGGAGGGGACTTGGTGCTCTCTGTAAAGAGGTACACAGTAGCTCACACCTATAACCCCAGGACTTTGGGAGGCTGAGGCAGGAGGATAGCTTGAGCCTAGGAGTTCGGGGCCAGCCTGTGCAACATAGAAAGACTCTGTATCTAAAAAAAATAAATAAAGTAAGCTGGGCATGGTGGCACGTGCCTGTAGTCTCAGGTCCTTGCAAGGTTGAGGTGGGAGGATTGCTTGTGCCCAGTTCAAGGCTGCAGTAAGCCATGACTGCACCACTGGACTCCAGACTAGGTGACAGAGAAAGACCCTGTTTCTAAAACAAAACAAAACAGAGGGTTTCTGCTCTGTCAGTTCCCCTTACCATCTGCATCTCCAGGGGCTGTTTTGCTGGGGCGCAGTCAATATTAAAGCAAACCTTTTGACAGTGAGCCCCTTGTCACTTGCAGGAAGGCAAGGTGTGGCAGGTGGCCTTGCAGAGCAGGCTGGGATGCGTGTGAGCTCCCGCTGGGGCTCTTTGGCCCATGTTCCACCTCCCTGTTATCCAGCCCCTTGCCTGTCCTCTGAACCCACTGTCATTTTTTTTTTTTTTGGATAGAGTTTCACTCTTGTTGCCCAGGATGGAGTGCAGTGGCGCGATCTCAGCTCACTGCAACCTCTGCGATTTTCCTGCCTCAGCCTCCTGAGTAGCTGGGATTACAGGTGCCCGCCACCATGCCTGGCTAATTTTTTGTATTTTTAGTAGAGACGGGTTTCATCATGTTGGCCAGGCTGGTTTCGAACTACTGACTGGTGATCCACCCACCTTGGCCTCCCAAAGTGCAGAGATTACAGGCATGAGCCACCACGCCCGGCCTCCCAGTGTCATGTTGTATGTGGATGATGTTCCTGGCCTAATCCTCTGATCTGCAGTTCTTGAAGGCCTGGCTTTGGAAGGACTGACACTGGGGTCCCTGGGGCTAGCCTTCTACATCCCCTCATGCTCCTCCACCCTTCAGGGCAGTGGGCAGGCTCACCGGACAGCAGCCACTGCAGCCTCTGGACATAGCGCCTTAACACCTTCTCCAAGTGCCTGATGTACACCTCCATCTCCCTGGGCGTCCACTGGATGTGTCTCACCACTCCCTGGGTTAAGGCAAGCAGAGGCAAGCACCCACCCCATCAGTCATTTCTTCATATCCCCATCACCCCCTAAAATTGTTTATTCCATTGTGGTTAACAATTCTCAAAATATTTGTTGGCTGGGCACGGTGGCTCATGCCTGTAATCCCAGCGCTTTGGGAGGCCGAGGCAGGAGGATCGCTTGAGCCCAAGAGATCAAGACCAGCCTGGGTAACATAGGGAGACCTCATCTCTACCAAAAACAGAAAATTTAGCTGGTGTGGTGGCATGTGTCTGTGGTCCCAGCTGCTTGGGGGAGGCTGAGGTGGGAGGATTGCCTGAGCCCAGGGAGGTAGAGGCTGCAGTGAGCTGTGATTGCACCACTGCACTCCTGCCTGGATGACAGAGCAAGATCCTGTCTCAACAAACAAACAAAAACCCACAAAAAACAACCATCTGTTAAGTGTATTTTTTTTTTTTGTTTAAAGCCTTTTTTTCTTCTATTAAACTAGTGGATTTATGGTTCTACAAAGGAGTAGGGAATTAAGATTTTTTTTTTGGTAAATGCAGTTGCTATATTAATAAAAATCATAATAATTTCTGATTTTTTTTTTTTTTTGAGACAGAGTCTCAGTCGGTTGCCCAGGCTGTGTAGTGCAGTGGTGCGATCTCGGCTCACTTCAGCCTCTGCCTCCCGGGTTCAAGCGATTTTCCTGCCTCAGCCTCCTGAGTAGCTGGGATTACAGGTGCACAGCACCATGCCTGGCTAATTTTTGTATTTACAGTAGAGACGGGGTTTCACTGTGTTGGCCAGGGTGGTCTCGAACTCCTGACCTCAGGTGATCCGCCCGCCTTGGCCTCCCAAAGTTCTGGGACTACAGGCATGAGCCACTGCGTCTGGCCAATAATCTCTAAATTTTAAAATAGAAAACTCTAAATGGTGGGGTAAGAAGTTCATAAATTTTGAACTGAAAGATGACTTCAGGTGGAGAGGGGCAACATGCTAGAATGACCCTATATTCCTCTAGTGAATAATTTTGAATTTTGTGGCTATTTTTAGTTTCCCCTAATCTTGACAATGTAGGATAAGAGGGCAAGGAGAGAAATGATCAGATTTTCATTCTGTACTAAATTTACTTGTTCCAGTGTCAAAGCAATAAAAAATCACCCCAAAATTAGAAAATAGAAAAGAGAACCCTTCACTTCCTATCACAACCCCTATTTGCTGCCATAACAGAACCATCATCAGTATTGGGGTACAGCATTCTTATGGGTGAACACTTCAGCCACGGCCCAATCTTCTCAGCAATTGCTATTTTTCCTATCTTTTCCTTTTTATGTTTTAAGAGTCAGGCTCCTGCCCCATGGCCCAGGCTGGAGTGCAGTGGCGTGATCACGGCTCACTGCAGCCTTGAACTCCATGACTCAACTAATCCTCCCGCCTCAGCCTCCCAAGTAGCTCGGACTACAGGCACACAGCTGCACCTGGCTAATCTAATTTTTTTTCAGAGATGGGGTCTTGCTATGTTGCCCAGGCTGGTCTCAAACTCTTGGGCTCAAGCAATCCTCCCACCTCAGCCTCCTAAAGCACTTGGTATTACAGGCAGGAGTCACCGCACCTGGCCTCGGCAATTGTTTATAATTCTTATTCCAATGAGCTCATCTAACCCTGGAATGGGATCTTAGGCCCTCTGGGAAGTTGGCTTTTCTTCCAACAGGATTTTGCATCTCCTATTTGGTGAGGGGAGTCCCACTTTGGGGAGGAGGGCAGTTCCTACAAGCAGAAATAGAGGCCACAGTGCCCTACACTGCTCTCTGCCATTTGCAGCTGAGTTGGGGGAGAAAAAAAAGACGATGATGAAAATTGTGACTTACATGGATCTCAACGCTGGGGAAGATGCTGCAGTGTTTGGCGGATGCTGACCTCTGTCCTGACTTTTGATGAGTGCAGTTGGGACCCATGCATCTGGAAATCTCCAGCTTCAATTTTTTGAGCCCATATTTTGCCACCCACTTTAGAATAAAGGAAAGAACTATTATCTTAGGCAATTCAGACTCAACTGAATGATCATCTGACTGGTCTATGAGAACCTCATGTTTGAAACCTGTATGATGTTTGAAATGTGGGATTCCCAGGTCCTCACAGAGCATCCATCCCATGCAGATTCCTTCCCTGGCTTTGGGGGAGAAATGCACAAGAAATATGGGGGTGCAGGCTGGACGCGGTGGCTCATGCCTGTAATCCTAGCACTTTGGGAGGCTGACAGCGGTGGTTCTCAAACTCCTGAGGTCAGGAGTTTGAGAACAGCCTGGCCAACATGGTGAAACCCCATCTCTACTAAATACAAAAAATTAGCCAGGAGTGGTGGTGCATGCCTGTAATCCCAGCTACTTGGGAGGCTGAGGCAGGAGAATCGTTTGAACCCAGGAGGCGGAGGTTGCAGTGATAGTGCTACTGCACTCCAGCCTGGGCAACAAGAGTGAAACTCTGTCTCAAAAAAAAAAAAAAAGAAAGAAAGAAAGAAAGAAATAGTGGGGGTGAAGAACAAAATCTATCGCGCACCTCCCAGACCCTAGTCTAGTGGACACTGTTACTTCCCTAACATCCATTTCAACCCCACCTACAACATTTTTTAGTATATGTGCTGCTGAAGTGAGCACCCCACCTACAATATTTGAGTGGAAAGCCCTGATTGGTCTAAAGCTTAGACTCTAAGCCAATTAGGATAATCTCAGTCTCCTTGTCACAATGAGGGACACAAGAATGGGCAGGCTCAAAGCAGCCAGGGATGGCATCTGCCATCGGCACAATCAGAACCATGCTCAGGCTTTTATTGAATAGCTGTGGGACAACTATCCCCTTATGCACAAGAAGTGGGATTTCTGTTGATTTCACTTTAAAGAATCTTCACATCAATCTTATTTGACTGGCACAATTGTCCTTATTTTACAAAGGCAGTGAGATTGAGTATAGCTAGGTGATTTGCCCAAGGTCACCCAGGCAGGAAGTGGCAGACCTAGATTTTGAATTTAGGTCTATTTAACCCTTATCCCATCTGCCACAGTAAGCAATTGTTCTTATCAGGTTTGTCCTTTTTTTTTTTTTTTTTGAGACAGAGTCTTGCTCTGTCACCCAGGCTGGAGTGCAGCGGCACAATCTTGGCTCACTGCAACCTCCACCTCCCAGTTTCAAGTGATTCTCATGATGTAGCCTCCCAAGTAGCTGGGAGTACAGGTGCGTGCCACTGCACCTGGCTAATTTTTGTACTTTTAGTAGAGATGGGGTTTCACCATGTTGGCCAGGTGGTCTCGAACTCCTGACCTCAAGTGATCCACCCACCTCAGCCTCCCAAAGTGCTGGGATTACAGGTGTGAGTCACTGTGCCTGGCTTGTTCTCATTTCTGATTATGCCCCCCCATCCTAGAAGTAATGGTTGGTGGACAGAACTACTCTATTGCTTAATGGGCATGTGCTAGTATGGGTGACTTAATACCTCTTGGCTTGAGCAAACTGTATCCTTTCTGGGTAAGTCAATAGAAGAGCTAGTCCTTCTCAAGCCCCTTCCTTGAGGGTACTTCTTGTACACTGAGCCTAGAAGAAGCAGAGTGAGGTCATTGCTATAGTTTGGATGGTTGAGCCCCTGCAAACCTCATGAAATGTGATCCCCAGTGTTGGAGATGGGGCTTAATGGGAGGTGTTTGGGTCATGGGAACGGATCCCTCATGAATAGATCAATGCTCTCTCTGGTGAGAGGGTGGGGAGCGAGTAAGTTCTCCCTCTATTACTTGCCGCAAGGGCTGGCTGTTAAATAAAAGCCTGGCACCTCCCCATTTTCTTGTTTCCTCTCTCTCCATGTGATCTCTGCACATGCCAGCTCCCCAGCGCCTTCCACCATGAGTGGAAGCAGCCTGAAGCTCTCACCAGATGCCCAAACTTCCAGCCAGCATAAGCCTGAGCTAAAAAAACCTATTTTCTTCATAAATCACCTAGCCTTGGGTATTCCAAGCACAAATGAACTAAGATGGTCACCCTGTGTACCTCTCTTCCCTCCCCCTGAATCTCCCACTGCTCCCTTTTTCATGTCAATTTCTCTGTCAATCAAGTCAGTTGTAAAAGTCCTTAGTGCAATTTGCTGAGAGGTAGAAAGGGAGCTGTTGGGTGGATGGGGAAAGGCTGTTTGGGACCTCCTGCCTAGCAATGAATTGTTCTTGGGATCTGCACCATTTCACAGCAGTGAATCAGGCTGGCCTAGGGGAATCATCTCCATCCCTTGCCATCTGCCTTAGAGCTAAGGAAACTGCCCCTAGTGGACAGAGCTGGAGTGCCCAAGAATCTCAGGAGGTCTCATCTTCAATATTGACTTCTCTCATTCCCTGGTTGTTGTCAAAACTTTGCATGTCCATTTCCCAGGGCTGGGAGAACTGAGTTGAGTACGGCTTGCTCCAGAGGCACCAGTGCCTAGGTCCTGGGACAGCAGGAGGGGTCTCCTTCCCACGGTACCTGCTGCCCTTACAGCTCCCCCAGGGCCAGGGGGCTGTCCAGACACCTGTATAGCCTCTAACTTACCCACGTCATTCCCTTTCTCTGTGTAGAACAGTAAAAGAGATGTCTCTGCTTCCCTTGACTTGGTCTTCCTCCTCAGTTCCATCATCCCTTCTTTCGTTGGCTGGGCCGCAGCTGAGGAACATTTGGCTTGTTGGCTGGAGCAGCTGCATGCATTCTTGCAATACAGCTGTCCAGCTTGGCTTAGAGACACTCAAGTTCAGCTATACTCCACCCCAGGAAATGGGGCTCCAAGATGGCTTCAAGGCACCCTGTGTCCTCCCCCGCCAGGTCTCTGGCTTTGCTTGGATCAGAAATAGCTATAGCTACCATTTACTGAGTCCAGATCTTTCCCTGGCATTGTGCTAAGTGCTTTGAGTATGCTGCCTTGCTTCATCCTCACAGTCCCCCAGTTTACAGATAAGGTAAGTGGGAATCCACCAGTAAGAGGCAGGGCATGATTCTACCTGGTCCTGCTGACTCCAGAACTCTGCTCTGAGCCACTCTGCCATACCTTTGACATTAGAAATAAAATACATGGTCTTAGGTTCTACGAGCTGAGTACTTTCATTAAGATTGTGAAGGCCTGTTACCACTAGTGGCACATGATCCTTACCCCCCTGAGCCTCAGTTCCTTTGTCAGTACAATAGGAAGCTGATAGAATACAGATGCAAAGGATTGATCATTATAGGCTTTAAATGGGACAATCTTAGCAGATGGGCTGGCACATGATCAAGACTCAGGATCATTGATCGTTTTAGTTACTATCATTATTGCTATTATGATTATTATTTTAAGAGATGTGGCCAGGCGTGGTGGCTCACGCCTGTAATCTCAGCACTTTGGGAGGCCGAGGCAGATGAATTGCCTGAGCTCAGGAGTTGTAGACCAGCCTGGGCAACATGGTGAAACCCCGTCTCTACTAAAAATACAAAAAGTTAGCCAGGCGTGGTGGCACACACCTGTAGTCCCAGCTATTCAGGAGGCTGAGGCACAAGAATCGCTTGAACCCAGGAGGTGGAGGTTGCAGTGAGCTGAGATGACACGACTGCACTCCAGCCTGGGTGACAGAGCGAGACTCTGTCTCAAAAAAAAAAAAAAAAAAAAGTAGAGACAGGGTCTTGCTCTGTCACTGAGGTTAGAGTGCAGTGGTGCAATGATAGCTCACTGCAGCTTCGAACTTCTGGGCTCAAGCAATCCTCCCAACTCAGCCTCTGAGTACTTGGGGGACTTCAGGCATGCACCACCACATCTGGCTCCTTTTTTGTTTGGTAGAGATGGAGTCTTGCTATGTTGTCAAGGCTTGTCTTGAACTCCTGACCTCAAGTGATCCTTCCACCTCAGCCTCCAAAAGTGCTGGGATTATAGGCACGAGCTTCCACACGTGGCTCTAGTTACTATCATTATTAACCCATGCCTCAGCCGTGACCGTGACATCCCTCCACCCTGCCTGACCGTGATGGTGCCTTACCTGGTGAGATGCCAACTCTGCTACTGAGTGGACGCCATTTCAGAGATTTCAGCGGGGGGCTCTTCTCTCTGTCAGGGTCATCTTTAATGCTCTAGAAAACAGGCAATCTTTCCCATCAGAGGAGTGTTCCCTGTGTCACGCAGGATCCCAGTTACCCTGACCTCAATTTGTCAATCAGGAACTTTTGTAGGGAGGAGCCTAAGGGAGGGGACTCCTCAGACAGGTTTGGCCCCTCTCCTGCAGCAGATTCAGAAGGGACTCTGGGTTTTGAGGTGAAAAAGTATGGGTGTGTACATGTGTGTAGGAGTGTATATGTATGTGTGTGCATGTGCATATGTGTATGTATGCATGTGTGTGTGTGTGAGATGAGAGTGAGAGAGCTGCTAGTGAGAGAGCTATGGGGGTTTGCCAGAATTTTTTTCATCAGTCACCTGCCCCTCTTCCTAATGGACTGGGATGTCTGGGCCTCCAGCATGACAACAGAAATTTAGGTAACTTCTGTGCCTTATCAGGCACCTCAGTTTTTTTTTGTTTGTTTGTTTTCTTTTTTGAGATGGAGTCTGGCTCTGTCACCCAGGCTGGAGTGCAGCGGCGTGATCTCGACTCACTGCAAACTCTGCCTCCCAGGTTCAAGCAATTCTCCCTGTCTCAGCTTCCCGAGTAGCTGGGATTACAGGCACCCGCCACCACACCCGGCTAATTTCTGTATTTTTAATAGAGAGGGGGTTTCACCATGTTGGCCAGGATGGTCTTGATCTCTTGACCTCATGATCCGCCTGCCTTGGCCTCCCAAAGTGCTGGGATTACAGGTGTGAGCCACTGCACCTGGCCCAGACACCTCAGTTTTAAGGGAAGAGTTCCTTCATTCTCAGCCACGACTGGAGTGTGGCGGTCATTAAACAGTCACTGTCTGGGGAGCACCCGGCCTGGTTTCAGGAGGCACTCAGGAAGCACTGAAGGCTCAAGAGGCAGCCTCTGAGGAGGGGGCGAAGTGCCTGAGCTGGCTCCTGAAACCTGGCAGAGTTCCCCGAACGAGGGCAGAACCCGGCTGCACAGGCTCTCCTGGAAAGGCAGCCCTTTGGCTGGAAATCTGCTACCTACTGTCTGGGATGGATTTCCACATTCTGAACATGGGCTGTGCTCACAGGGTCTGAGTCATGCAATGCTGAGGGACTCACAGGTGTCCCTCCCAGTCTGCTCACAAGCACAGGTGCCTCTGGGGTCTGTCCTCTAGAGCCCTTCTGATTGCCAAGGTGGGTGGGTATTTTATGGAGGACAGAATTGATAGGCTGTGAATGAGGATAAGCCCCTAGCAGGCTCAGCCCACCCTCAGGCTCCTATCAGCCTCTGCAAAGTCTTGGGTGGCAGCGGGAAGAGCCCTTAGAGACCATAATTCCTTTGCCCCCGAGAGACTCTCCAGGATAAGCCATCAGATGAAACAGGTGGGTGTCAATTCTGTGGCATCCTCAGTACCAGGGTAGGGAAAAGGCTGGGATAGGCTGACAGAGCCAAGGGTGGGTTGGGGGAGGACAGAGGACCCCGAGAGCTGAGGAGCCGGCCCCCCGCGGGAGATTTTCCCCCTGGAGGCCTGGGCAAGAGGCACCCACAGGACACTCACCACTGAAGCACCCACCCCCATCCCTGCTGGCCCCAGCCATTTTAAGACCCAGGAAAGACCAGAAGACAAACAGGAAACCAAATCTTCTGCGTGTTATTAGGAGGGGAGTCAAACCATTCTGGCCCCCAGGGGGACGGTGGGCCTGGGAGGGCAGAGCTTCTTGGGCTGACTTCTTAGCTGAAGTGTCTTTGGTTTTTCTTTCGGGAGGGCTGAACTTCCCAGTACTTTTCCTGAATGGTTCTTCAGGGAGGCCATGAGGAAGGCACACTGCAGTGGGATTGGGAGGGTCAGTGGCACCCCCAGCCACTGTGGACACACACACACACACACACACAGCAGGAGGGACTGTATCCACTGGAACCTCTGATGTCCCCTGGACTCCTCTTTTTGTCCCTAGAAAGCCACCTGGGGCTGAAAGTGCTATGGACCAATCCTATGAACAACAGTAAGACCAGGTATGGGGGCCTGGGAGGCACAGGCTCTGGGCTAGTGAATACTTGGGGGTCTCCAACCCTCATGCCAACAAGTCACATCAGCTATGCCGATAGGGTAGGTGTGTCGTCTCCCCATTTTACAGATGAGGAAACCAAAGCTCTGAAGCTGTCATCACAGAGTTAACAAGAATTCTGGACAAAAATCTAGTTATCATGAAGCCCTGATCAGGCTGCACATAGCCCCACTTCTTTGTAACCTAAAGTCACATAGCACCAGATCCTGGCTGTTTGCATCCCCGTTGTTCCTCTAGATAGGATTTCTGACTTCAGAATCACAAGGCTTTTGTTTAAGAATTGCTTAAGATGTTTTTCAGACCCGAATTCCAGCAAAGCAGCTGATGCCAACAGTTTGAAGACCCCCAGAGGAACAGGAACAGCATGAGAACACAGCTTCTTCATCTCCCCTGCCCATGACTCCAGCCTGCACTCAACTAGTCAGTGATCTCCATACTTCAGCCCACTGCAAAACCCTTAAAAACCTTAACACCAAATTTGAGGTTCCCTCCCATCTCCTTGTTTGGCAGTCCTATAATTAAACTTCTTTTCTCTGCTGCAACCCAGTGTCTCTGTGCATTGACTTGCCATGCATATCTGGCCACAGATCTATTACAGTTACAGCTCTGTGAGCTTAAGGTTCTCATCTAAGACCACCTTATCAGTGTGTAGAGAAACTTCAATTCAAACCAGGTGGGTCTGTTTCCAAAGCCAGCACCCTTCCATTATGAGACACTGTGGCCTCCACTTGTGGGCCAGTCAGCTTGCCGCATGCCAGGGCTGATTCCAGATGCTGGCAGACTAATGGTGTAATACTCAATGCCTTTTGCCTACGATTTTCTCAACAGCCTGACTGGTTCCCCAGCAATTATTCTCAATCAAAGCTCCAGAAGACACCATTCAAATGTAAATAAGCATCCTCTGGAAAGGTGAATTATGCGGTCATTGCCCATTAACACCATATGTATCAGTTTATCTGATGAGGGAATGGGACTATGTGCACCTGAGGGTAAGGGATATTTATTTATTTACTTACTTATTTATTTATTTATTTATTTATTTATTTAGAGACAGAGTCTTACTCTGTTGCCAGGCTGGAGTGCAGTGGCATGATCTTGGCTCACTGCAATCTCTGCCTCCCGGGTTCAAGGATTCTCCTGCCTCAGCCTCCCAAATAGCTGGGATTACAGGTGCGCACCACCACACCCAGCTAATTTTGCGTGTGTGTGTGTGTGTGTGTGTGCGTGTGTGTGTGTGTGTGTGTATTTTTAGTAGAGACGGGGTTTCACCATGTTAGCCAGGATGGTCTCGATCTCCTGACCTTGTGATCTGCCTGCCTCAGCCTCCCAAAATGCTGGGATTACAGGCATGAGCCACTACGCCCAGCTGGGAAGAGATATTTTAAAAGCACCAAAAGGGTCCCTTTTGGGGAAGACAGCACAGGCACGCAGGGGGAGCCACAGATCTGCAGATCCAGTGGCCACAGAGGAATAGAAGATGGAGACGTGGCCCTGCCCTCCCAGGAGTCCACAATCCAGTCTGGGAAGTGAGTCCTTCTGCAAGTGGTGGAGTCCAGGAGTCTCCTTCACAGGCTCCTCCACTCCACTGCCTCGACCACAGCCTTGCTAAGTGCCCTCTGTCCGTCACTGTGGCTTGAACTGCCCTAAATCTCCATCTCCAGCCATGTCTTTTCCCACCTGCCTGTAGGGTACCCTCACTTGTTATCTCACAGGCTCCACAAACTCACCCTTGTCCCAGACCCGCCTTCCCTGCACCTCTCCGTCCTTCCATGGGCTCTTCCTCCTGTTTTCTACATCTTGGTCAATGGCCTCACTGTCTACTGGGTGCTCCAGTGAGGAGCGTGGGGGTCAGTTTGTATGTTTTCTCTTTCACACTGCCCGTTCAATCACTTGCAAGTCCGGGGAATTCTTCCTTAGATAGTCATTGCTCCTCACGGGATCTGGCTCCTAGCTACCTCTCTCATTGTATCTTGTCCTGCTCAACTCCTCTGAGGAAGTAACATTTTAGTGTGTCTAAACTAACTAATAGGCTAGGTGTGGTGGCTCCCGCCTGTGATCCCAGCACTTTGGGAGGCTGAGGCAGGCAGATCAGCTGAGATCAGGAGTTTGAGACCAGCCTGGCCAACATGGTGAAACCCCATCTCTACTAAAAAACACAAAAATCAGTCAGGCGTGGTGGCGGGTGCCTGTAGCCCCAGCTACTTGGGAGGCTGAGACAGGAGAATTGCTTGAACTCAGGAGGCAGAGGTTGCAGTGAGCTGAGATTGCACAATGGCACTCCAGCCTGGGCGACAGAGTGAGACTCTGTCTCAAAAAAACCCCCAAAAAACAAAAAACAAAACCCTAACTAATGATAAGGAGCAAGCCATGAAAGGTCTGGGATGGGAAGGACAGAGGAAACAGCAGGTGCAAAGGCCCTGAGCTTAGGAATGGGTTTAGCAATAACCTTGACGTGTTTAAGGAACTCAAAGGAGGCCAGAATGTGCAGCACACAGACCTAAAACCAATGGCTTCTAGGAGACACTCATTTCTTCTGAAGCCTTGGGTCTCAGTGGATTAGGACATGAAGAGGGAAGCTGACATGGGATGAGGTGTGTCCCCCAAAAGGATATGTTGAAGTCTGAACCCTCAGGACCTGTGCATGTGGCCTTACATAGAAATAGGGTCTTTGCAGATGTAATTAAGATACAAATTACGGTGAGGCATATTGGAGTAGCGCAGGTCCTTAATCTAATCTGATTGTTGTCCATGTAAGAGGAGAAGGGATGCACCTGGAGGGAAAACAGCCATGTAAAGACAGAGGCAGAGACTGGAGTTATGCTCCTCAAGCCAAGGAATGCCAGAGATTGCTGGTGACAAGGACTGCCTCCTTGACCGAACTTTAGCCGGCTCCTCTAAGCCATCTTCTCAATGAGGCCTTGACCTTGGCCTGCCGAACTCAGTTTTGGCAAAGAATTTTGCTAAGTCAGTTTAGTGAGACCTGTCCCATCCTTGATATCCAAGCAAGTTCTTCATCTCCCATCTGAGATACCTTTTTTAAAAAAATTATTTTAAAAAAATTCTTTAACAGAGATAGGGTTTCACCGTGTTGCTGAGGCTGGTCTCAAACTCCTGGGCTCCAGCGATCAGCCCACCTTGGCCTCCCAAAGTGCTGGGATTACAGGTGGGATCCACTGTGCCCAGTTCTATTTTTGACATCTAAGCCTTTGGTCTGCCTTTAGCAAGAGCCCTGTTTAACAAGAATCCTTTTATCTATCCTATCTATCCAGTTCTCTTAGTAATTTTTCCATCCACTGACTGCTCATTGGCTATAAATCTCCAGCTATCTTTGCTATTATTTAGAGTTGAGTTCAGTCTCTCTCCCCTATTGCAATAGTCTTAAGTAAAGTCTTCCTTGCCATTTTAAAAGAGCAACCAGTGCAATTAAAAACAAACAAACAAACAAACAAACAAACAAACACCAATTGCCACCAGAAGCCAGGGAGGGGCAAGGAAAGATTCTACCCAAAGCCTTCAGAGGGAGCCTGGCCCTGCTGACACCTTGATTTCAGACTTCCAGCCTCTGGAAGTGAGAGAATCAATGGTTGTTATTTTAAGCCACCCAGTTTGTGGCAGTTATGGTAGCCCCAGGAAATGAATACAAAAGGCAGTGCAGTCATTGGCCCATGCCCAGGGCATACCTTTTGGGAGTAGTTGAGAGCCTTTTCCATCTCAGACATGATGGAGTTGATGTCATCGCTCTCATAAATGCCTGGAAACAAAGCACATCGTGAGCAAGGTGAGACAGGGTGTGGATCCTGGCAAGCGTCCCCATCATCTGGATACTAGAAAGCCACCTGGAGGTGACTTGAGGGCTGGGAATGGTGGCTTACTCCTGTAATCCCAGCATTTGGGAGGCTGAGGAGGGAGGATTGCTTGAGGTTGGGAGTTCAACACCAGCCTGGGCAATATAGTGAGACCCCTTCTCTATAAAAAAAAATTTAAAAAATTAACTGGGCGTGGTGGTGGACACCTGTAGTCCCAGCTGCTCAGGAGGCTGGGGTGGGAGGATTGCTTGAATCCAGGAGGTTGAGGCTGCAGTGAAGTATGATGGCACCACTGCACTCCAGCCTGGGTGACAGAGGGAGACCCCGTCTCTAAAAAAAATGTTGCTTTTTGTACCATGTACAACTATCTTGCCAACCATGTGCTGTGAACACACCACCCTTTGAAAAACAATCTAAGGGATGTTCAGGGTGCCTTCTAGCTCTGACATTCTATGACATTCTAAATTATATATTTTTTAATTTTTAATTTTTTTGTAAAGGCAGAATCTTGCTATGTTGCCCAGGATGGTCTTGAACTGGATTCAAGCAATCCGCTCGCCTCAACTTTCCAAAGTGCTGAGATTACAGGTGTGAGCCACCACCTGACTCATAATATACTTTTAGAGTTTTACTTCTTCTTCTTCTTTTTTTTTTTTTTTTTTTGAGACAGAGTTTTGCTCTGTCACCCAGGCTGGAGTGTAGTGGTGTGATCTCTGCTCACTGCAACCTCCGCTTCCTGGGTTCAAGCGATTTTCTTGTACCTCAGCCTCCCGAGTAGCTGGGACTACAGGTATGTGCCATCACACCCGGCTAATTTTTTTGTATTTTTAATAGAGTTTCACCATGTTGGCCAGGCTGTTCTCAAAGTCCTGATCTCAAGCGATCTGACCACGTTGGCCTCTCAAACTGCTGGGATTGTGGGTATGAGCCACTGTTCCTGGCCTACTTCTTTTAAGTTAAAAAAATTGCAGTAAAATATACATAACATCAAACTTACTATTTCAATCACTTAAAATTGTACAATTCAGTGGCATTAAGTGCATTCACATTGTTGTTCAACCATCACTGCTATCTATCTTCAGAGGAACAGTTTTACATTTTAAAATGTGATTTTCACAAGCTGCTTTTCTGGAATACATCTGTGGTCTAAGGGAGCTATGCTGGTGCTGAGACAACTGTTTGGAATGAGCTGAAGGGATGAGGAAACAGTCATGTACCTGTGTCTCCAAACCAGTGGAAGCGGCCACCTGCAGCCCGGGTGACCTCCTTGTAGGCGGCGGCTGTGTCAGTGTGACTGGCATAGCGGGCAGGGGGTGTGGTGTCCATCTTTGGCTCGCCCACGTAGAAGAGACACACGTTCAGCTGGAGGTCGCAGCCGCCACAGGCCTCAGCCATGTAGGCACTGAGTGTAGGCTGGTGGGGAAGAGAAGGTAGGAGGGGCCAGCAGCTGAGGGCCTTGAAGCTGTGGGGCTCTGGGCAGCCCAGCCTGGCCATGTTTCTCCAGGGCCTTCTCTGTGCCTGGTCCAGTCCTTGGCACAAGGATGGAAAGAGATGAGGCTGGGTTGCAGTTTCTCTCAATATTTTAACAGAGTGTGGTTGGGGAGCTGGACCTGAGAGCCTCCTGATACCAGGCATGTTCTAGACCAGTAGCATCCACATCCCCTGGAAGCCTGCCAGAAATGCAGACTCCCAGGCTCCACCCCAGACCTACTGAACCAGGATCTGCACTATGTAGGTATGTATGTATGTATGTATGTATTTTAAAGAGACAGGGTCTCGCTCTGTTGCCTAGGCTGGAGTGCAGGGTCATAAACATAGCTTGCTGCAGCTTTGACCTGCTGGGCTCAAGCAATCCTTCTGCCTCAGCCTCCTAAGTAGCTGTGACTACAGGCACATGTCACCACACCTGGTTAATTTTTTTTTTTTTTTTGAGATGGAGTTTCGCTTTTGTCGCCCAGGCTGGAGTGCAATGGTGTGATCTCAGCTCACCGCAACCTCCCCCTCCAGGTTCAAGCGATTCTCCTGCCTCAGCCTCCCGAGTAGCTGGGATTACAGGAATGTGCCACCACGCCCAGCTAATTTTGTATTTTTAGTAGAGATGGAGTTTCTCCATGTTGGTCAAGGTGGCCTCAAACTCCCGACCTCAGGTGATCTGCCTGCCTCAGCCTCCCAAAGTGCTGGGATTACATGCATGAGCCACTGTGCCTGGCTACATCTGGTTAATTTTTTAAATTTTATTTTTGTAGAGATGGGGTCTTGTTGCTATGTTGTCCAGGCTGGTCTCGAGCACCTGGGCTCAAGAGATCCTCCCACCCCAGCCTCCTGAGTAGCTGGGAGTACAGGCATGTGCCACCATGGCAGGTTATTTTAAAAATTTTTACAGAAATGTGGTCTCACTATATTGCCCAGGCTGGTCTCCAGGGCCTGCATTTTAACAGCATCCTTAGGTGCTTGTCTATACATTAAAGTTTGAGAAGCACTGGTTTAGAAATCATGCTGCAGAAACCTTGGCAAGGTATCCACCTGGGGGAAGACGGATGAGGTCGCAAAGGATAATGGACACCCAGGACGTGGCCTACCCACCATGTCCTGGTCGGGGATGCCCCCAGTGAAGAGGTAGATTCCCTGCGATTGGTGTTTGTCTTTGTCCTTGAAGTCTACTTCCACAGCCTTCCGCAGGGCGCTGAGAACGTTCCTGCTGCCCCGACACCGCAGGTTCAGGGCCCACCTGCGGAGGCAGAGATGGCCATGCTGAGGGTCATTGGCCCATGCCCAGGGCATACCTTTTGGGAGTAGCTGAGAGCCTTTTCCATCTCAGACGTGATGGAGTCGATGTCATCACTCTCATAAAGTGAAGATGGCCAGGTGGGGAGAGCAGCAGACAGAAGGAAGCTGTTTTCTGATTTCTGCCCATGGCTGTTTGGGGTCAGGGACTCTAGAGAGCTACTTCTTGGTGGAGAGGGGGACAGAGAAAACAATGCCTGCAAACCTTCCCTCAGACACAGCCCCACGAAGTCTCTGCCCATAACCTACCGCCAGGCACTTTGTAAATTGTTGTGACTCACGGGAACCATCTCAGGCCTCCAGCTTTCAATTGTGCTTCCAAACCTTTAAGAAGCAAAGAGAGTTCGTTCTTAGGCTGGGGGAGGTCCACTTGGTGGCCCACCTCTTTGGGCTTTGCAGGCTTTTAGTGGGGACAAAATTCTGATGAGATCCCCTAAAATGTGAGGATGTCACTGGCCTGGGCCAGCCATGAGATTTCCTTGTGGGTCATATGTCCCAACATACTTCAGCCAAGACACAGTGTGAGCCAGCTTTGGTCAGCTTCCTTTCTGAAGCATTGAGCTATGGCGTGTGGCCCCCTCTTTAACCTCCCCTAGCATGGCTTCTCTCACTGCACATTTCCCCTCCCTATCCATACTATAGTTTGTTTTTTTTTTTTAAATACACATCTATGTAATCAACAGGATTTGGCAAAGAAAAAAAATATACCTCTAGCCTGGGCAGTATAGCAAGACCCCATTTCTACAAAATAAAAAAAATTAGCTGGGTATAGTGGCACATGTCTGTCAACCTAGCTACTTAGGAGGCTGAGGTGGGAGGATCACTTGAGTCCAGGAGGCTGAGGCTGTAGTGAGCTATGATTGTGCCACTGCACTCCAGTCTGGGCAATGGAGTGAGATCCCATCTCAAAAAACAAACAAATCCTCAAATCCAGAAAACCCACATTGTCTCATTTGTCCTGTAAGACAGAATTTAAGATCTTTGAGAAGAGGATTTATACCCTTTATGAAGGAAAAGTTGTCCCCTCTCTAGTTTGAGATTAATTCCTCCACCTGGCCTTTGACCTCATCACCCATCTCTTCTGAGACTTTGCCCCACAGTTCCTCCCTCACATCCACACATTCCCAACTTCTCTCCACTTCCCTCTGCCCCGCGCCTCTCTACCTGTTTCAGACTCTCTATACTTAACAAGAACATCCTCCTTCCCCTGGGAAGCTACTCTATGAGTGACTTCGCTCTTTTCTCTTTCCCCTTGTGGACAAGCTCCCTGGAAACACAGTATACCACCACTTCCTCACCTCCTCAACCTATTGCAGTCAAACTTCCACCCTGGGGGCATTCCCTGGTAGAGATAAAGAATGCCCTCCATTCCCCCACCAGTGGAAATATATCCCTATTATCGTTGGATAATAAATCTGGGTCAAGTGATTCTTATGCCTCAGCCACCTGAGTAGCTGGGATTACAGGCCTGCACCGCTGAGACCCACTGATTTTTGTATTTTTAGTAGAGACGGGGTTTCACCACGTCGGCCAGGCTGGTCTCAAACTCCTGGCCTCAAGTGATCCACATGCCTCATCCTCTCAAAGTGCTGGGATTACAGGGGTGAGCCACCGCGCCCGACCTTCAGGTACTCCTTTAGAGCAGTGCAGGAATGGACTAACACAGCATCCCAACACCTTTCTCTCTTGTTTTCCTCCCACCTCTCTGGGTTCTTCTTTCTTGTGTTCTTTTGGTGGTTCCCTTCTTCTGCCCACCCTTCGAATGCTGGTGTCTTCCAAGTGCTGCCTTTGATTGTCTTCTCTCTCCTCTTCGCATCTCCACAGGTGCGATCCCTGCACTACCATTTATTTCATTCATAGAATCAAAATGCTGATGGCTCAAAACCCCTTATTTCTTGGCTAGGTCTCCTCACTGGAGCTCCTCCTCCTCTTAATGTCTCCAAACTCTTGAGTGTCTCAGACTCGGGATGTTTAAAACCATCTTTCCCTTCAGAGATCTGTTCTTCTTGGGACATCATCTTCTCTTCACCATTCTTTCACCCCCTACAGCCAGTGATGACATTCTGTAGATTCTAACTCCCCAAAATCTCTTCCATGCACCTCTTTCTTTCTTTCTTTCTTTCTTTTTTTTTTTTTTTTTGAGATGGAGTCTCGCTGTGTCGCCCAGGCTGGAGTGCAGTGGCGCAATCTCGGCTCACTGCAAGCTCCACCTCCCAGGTTCATGCCATTCTCCTACCTCAGCCTCCCGAATAGCTGGGACTACAGGTGCCCACCACCACGCCTGGCTAATTTTTTGTATTTTTAGTAGAGATGGGGTTTCACCGTGTTAGCCAGGATGGTCTCAATCTCCTGACCTCGTGATCCGCCCGCCTCGGCCTCTCAAAGTGCTGGGATTACAAGCGTGAGCCACTGTACCCAGCCTCCATGCACCTCTTTCTTGATTAACTTTTATTTTGGGCTCAGGGGTACGTGTGCAGGTTTGTTATATAGGTAAACTCCTGCCATGGGGGTTTGTTATATAGATTATTTCATCACCCAGGTATTAAGCCTAGTACCCATCAGTTATTTTTCCTGATTTCCTTTCTCTCACCCTCACCCTCCAATAGGCTCCAGTGTGTGTTGTTCCCCTTTATGTGTCCATGTGTTCTCATCATTTAGCTCCCACTTATAAGTGAGAACATGCTGTATTTGATTTTCTATTCCTGTGTTAGTTTGCTAAGGATTATGGCCTCCAGCTCCATCCATGTTCCTGCAAAGAACATGATCTCATTCTTTTTTATGGCTGCATAGTATTCCGTGGTATATGCATACCACATTTTCTTTATCCAGTCTACCACTGCTGGGCATTTACATTGATTCCATCTGTTGCTATTGTGAATAGTGCTGCAATGCACATATACATGCATTTGTCTTTATGACAGAATGACTTATATTCCTTTGGGTATGTACCCAGGGATGGGATTGCTACTTTGAATGGTAGTTCTGTTTTTAGGTCTTTGAGGAATCATCACACTGCTTTCCACAATGGTTGAACTAATTTACACTCCCACCAAGTGTGTAAGTGCTCCTTTTTCTCTGCTACCTCGCCAGCACCTGTTATTTTTTGACTTTAATATGGCATTCTTACTGGCCACGCACTCTTTCTTCCATTCACATTGCCTTGGCTCAAGCCCACTCAACACTAGGGCAGGCAATTGCAATAGTCAAACTGGTCTCTTCCCTCCAGTATTACATCCCTTCAGTTCCTCCTTCACAGCATTGCTTGAGCATTTGAAGACGCAAACCCGATTGTATTTGTACCTTGCTTGCAATCCTCCAGTGCCTTTATATCCTATAGCACAGGAAACTCGTGAGCATGGCCTATATCAATCCTCCATCACCTGGTATTTCTGTCATGCACAATCTCTCCCTCTCAGCCCCATATCCATGCTGAACTACCTGATGGTCCCTAAGGTTCTAGCATACGTCACACCTCTGCTCATGCTGTTGCCTCTACCTGGAACACCCTTTCTCCCTAGGACCCCATCATTCCCAGGTGCTAGGCAAACATCTACTTATTCATCAAGACTCAGCAAAAGGGGCACTTGCTCCATGAAGATGTCCTGAGCCTACTCCACCCAAGTGGAATGGACTGATCCTGCCACTGATACCTTGCAGTCCCATACCTAGCTATCTACTCATTTCTATAGAAAACGCTTAACAGCACTCCTTAACATCCCTGTCTCCCACTGTTAGGCCATGAGTTCCTCGAGGATGAGTTTTGTGTGTCTTCATGTCCATCTCCCCAGTGCCTGGCACAGGGACTGGTTCATGCAGATTGTCAATGAAACATTGCTGAATGAATGAATGGGTAAATAAATAAATAAAATTCCTTATCTATAATGTTACCATAAATATTTTTATATAGAGTTTATTAAGGAATGACTGGGCTCTGGTACAGAATAATATCTAATACTAACTGTTGACTTAATAGGTTTAGAAAATGCCCTATTTGGTATGAGGTTGTATAAAAACCTACACTTTAAGTGGGTTCCTTTTCTCTCTGTCTTCCCTTATTAGTTAAAATAGTATGCAATTTAAAAAACTATATATATAGTTTTTATGGCTGAGCTCAGTGGCTCAAGCCTGTAATCCCAGCACTTTAGGAGGCTGAGGCAGGCGGATTACTTGAGGTTAGGAGTTCAAGATCAGCCTGGCCAACATGGTGAACCCCATCTCTACTAGAAATACAAAGATTAGCCAGGTGTGGTGGTGTGTGCCTGTAGACCCAGCTACTTGGGAGGCTGAGGCAGAAGAATTGCTTGAATCTGGGAGGAGGAGGCTGCAGTGAACTTAGATCAAGCCACTGCACTCCAGTCAGGGCAACAGAGCGAGACTCCATCTCAAAACAAAAACAAAACCAAAAACAAACTATATATATAGTTTTTAAATTAAAAATGCTAGATATGTACTATATTTAATTATATATAAAATATAATTTTAAAACTATATTAACATTTTAAAACTATATATACTATATATAATTTTAAAACTATATATAATTTTGAAGTAAGTTCAAATCTTCAAAACCTCTCTGATCTTTGTTGTATTTAATTCTAAATTATACAGTTTTAAAAATTGCATACCATTTATATATATATACACATAATTAAATGTATACATATAATTTTATTTATTTATTAAAACACAGATGGGGTCTCACTATGTTGCCCAGGCTGGTCTCAAACTCCTGGATGCAAGCGATCCTCCTGTCTCGGCCTCCCAAGGTGCTGGGATTACAGGCGTGAGCCACTGCACCTGGCCAAATTTATATATACAGTTTTAATTTAAATTCAGAATTGGAATCCTAAATGTTTGAAAAGGTATGGCTTGCTGGAGACAGGCTGAGGACTGACACTAGGGCATGGCTGGGGTCCTTCCTTTCCTCTTCTTCCTATTTCATCTTGGAAGCCAAATGGGCCAATGGGCTGAATTACTTTATCCTGGTTGATCAAGCAGTGTGTTATGGGGTCACTTACCACCTTCGCCCCAGTAGGACAGTCCTGCAACTATTTAATTATTCAATGCCCCAAACAAGATCATCCAAATCAGATAAACCGATGGCTATCCTAGGAAGCCGGGTGACCATGACGTCAATATCTATCGTCCAGCAACGTCCAAAGCCTCAGCCCAATGACGGCATCCAAACACACACGACCCACCCTTGCCCCCAGGAGCCAGGAGACACATACGCGATGAGGTTGAAACAGTCCTTGTTGGATAACTGCTCCTCCAGCAGCAGCCGCAGGGAGTGCTGGATATGAATAATGTACATGGAATTGGTCGCAGAGATATCGAGCAGTACAACCACCCTAAAAGGAAACACGAGCTTTAAGAGGAGAACCGAATCTCTGAGATAATGTTTATTTTGTTCCATTTTACTATTTAAAGTTTTTTTCCAGGGGAATTTTGCATGCCAAATTCATAGCTGGCCAAAATCTTCTCTGTGGTTTGAGGCCAACGGATGTGGGCTTACAATGGTAGATTAAGGGGGTCATGGAAGCCCCCCTTCTCTCCCAGGAGGTGCTTTAATGGAATAAAGCCTCATGGTGGAGATGGTTTAAGTGGTAGGCGCTTCATATAATGATTTTCACAGATTTATTTTAAAGAATTAGCATTCAATATTTTTATAGGTCAGAATATGAAAAAATATATATGTATATTGCCTTAGGCAAGTCACAAATCCTCTCTGATCTTTGTTTAAGTAGTTTAACTATAAACTACTTGTAAGACTCATCATAAGGTTGCTTCAAGAACAAATATATAAGGCCGGGCGCGGTGGCTCACGCCTGTAATCCCAGCACTCTGGGAGGCCGAGGCGGGCGGATCACAAGGTCAGGAGATTGGGACCATCCTGGCTAACATGGTGAAACCCTGTCTCTACTAAAAATAAAAAAAATTAGCCGAGCGTGGTGGCGGGCGACTGTAGTCCCAGCTACTTGGGAGGCTGAGGCAGGAGAATGGCATGAACCCGGGAGGCAGAGCTTGCAGTGAGCCAAGATCGCGCCACTGCACTCTAGCCTGGGTGACAGAGCGAGATTCCGTCTCAAACAAAACAAAACAAAACAAAACAAAACAAAACACACACAACAAATATATATATATTTAGACGGTCTCTCTCTGTTGCCCAGGCTGGAGTGCAATGGTGCGATCGTGGCTCACTGAAGCCTCAACCTCCTGGGCTCAAGAGATCCTCCTGCCTCAGCTTCCCAAGTTGCTGGGACCACAGGCACACATCACCATGCCTGGCTAATTTAAATTTTTTTTTTTTTTTTGTAGAGACCAGGTCTGCCCATGTTGCTCAGGCTGGTTTTGAACTCCTGGCCTCAAGTGATCCTCCTGCCTTGGCCTCTCAAAGTACTGGAAATACAGGAATGAGCCACTATGCCCGCCATAGGTTGGGGTCTTCGTAGGGAAAACGAAAACCAGGTGAGCAAGTAACATAAGGAATTAGGTGTATCTGGGCCTCTTGGAAAATATTTTTATCTTTTTGTTTGCTCTCTTTCTGTTTTAAGATCTCTAGCCTTATTTGTTCTTTCTCTAATTTTAGAACTTCAAACTTATATTCCCACCTTCTGCCCCATTCTCATTTTGAGACAGCTATGGATAGCAAAAGAAAATCTATGGGATTTACAGTCAGAAGACCTTGGTTCAAGTTCCGCTTCCTACCAGCTGTGTGGCCTTAGGCAAGTCACAAAACCTCTCTGATCTTTGTTTAAGTAGTTTAACCATAAACTACTTGTAAGACTCATCATAGGGTTGCTTCAAGAACAAAATTACATAATAGATGTATAGTGGCCAGGTGCGGTGGCTCATGCCTGCAATCCTAACATGATGGGAGGCTGAGGCAGCAGAATCGCTTGAGGCCAAGAGTTTGAGACCAGCCTGGGCAACATAGCAAGACTCTGTCTCTAATAATAATAATAATAATAATAATAATAATAATAATAATAATAATAGATGTATAGTATTACAAAATATAATACTTTGTAAATGTTAATTCATCAAACAAGGTATGGAATCATAATAATGGCCATAATAGATAACTATTGTTTCTCCCAACTCAGCATCCATTACCTCATCTGGCAACAGCATCCTGATTTTCCTTTGGGAAACACCTCTGCCTCTATCAGTCAATTTGAGTTGTGTGAAGCTGAGCCTACTCCAAGCTCCAGGGATGGGCATTTGACCCTGGCCAATCAGAACATCACACCTCTGGCTGGGTGGGAGGATCTATTCATCCATGACCCATTTGCTCTGGCCAGGGAGGAGGTGTGATTTTTTTTTTTTTTTTTTTTTTTTTGTGGTAGACACAGGGACTTGCTCTGTTGCCCACGCTTGAGTACAGTGGCACGATCATAGCCCACTGCAGCCTTGAGCCCCTGGACTCAAGCGACCCGCCTGCCCCTGCCTCAGCCTCCTAAGTGGCTGGGACTACAGGTGTACACCACCATGCCCAGCTAATTATTTTATTTTTTGTAGAGACAGGGTCTCACTATGTTGCCCAGTCTGGTCTCAAACTTTTGGCCTCAAGCGATCCTCCCGCTTTGGCCTCCCCAAGTGCTGGGATTGCAAAAATGCTCAGTGACACAATGATGACATTATTGACATCAGTGATGGTGTTGGTGACTTTTTCCTCCTCTGGGGGTTCTGCTGAGAGATTCCTAATCCCTAATCTAAGTGATGGCTTCTGATGCTACCAACAGGGAATTCATGAGGCGGATAAATGTCACGTCACACACCAGACCCATGAAGGATAAGAACCCTGCTTAAGAAAGGTACCTTTTTTCACAGACTGTGCCCCAGATTCTTCTGCTGGCCAGGGAGAGCCACTCAATCCGCCTCTCATACATCCGCATAGCTCTGCTGAGCTGTTGCTGCAGAAGTGTGGGCCACAGTGAGCGGCTGCTCAAAGGCTGAGCAACCAAGGGGCCTGAGGGGAAGTACGTGTACCTGGGTGGGCTTCAGGGAATGGTGTGTCAAGTCCCTGGGAATCCAGGCAGTATAATCATTCCACTAAATCATGAACAAATTCACCACAAGAACAGGAAGGGAAGAGTCACACGGTATTTCATTGCATCAAATGGGGAAGGAAGCAGATCTTTCCCCAGAGGATTAGAAGCCTTTTTTTTTTTTAAAGGCATTGAGGTCCCTGCTTGGGGAGGAGATGGCCAAAGCTTCAGGAGGCCTGTAGGTGGAGCACACAGTCCCTCTTTACAAGAGGGAGTTGAGTCAATGGCTTGGTGACTTCATAGCCCAGGGAACCTTCCTCCCGTCCCCACTTTCTGCACCCCATTTTCTGACTGATTGAACCCATCACTGACCTGGTACTTATAGAGGAAGGGTGGGTCCACATGAATGTTCTTCACTGTCCCGTCGTGCCATTCAAATTGTATCATTGCCTTCTATACTCAGGCATGGGCAGGAGGGTGAGCAGGCGAACAGAAGTACATGTAGTTTAATTTGGGCACTGGTTCTCCAAATCAGGTGCAGGAGAGTGAAGTGGACTCTGAACACATTTGAGGTCGGATCGAACTCCCTCCCACATCTCCACCACACACACACCCCAATACCACCACCACCACCAGGTCATTGCCTTGTCTGGAACTGGAAGTAGAGAGCCTTAGAGAGAGTGATCCC